>NC_000010.11:37617059-37921342 GCF_000001405.40 Homo sapiens
AACTGTGTTTCGGAGAAACTAGGCTATAACTACAAATTATTCTTACACACAATTCAGGATTTGTGTAGCATTAGGAAGCTGCTTAAAGCAACACCACTAAAGAAACTAACAATAAAAGACAACCTTGAAAAGCATATAATTTTTCAGGAGTTATCAGGAAAAGATCACACTGTAAGACTCCATTATAGTTCCAGCTACTTTTTTATGTATCTGACAGTGACTGCATCCATGTCCACACAGCACATGCTCAAGCACACTAGGTAATTACTGAAAACATGGTTGTGCAATTTAGTGGTGCTTACTGTTGACTCTCCTTTCTGCCCAATCTGTTTTCCCCGATGTCTCTGAGCTGCCAAGAGTGAGATCTGGATCTCAGCTTCAGGTTCAACTCCACCTAGTCCCTAAGCCAATCCTGCCTAAGGCTTATAGAACATCAGGGCCTCCCTTATCTCATGGAGGTTGTGGAAAATGTCTTGTCAGTTCAATAATTCTTGTTCCAAAATACCACTACTATGCCTACCAACCCATGTACCAGTTATCTTTATTACAAAACAAACCATCCCAAAACTCGGTGATACAAAAATCTCCACTCATTTAACTGGTTATGATTTTGGGTCCTTGCAGTGAGAGTGGGGTGTGGCAGGGACAGCTGGGCTCTGCTCATGTGGTATTGCCTGGGTGTCCTCGTGCACCTGCATCAGCCGGCAGCTCAGCTGGGGACAGGCTTACCTTAGGTGGCCTCACTCACCTTCCTGGTGGCCACCTGGGGCTGTTGGCTAAGGCACTTCAGCTCTCTTCCATGTGGCCTCTCATGCTCCAGGAGGCTGGGCAGGGCTCTAGTTCATGATGTAAAAAGCATTTCAAGAAGGCAAGAGCAGAAACTACAAGAGCTCTCGAGGCCTTACTCTGAAGTCATGCCCTGTAATGTCCATGTCGTCTATTGGGCAAAGCAAGTCACAAGGGCAGTCAAGATTCAAGGATCGGAAATTAAGCTCCATCTCTTACTGGGAGGGGCCTCAAAGAACGTGTGAACATTTTTAACCCAACCCAGTGTGTTTACAGCATTAAGTGATGCCCTCTGCTCTGTATATCTACATCCTTTTTTTTTTAAAGAGATAGAGTCCACTCTGTTGCCTAGGGTGGAGTGCAGTGGCACAATCACAGCTCACTTCAGTCTCATTCGAGGCTGGGGTCAAGCAATCCTCCTGCCTCAGCCTTCCAAGTAGCTGGGTCTACAGGGCATAACACCATACCTGACTGACTTTTTAATTTCTTGTAGAGACAGGATCTTGCTATGCTGCCCAGTCTGGTCTCAAACTCCTGGCCTCAGGCAATCCTCCCACCTTGGCCTCCCAAAGCACTGGGATTACAGGCATTACCTGCAGTGCCAGGCCCCATATATCTACATCCTTTGTGATATTGAATCCATTTTCTGATGGACATTGGTTAATTCACTGGGTCTAGAGTCCTATTCTGAGTCACAGCCTGTTGCTGTCCCCTGTTCCTCAGAGAATAACTGTACCCCTAGAGTCTGGCTGGAATTTTTTCTTTTTTCTTTTTTTTTTTTTTGAGATGGAGTCTCGCTTTGTTGCCCAGGCTGGAGTGTAATGGCACGATCTTGGCTCACTGCAAGCTCCGCCTCCTGGGTTCACGCCATTCTCTTGCCTCAGCCTCCTGAATAGATGGGACTACAGGTGCCCACCACCATGCCTGGCTAATTTTTTGTATTTTTAGTAGAGACGGGGTTTCACCGTGTTAGCCAGGATGGTCTTGATCTCCTGACCTCGAGATCTGCCCACCTCGGCCTCCCAAAGTGCTGGGATTACAGGCATGAGCCACTGTGCCCCAAGTCTAGTTGGAATCTTGTTCTGAACAGAAACATATTCTGATCATGACAAAAACACTGTGGCCTTTTTCTTTATCCGTAAAATCAGAGCACCTATATGTTAAAAGATTATTCATCCAACAAATATTTACTAGGCTTCTGCTATATGTCGCTAGACATTAGATACTTTAGTTTCTGATCTTTTGGAGAGATTGGATATTTGCATAGGTAAATTGCATTGTGATGTAATAATTGTGCTACAGAAGTAGGAATAACAAGCTGAAGGGCAACAAGGGCTTGGGAAGCTTGACAAAAGAGGGGATCTTTCAATTGGGTCATTAAGGGTGACTAGGAGTTGCCAATGGATGGTAGAGAAAGGACTTTCAGGTGAAAGAAGGTGCAAAGTTATGGCGAGAAACTAGATCAGACTTAGAAAAACCTAAGCCCTGTTTTATGTGAACATGGAGGAAGGCACAGGGAGGCAAGACTCGGGAGGTTGGTTAAGTCATATGAGAACCACCTAAGTGGAGGGGTTGGGTTTTTATCCTGCAGGCTGGAATCCAGTTGCTAGGTGTTCCCAGACTTGGCTGATCCTCAGATAGCCGGGATGTCAGCCCAGACCAATGAATCAGGAGAGCCTTGGAGCCTGGGAGTCTGAGTTATTAAAAACTACCCCAGTTCCTCTGATGACCAGCCATGCTGGGAGGCATGCCATCATCTAAGAGGGGAGCTCGCAGAAAGGCTTAAAATAGGGAAAGGGAAGTGATGACATTGAGATTTTGTAAAAGTGAGCCCAGCAGCTGTGTGGAGTTGCATGGCAGTGTGGAGAGAATGAGAAACCAGAGGTAAGGCTGGTGCAGTGACCCAAGGAAGACAGTAGTGGTGAGGGTCTGCACCATCAACACAGTTCTATGCAGAAGAGGAGAGTCAGGCTGAAGAGACATTTCTGTGGAAGAATGACCTGAATTTTATAGGGAAGAAGGTGGGGGAAATAAGAGAAATAAAGAAGAACACTATGGTTTCCAGCTCTGAAGTTTAAGTAGACAGGAATGTCATTAAATGGGGTCTGGTATTTAGAAGAACTGACTTGGAGATGAATGAGGGGGCATTTCACCTTGGACATGTGGAATTTGAGATATCAATGAGACACCAGGGTAGATTTGTCCACATAATAGTTGGAAATGTGGATTTGAAGCTTAAAAAGTAGGTAAAGAGCCCTAAATGTAAAGACATCTGCCAAGAGATGGTAGCAGAAGCCATGGCAGTAAATGAGTTGACTGGGCACCATGCAGAGTCTTAATTCTTAGACTCTGAGGTGCACAAGAATCATCTACGAAGGCTGCAGAAGGCACACTCCTTGAATCTCTTCCCAGGGATTCTGATCCAACAGGTCAGGGATGTAGCAAAGGGATGAATATTTGTAATCATAATTCTACAACCATATTCTTAAGAAACACAGATGAAGACAGAACACAGGAAACAGCTGAGGTAATTGCTGAGAGCACCAGAAAATAAGAGAGCAAAGGAGAATCCAGCAATAGGCAGTGTTATGGTCTCAATGATGTCCCCCACCAAATTCATATGTTGAAGTCTTTGCCCCTAGTATCTGGGAATGTACTGTATTAGAAGATATGACCCTTTAAGAGGTAATTACAGCAAAATGAGGTAACATAGGTAGCCAATGTGATGGCTGCCCCTATACATGAAAGAAATTTGGACACAGATATCCAGAGAGGGATGACTATATGAAGATACTAGAAAAAGATAGCCATCTGCAAGCCAAGAAGAGGCCTCAGAAGAAATCAACCCTACTGACACTTTGATCTTGAACTTCCAGCCTCCAGAACTGTGAGGAAATAAGTCTAGGTTGCATAAACCACTTGGTCTGTGGTACAGGGTTATGGAAGCCCTGGCAGACTGTTAGAGAAGCTAAGGCGCAAAAACAGGAAAGTCAGAAATGAAAGCAAGAGGAAGTGTACCAAAAAGATGTGGGAAGGCGTGGTCCACTGTGTCTCATTCTACAAGGAGGTCAAAGACAATAAGACCTGGGAAGAGGATAATTGTGAGGTGATGTCAGCAAGACCAGCATCAGCAGAATTATAAGGCCATAGGGAGGAGATGACTGGAAGCTGGGCCCACAGGGAGCTGTGGACTTCTCCTTCTAGAAGCATGGCAATTGTGAACTGGGCTTTAAGCTGAGGCCTTGAAGTGGGGCACACTTGAAAAATGTTTTTAAGATGGAAGAGTTAAACATATTTGAGAACAAGAAAAAAGACCATCAGATAAAGCTATATGGAAGGCTTTTTAAAAGTTTTTGTTTAAGTCTGGGGTCAACTAGAAAGATGGAAGGAAGCTAGAACACCAGAGTAGAGGGAGAAGAAGGAAGAAAGAGAAAGGAAGGAAGAATGAGGAGGAGAAGGGGTATAAAGTATGGGAGAAAGAGGAGGTTACACTTTTTTTCTACCACAGAAAAAGCAGAAAAAGATGGATGAAATGATAAATGAATTTGACATGGAAGATTGGGAAGGGAGGAAGTTGACAATCTGTACTCCTGAAAATAGGCATATTCTGTTCTAGTAAAGTAGAAGGTGTGGTTATCAGCTGGGAGAATTAGGGTCGGCAGGTGGGTGAATTTTTCTTTAGATTAACTGTACACATGGAATATGTTGAATGGGAACCTGTATGCTTGCAGTGAAGTGTAATGCTTGCAGTGAAGTGTGATGATGCAGGATAACCTAATTTTATCCAATTCCCCAAATAAAAAAAAGGGACCTTGGAGCCAATAACTTCTAACATTTTCTCTTCAGTGGATGAACTGCATCTGAAATTGGTCCAACCTGGCTGCACAAGGAACTCTTTGGTCAACACAATTCTTAAAATTAGAGGGTATGAGATGAGAAAGAGAACCATCTGGGCATGTGAGTATGCAGCCATTTTATATGATTGAGGATGGGCTTTCCTGCATTCAGCTTCCAGGTCTCCATTAGGTTTCTTATCTATGTCAATACGGTTGTGGGTAGCAATAAGAGAGGCAAAAATAAAGAAGATTTAGTGTTTGATCTTATATAGGTCACAATCTAATAGGAAAAAGAGAAATTGCATTCAGCATAAGTGCTGTCCTGGAGGAGGGCCTCAGAAGCCCTCGGTGGCTTCTTCCACTCCTGATACCCACTCACCTTGTGATAAGAGCTTTGCTGACTGTTAGCCACTGCTTATGAACTTGGCTGCTTTAATGGAGACCCCTGAAAATTTTTACAAAGGGCTTGAAGACCAAAGTAGTGAATTCCTAATGATGGAATTTCAGACCCTGTGACAACTGAATGCAATTTGGAGGAAACAGATGTTGCTTGATGCCGGTTAATCAACCTCTCCATGTCCACAGATGTATCAGGACCCAGGGTTTGACTGACCCGTCACATGGTCTGGCAGCACCTACAGTGGTTGAAATCAGGACCACCCAAGCACGCCCAGGATCCACTGGCATCTTTCACTGTCAGTATGGTCATCTTGTCCTTGCCATGCAAAAGGCATCCCACTCCTCAGACTGACCACATTTGTAGCTGGCCGATCTGTTTCTTGGCAACCAGAAGGCAAGCTGTTGTGTCTGCCAGCCTTCCCCACTGGTCATGTGTCTCGCTCCCCATGACCAATGGGGAAAACCAATATTACTGGTGAAAACCGGTATTACACTGAGCCCCAGCCCTTGCTGTGGTGGTGGATGTGGCCAGGAAATTAAACACACACATGTTCATTCAGGCTCCTGATTTTGCAAACACATTGTGACAAGTAGCACACCATCCTGAGCAGTACCACAAAGCCTTTGGTTTTGATTACATGAAACACCTCTGGTTAAAAAAACAAAGAGAGAGCACTAATTTTTTTTAAGCATCATGCAGTTGCAGACTGCAGATTTTGAGGGAAGCCCTGTGCACCCTGCCTAGAGGTCTGTGTGGAGCACTCTTCAATGTTGTGAGCTGAATTCTGCCTTTAGTTAGGCCAACCCTCCTAGCAACAGGAAGCCAGAATGGGAATCTTTTCCCACACATAGCTCAGCAGTGCTAAAATTTCCCAGACAGAGGGAAAAATGATGATCTTCCCTCATCTCTGGCTGTATTTATCTATAAGGCAGCTATTTGATATGTTGCATTCCTCTGTTGTAAATAAATCAATGAAGTGAGCCTTCCAGGTTATAGTTTTACTGTCAAGTATCAGGTGTCATGATCCATATCTTGATACAATAAAGTTAAGACTCTAGATCTAGTTAGAGTCACCTGTCAAAATAGCTGGGCTGTGCTGATGAACAGCCTGGCAGGACTGGTGCTATGGCCTTAAAGAGGCAAGCAGTATAAAAATCAATAGACATTTTGTTGAGTTACCATGATTTTTAGGGTGCCTTGCAAGAAGATAAGGAAAACAGCCAAGGGCAGGCATATGGAAGGCCTTTTTGTCACATTCTATGCCCAAGTCTTCCACTATTCTCTGCTGAAACACACTTATTGGAATGTGTTTTAAGTATTCTCAACCTGTCCTTTCTTCAGCTGCCACTTTCTATCCCTAAGTGTTCCACTATTCTCTGCTGAAATACACTTACTGGAATGTGTTTTAAGTATTTTCAACCTGTCCTTTCTGCAGCCACCATCACCCCTTCCACTCCTTAGATTTACCTTGTGGTGTCTAATGCTAGTCCTAGAAAACCTGAATGCAGGGAACACCCGGTGATTTATACATAAATGTGCGGTTAAGCCAATGTGATCCCTGTTCCCATTGCATTTTCAACCTGGTCTCTAAGCAAAGAAAGGAGAGGGAGACTTTGACCTTGTCTTATTTACCTTTGATTACTTTTCTTTGCCTATGGAGTAAAGTCCAAATTCCTGAACATTCAATCAACAAACATTTGAGCCCTTAACATTTTTTTTTGAGCCTTTGTATTTTCCATTATCGTTTTCCCTCGGGCCCGTGAGTTATTGTGTTTTCCAGATGTAACTAGGCTTGAGGCTGTCTTCCTGTGATTGACTTCTAACATTATTGCATTGTGATTAGAGAGCATGTCCTGCTTATCATCTCTGCTATTTTTTTTTTTTTTTGAGACAGAGTCTCGCTCTGTTGCCCAGGCTGGAGTGCAGTGGCGCGATCTCAGCTCACTGCAAGCTCCGCCTCCCGGGTTCACGCCATTCTCCTGCCTCAGCCTCCTGAGTAGCTGGGACCACAGGCACCCGCCACCACTCCCAGCTAATATTTTGTATTTTTAGTAGAGACGGGGTTTCACCGTGGCCCTTAACATTTTTATAGTATTGCCCTAATATATAGTATAACCCTATAAAAAAAACTCATCTATCAACAAAAGACATGGAGGACAAACCATAAATGTTTGCTGAAAGAACAAATAAGAGAGTGAACCAAGGTGTAAAAAAAAAGGCATATATTATTTCCCTATTTGTGTGAGCATTCTCATTGCAGAGGTAAAATATTTATTTAGAGTTATCATAACCATGTTTAAATCAATTAAGAAATAGGCAAGGAGCAGGAAGATGGAAATCAAGAGTATGTTCATTGCTGAGAATGACTCGGTTGGAAAATGTGTGTTGTGAGGCAATAATGGACTTCCTAACATGAATTCCCAGAATAAGACAAACCCACCTAGTCACAAACACATGTTGAAGTTGTCCCAAGGAAACTTCTCAAGCAGAGAAGCAAACTATAATGTATCTGGCAGCCTGGCTCCTGAGAGAGGAGGAGAGGGGAAAGGGACAAACTATGCCCTTTTTTTTATCCTGGTGTTACCAATCAGAGCGAGAAGCCAGAGTACTCAGGGAAAAATTCCTGCCTCCTGGAAACAAGAGGAGCTGGGAATAAGTGTTCCTCTCCCATTATAATTCATCATGAAAGCTAACACAATATGTGAATATGTAATTGCCTGACAAAAGACTAGTGTGGACAAGAATTTTAGGGAGGTACCATGCTGGAGTAAGGGAACAAACCAGGCCTGAGTCTTAAAGGGAGGATTTGAATAGAGAAAGAGGTGTTCTGGCCGGGTGCAGTGGCTCACGCCTGTAATCCCAGCACTTTGGGAGGACGAGGCAGGCGGATCACGAGGTCAGGAGATCGAGAAAGAGGTGTTCTTAGGACTGGAGGGAAGGTATTGGAACGGTGTTTGGGGAAGCTGGAAGTGAGCATAGAATTATCTGGCCTGACTTCCCCTCCCCATCCCTATCTCATCAGGCTCCAGCCACACCATTTGCACTCATCACTCCCTACACATGCCTCTCACGTCCTAGTCCCTGTATCTCTGGCTGCACTGGTCTGTGTGGCTGCCTGCCCTCCTACCTCACCTCTACCTGCAGGTACCCGAAAGATCCTCTGACATCTACCTCAAAGGCTGCTCCTCAAGAACACCCTTCTAGACTTCCTTGCTACCTGCTCCCCAAGTGGAATTCTGTGCTCCACTCCTGGATCTCACCTGGCTTTTCCTTCCGACACTTATCATATTCTGCACTGTTTCTTAGTCATTATTAAATACACCTGTCTCCCCAACAAGACTATAAAATCTGGATGGGCACAGTGGCTCACACCTGTAATCCAAGCACTTTGGGAGGCCTAGGTGGGCGGATTACTTGATGTCAGGAGTTTGAGACCAGCCTGGCCAATGTGGTGAAACCCCATCTCTACTAAAAATACAAAAATTAGCCAGGCATGATGATGGGCGCCTGTAGTCCCAGCTACTCTGGGAGGCTGAGGCAGGAGAATCACTTGAACCTGGAAGGCAGAGGTCGCAGTGAGCTGAGATCACACCACCATACTCCAGCCTGAGCAACAAGAGTGAAACTCGGTCTTGAAAAAATAAAGAAATAAAAAAAAAAGACTATAAAATCCAGTAGGATAAGGAACCTGTCTTTTTACCCCTCAAAAATCTAGGACCACCTGTGTTCAGTGAATGTATTTTTAATTATAGAAATCTCAAGCATTGGAGTATTATTTGGATAAAAATTAATCTTAGTTTCTGAAAAATCCTTCATAACCATGCATCTTAAAAGAAGCAGAGAAGCTTCACCAGCCCTGCCTCGTTTCTCTTATAATTAACAAAAGAGCAAGTTAGGCCTTTTAAAAAACTGCAAGTTGGGGTCCCAGAATCAACTGCTATCACTATCTGTAGCTCAAATGGTGAAATTAACTCAGGTGTCCTTAAGGGTAGGTTTTTAGGCACAGGAAAAATATGGTTACTTTGGACTTTATTATGATTTACTAAAGCTACTAATCAAAACTCTATGTTTCACCTAAGCTTTTAAATTTAATTTATAATTTAATAAGGAGCTTTAAAGATTTATAATCTTATAAATGTTAATTATTTATAACATATTATTTATAATATAAATTTAACAACTATTCATAAGGAGTCTTCTACAACTTCATTAATTGCCTTAAACTGCATATCTAAATGTAAAATATTTGATTTCTCTTATGTTCCTCAACTACCTCTAAGAACTAGAACCTTTCTAAAATATGTTTGTATAAATGAAATAAATTTAATGCATACGTTGGACAAATTTTTAGATTTTATTAATATATTAACACTGTTTACTACAATTAGTAAACTTAGAACTTTTGACTTAAAAGCACAATAATATCAACTATATTTTAAATTTGAATCATGAGCCCTATTTGTTAGATATCTTGATTTGGCCAGTATTTAAATTACCCAAACATGTACTAATAGATGATTCTTAAATACCGTATTGTGGGTCAGGTTTATTTAATTATTTCTGTAACTATGCTCATCATTCCCAGGGTTAAAAGGTGTTTATGGATTTCCAAACAAGTGGGTGTTTCCAGCTTGTTCCAATTTAGTTGATCAAGATTAATTATTAACCAGAGAAATTTGGGGCTGAGGTGCAAAAGAAATCAAATTCCTGGGCTTCAGCAATCCTCCTGCCTCAGCCTCCCAAAGTGCTAGGATTACAGGTGTGAGCCATCGTGCCTCAATCCCAATTCTTAAAGATAGCAATATGACACCCTGTTGGGTTCTGCATATCTCTCATGGCTTTGTGCAACTCTTTAGTTGTAATATTAAAGTCATGCTATGAAAGACAAATATGGGAAAAGATGTCTTACACTGCAGCTCCTGACCTTACTCAAACCGGACTCCCTCTTTGAATACTCCTGATGTTCCCTCCCTTGCTCTGCTTTTTCTGTAGCACCTACCACCTTCAAACATGATATAACATCATTTGTTTATTAAATTTTCTCCCCACTAACTAAACTATGAGCTCTATGAGGGCAGGGAGTTTTGCTGTCTTGCCCAATGATACATCCTTGCACCTAGAACAGTGCTTGACAGTTATTAGGCACTCAACAAAGATATGTTGAATCACTGATCATGAGAGAAATGCAAATCAAAACCACAATGAGATACCATCTCACGCCAGTCAGAATGGCAATTATTAAAAAGTCAAGAAGCAACAGATGCTGGGGAGGCTGTGGAGAAATAAGAACGATTTTACACTGTTGGTGGGAATGTAAATTTGTTCAACCATTGTGGAAGACCATGTGGTGATTCCTCAGATATCTAGAAGCAGAAATACCGTTTGACTCAGCAATCCCATTACTGGGTATATACCCAAAGGAATATAAATCATTCTATTATAAAGATACATGCATGCATATGTTCATTGCAGCACTATTCACAATAGCAAAGACATAGAATCAACCTACGTACTCATCAATGATAGACTGGATAAAGAAAATATGGTACATATACACTGTGGAATACTATGCAGCCATTAAAAAGAATGAGGTCATGTCCTTTGCAGGGACATGGATGGGACTAGAAGCCATTATCCTCAGCAACCTAATGCAGGAACAGAAAATCAAATACCACATGTTCTCACTTATAAGTGGGAGCTGAACAATGAGAACACATGGACACATGGTGGGGAACAACACATGCTGGGGCCTGTTGGGGAGGGGTTGGGGAAGGAGAGCATAAGGAAGAATAGCTAATGGATGCTCTGCTTAATACCTAGATGATGAGTTGATCTGTGTAGCAAACACATGTTTACCTATGTAACAAATCTGCACATCCTGCACATGTACCCTGGAACTTAAAATAAAAGTTGACAGAAAAAAAGAAAAAAAACATATACAATAGAGCAATGAAAAAATAAAATGCAATTACCACATTTTTAAAAAATTAATTTTATGTCTTAAAGTGGCCAGGGTCTAAGATATCCTGTTATTTTCTTTCTTTTTTTAAATTATACTTTAAGTTTTAGGGTACATGTGCACAATGTGCAGGTTAGTTACACATGTATACATGTGCCATGTTGGTGTCCTGCACCCATTAACTCGTCATTTAACATTAGGTATATCTCCTAATGCTATCCCTCCCCCCTCCCCCCACCCCACAGCAGGCCCCAGTGTGTGATATTCCCCTTCCTGTGTCCATGTGTTCTCATTGTTCAGTTCCCACCTATGAGTGAGAACATGTGGTGTTTGGTATTTTGTCCTTGCGATAGTTTGCTGAGAATGATGGTTTCCAGCTTCATCCATGTCCCTACAAAGGACATGAATTCATCCTTTTTTATGGCTGCATAGTATTCCATGGTGTATATGTGCCACATTTTCTTAATCCAGTCTATCATTGTTGGACATTTGGCTTTATTCCAAGTCTTTGCTATTGTGAATAGTACCGCAATAAACATACGTGTGCATCTATCTTTAAAGCAGCATGATTTACAAGCCTTTGGGTATATACCTAGTAATGGGATTTCTGGGTCAAATGGTATTTCTAGTTCTAGATCCCTGAGGAATTGCCACACTGACTTCCACAATGGTTGAACTAGTTTACAGTCCCACCAACAGGGCAAAAGTGTTCCTATTTCTCCACATCCTCTCCAGCACCTGTTGTTTCCTTTTTAATGATCACCATTCTAACTGGTGTGAGATGGTATCTCATTGTGGTTTTAATTTGCGTTTCTCTGATGGCCAGTAATGATAAGCATTTTTTTCATGTGTCTTTTGGCTGCATAAATGTCTTCTTTTGAGAAGTGTCTGAGTATCTGTTCATATCCTTCATCCACTTTTTGATAGGGTTGTTTGTTTCTTTTCTTGTAAATTTGTTAGAGTTCATTGTAGATTCTGGATATTAGCCCTTTGTCAGATGAGTAGATTGCAAAAATTTTCTCCCATTCTGTAGGTTGCCTGTTCACTCTGATGGTAGTTTCTTTTGCTGTGCAGAAGCTCTTTAGTTTAATTAGATCCCATTTGTCAATTTTGGCTTTGTTGCCATTGCTTTTGGTGTTTTAGACATGAAGTCCTTGCCCATGCCTATGTCTCGAATGGTATTGCCTAGGTTTTCTTCTAGGGTTTTTATGGTTTTAGGTCTAACATTTAAGTCTTTAATCCATCTTAAATTAATTTTTGTATAAGGTGTAAGGAAAGGATCCAGTTTCAGCTTTCTCCATATGGCTAGCCAGTTTTCCCAGCACCATTTATTAAATAGGGAATCCTTTCCCCATTGCTTGTTTTTGTCAGATTTGTCAAAGATCAGATAGTTGTAGATATGCGGCATTATTTCTGAGGGCTCTGTTCTGTTCCATTGGTCTATATCTCTGTTTTGGTACCAGTACCATGCTGTTTTGGTTACTGTAGCCTTGTAGTATAGTTTGAAGTCAGGTAGCATGATGCCTCCCACCTCGTTCTTTTGGCTTAGGATTGACTTGGCCATGCGGGCTTTTTTTTGGTTCCATGTGAACTTTAAAGCAGTTTTTTCCAATTCTGTGAAGAAAGTCATTGGTAGCTTGATGGGGATGGCATTGAATCTATAAATTACCTTGGGCAGTATGGCCATTTTCATGATATTGATTCTTCCTACCCATGAGCATGGAATATTCTTCCATTTGTTTGTATCCTCTTTTATTTCATTGAGCAGTGGTTTGCAGTTCTCCTTGAAGAGGTCCTTCACATCCCTTGTAAGTTGGATTCCTAGGTATTTTATTCTCTTTGAAGCAATTGTGAATGGGAGTTCACTCATGATTTGGCTCTCTGTTTGTCTCCTTTTGGTGTATAAGAATGCTTGTGATTTCTGCACATTGATTTTTTATCCTGAGACTTTGCTGAAGTTGCTTATCAGCTTAAGAGATTTTGGGCTGAGACGATGGGGTTTTCTAGATATACAATCATGTCATCTGCAAACAGAGACAATTTGACTTCCTCTTTTCCTAACTGAATACCCTTTATTTCCTTCTCCTGCCTGATTGCCCTGGCCAGAACTTCCAACACTATGTTGAATAGGAGTGGTGAGACAGGGCATCCCTGTCTTGTGCCAGTTTTCAAAGGGAATACTTCCAGTTTTTGCCCATTCACCATGATATTGGCTGTGGGTTTGTCATAAATAGCTCTTATTATTTTGAGATACGTCCCATCAATACCTAATTTATTGAGTTTTTAGCATGAAGGGTTGTTGAATTTTGTCAAAGGCCTTTTCTGCATCTATTGAGATAATCATGTGGTTTTTGTCATTGGTTCTGTGGATATGCTGGATTACAGGTATTGATTTGCACATGTTGAGCCAGCCTTGCATCACAGGGATGAAGCCCACTTGATCATGGTGGATAAGCTTTTTGATATGCTGCTGGATTTGGTTTGCCAGTATTTTATTGAGGATTTTTGCATCAATATTCATCAGGGATATTGGTCTAAAATGCTCTTTTTTTGTTGTGTCTCTGCCAGGCTTTGGTATCAGGATGATGCTGGCCTCATAAAATGAGTTAGGGAGGATTCCCTCTGTTTCTGTTGATTGGAATAATTTCAGAAGGAATAGTACCAGCTCCTCCTTGTACCTCTGGTAGAATTTGGCTGTGAATCCATCTGGTCCTGGACTTTTTTTGGTTGGTAAGCTATTAATTTTTGCCTCAATTTCAGGGCCTGTTATTGGTCTATTCAGAGATTCAACTTCTTCCTAGTTGAGTCTTGGGAGGGTGTATGTGTCGAGGAATTTATCCATTTCTTCTAGATTTTCTAGTTTATTTACATAGAAGTGTTTATAGTATTCTCTGATGGTAGTTTGTATTTCTGTGGGATCAGTGGTGATATCCCCTTTATCATTTTTTATTGCATCTATTTGATTCTTCTCTCTTTTCTTCTTTATTAGTCTTGCTAGCAGTCTATCAATTTTGTTGATCTTTTCAAAAAACCAGCTCCTGGATTCATTGATTTTTTGAAGGGTTTTTTGTGTCTCTATTTCCTTCAGTTCTGCTCTGATCTTAGTTATTTCTTGCCTTCTGCTAGCTTTTGAATGTGTTTGCTCTTGCTTCTCTAGTTCCTTTAATTGTGATGTTAGGGTGTCAATTTTAGATCTTTCCTGCTTTTGTGGGCATTTAGTGCTATAAATTTCCCTCTACACACTGCTTTAAATGTGTCCCAAAGATTCTGGCATGTTGTGTCTTTGTTCTCATCAGTTTCAAAGAACATCTTTATTTCTGCCTTCATTTTGTTATGTATCCAGCAGTCATTCAGGAGCAGGTTGTTCAGTTTCCACGTAGTTGAGCGGTTTTGAGTGAGTTTCTTAATCGTGAGTTCTAGTTTGATTGCACTGTGGTCTGAGAGATAGTTTGTTATAATTTCTGTTCTTTTACATTTGCTGAGGAATGCTTTACTTCCAACTATGTGGTCAATTTTGGAATAAGTGTGTTGTGGTGCTGAGAAGAATGTATATTCTGTTGATTTGGGGTGGAGAGTTCTGTAGATGTCTATTAGGTCTGCTTGGTGCAGAATTGAGTTCAATTCCTGGATATCCTTGTTAACTTTCTGTCTTGTTGATCTGTCTAATGTCGACAGTTTGGTATTAAAGTCTCCCATTATTATTGTGTGGGAGTCTAAGTCTCTTTGTAGGTCTCTAAGGACTTGCTTTATGAATCTGGGAGCTCCTGTATTGGGTGGCTATATATTTAGGATAGTTAGTTCTTCTTGTTGAATTGATCCCTTTACCATTATGTAATGGCCTTCTTTGTCTCTTTTGATCTCTGTTGGTTTAAAGTCTGTTTTATCAGAGACTAGGATTGCAACCCCTGCCTTTTCTGTTTTTTTCTTAAAATAGAAATACAGAAGCTACACTACTGGGAAATCAATAAAAGCCCAAAGCCTGATGTGTAGACATTTTAAATATGTTATTTCTATTGTACAGGATATTGTTCAAACATTTGAGTCTGCTAACAGTATTAAACAGAGCCAAGAGGAAAAAAAAAAAGGGCATGGCTATAAGCTGGATTGGCTACATAATTTGCACAGCCCATTGTAAAATGAAAATATAAAGCCCAGTTCAGAAGTTGTGAAGAATTTCAACATGGTAACAGCAGAATATTAGACCAAACATGGGCCCCATCTAAATAAGCATGCGGCCCTGTGCAACAACACAAACCACGAAGCCATAAAGCTGACCCTGAATGTGAGTGCGTATATGTATGTGTGGTGGTACATGGTACATGGAATGGTAATCATTTTTGTGCATCTTTCTGACCTACTTCGTTGTAAACTTGTGAACAGGGTTTGCATGTTCTTCATCTTTCTACCTCCAGTACTTAGCACAGTGCCTGGCAACAAACCAATAGATGTTTGCTTGAATGGACATAGAAATGGTTATAAAAGAATGCTCTGACAAAGAGCAAAGAGCATTTCAAATTCAGAATACGCTTTTAGCCACTGCTATCCCATGGATGGACTATGTTCATCACTAAAGGTGTAAGGTATTTTCAGTATTCATGTCTCATTTGGGAATCCTTGGGTCTGGAATTATTCTTGAAAACATCCATTAAAGAGTCATTAGCTATTCTTAGAGCATCTCTTTTTTTACAGAGAGAATTGGCACCAAGCAAGAGCAAGGAACCAGACATCAGTTACGGAAAATGTATCCCCACATCACATCATGGGAGCCTAGCTCACAGACACTGCCAATGGAAATTGCAGAAATAGATCAACTGCAAAAGGTTACATAGGGGACCCGCATGCTACATTAACTCTCTGTGAATAAATTACATGTAAAATTTGAGAACATGTTTTCATCAAATAAGTATTTGTGAAGGTAAATTTTAAGTTATGCCATGTGCATAATTTCATTGCATTGGTACCATATGAATAAGTATCTTCATAAAGATACTTTGTGAACAAGTCAAGAAGACAAAATAATTGTTACTAGTATTTACTTTTGTCCTTAAACACAGAGCTAAGATCTCTTTCTATTGACATTATATCCTCTATATCCCTAAAATAATCTAAATCATTAATTATAGAATTAATCAGTAAGGAATTTAAAACTAAGCTGGAAAGGCATGAAACAGGATGGATGGAGCAGAGGGATGTTGTTCCCCAGGATGAGAAAGAGAGAAAGGTCTTGCATTACCAAGGGTGAGTCTGGGTGACTGAGAGGTCACAAACTGATGAGTGAAGATAGAGTCAAGACAGAAAAATAAAGTCAGGAAAGCCAGTGCTGGTGGGGAAACAAACATTCAAAGCATAACTCACAGTTCTGGAAAAAACCCAGTATTTTCAGTCTCTGTCAGAACATAAATCAGATTTGCAGTTAAATATTTGACCGTTTACCTGAGGACAGTAAGTCTCAGGGAAAAGCACGTCCACATGTGCCTCCTCGGTGGGTTCTAGAATTCTTCCCTCTTCCATTCCCCAAATATGTATCAGTGTAATGTCTGAGCAGGGGAGTGCAGAGCAGGCAAGACACATAGAGAGGCACCAGGAAGGGAAATCTGTGCATCATTCCTTGTGTCACTAAGACAGCACCACAGAAGAGGTAAGCACAGAGCATGGTGGGTGAGATGCAATTTTTTTTTTTTTTTGAGACAGAGTCTCACTCTGTTACCCAGGCTGGAGTGCAGTGGCACTACCTTGGCTCACTGAAACCTTCATCTCCCGGGTTCAAGTGATTCTCCTGCCTCAACCTCCCGAGTAGCTGAGATTACAGGTATGCACAACCACACCCAACTAATTTTTGTATTTTTAGTAGAGACAGGGTTTCACCATGTTGGCCAGGCTGGTCTCAAACTCCTGACCTCAAGTGATCCATCTGCCTCAGCCTCCCAAAATGCTGGGATTACAGGTGTGACATCTCCATGAGATAGGGAAAAGCCAGAGGGAGCCTCTTAGCCTCCCAGAACACAATCGCATCCAGGAGGTACTTCTTTCTCCTATCTCTGCCATAGCCAGGCAGGACCAACAGACCCAGAGCTGTTGGAGCAGAAGAAGTGGAAGGGTCTTGCAGAAGGTGTGTAAAGCAGAAGACAACAGCTGCTGAAGCAGCACAATACAGTGACATCCTAGGAGGGAGGCCAAGGAGCTCACTCAGCTTAGAGGGCTTGGGGATTGACAGTGAGCTGCAAGATGTCCCCACGAGTCCGTTTCCTTGCCCATAATGAGAGGTGACAACGTGCCAGCAGCCTCGCTCGCTCTCGGCACCTTCTCGGCCTCGGTGTCTGCTCTGGCCATGCTTGAGGAGCCCTTCAGCCTGCCGCTGCACTGTGGGAGCCCCTCTCTGGGCTGGCCGAGGCCAGAGCCGGCTCCCTCTGCTTGTGGGGAGGTGTGGAGGGAGAGGCACGGGTGGGAAACAGGGCTGCACAAGCAGTGCTCACCCGCCAGCGTGAGTTCCAGGTGGGCGCGGGCTCAGTAGGCCCCACGCTAGGAGCGGCCAGCCAGCACCACCAGCCCCAGGCAGTGAGGGGCTTAGCACCTGTGCCAGCAGCTGCAGAGGGTGCGCTGGGTCCCCCAGCACTGCCGGTCCGCCCACGCTGTGCTCAAATTCTCAGTGAGCCTCCACTGCCTCCCTGCCTGCAGGGCTCGAAACCTGCAGCCTGCCATGACTGAGCGTGTGGCCCGAGCATGCGTGTGTGGTAGGGAGCACAGGTGGGGGCTGGTGCAGTGGGAGGCGGGGGCTAGATGAGACTAGGGTGAGAGCCCCTTGGTCAGGGCTGCCTGCTGCCCACAGAAGCACAGGGCAGTGAAGGTGCCCAGGAGCAGGTAGTTGGGTTGACTCAGGTTGGAGGGCCCGCTGAGGGTCAGCAGAAGAATGAGGGGTGGTGAGGGGCACTCCAGGCATGGTGGTGAGGTAGAGAGATGAGAGGCCTTTGCATTTTGCATATTCTGTTGGGGGAGGAAATGGTGAGCCATCAAGGGCTATTGGCAACCTCTCCGTAAACCAGCCTAGGAAATGCTGAAGGAGAGAGACTCAGAGCAAATATAGACCCACAGGGATGCCTGGGGCACAGACAGGGTCGGTTCAGGTTGCCGGGGATGCCATGGCACAAGTGGAGGACAGCTGGGAGCCTCCACGTGGTGCTGTCCCCCTTCTGCTCTCTTGGCTGAGCCAGGGCAAGGGGCAGGCTCCTCTAAGCTGGCAGTGGCTGCTCTGCCCCTGTACAGCAGGTATCAGAGTAGGCAGTTCAGGCCCAACACAAAACCCAAACATGCCTGCAGGAGCAGCTCCCAGCTGCACCCAGCTCCTAAAGGACACACCTGTGCCATAGATGACAGACAGAGCAGGACTTAGAACAAGTGACCAAAGTCCTCAGAGGACTTCATTGTAAGGGAGCATGCAATGAACATGAGCTCAAAAGAAGCAGCTCTCATGACAAACCAGTTGGAGATGTTGGGTGTAAAAAATATAATTTATAGATAGAATAGAATTCATAAATATAATGTATGAAACTGTAATATAATTCTAAATAAATATAATTGTTGAAAGGGGCTGGAAGATTTCACCAAAGGACTCTCCAGAAAGTATCAGGAGGGTATAAGGAGG
Source organism: Homo sapiens (assembly GCF_000001405.40). Taxonomy (NCBI): domain Eukaryota; kingdom Metazoa; phylum Chordata; class Mammalia; order Primates; family Hominidae; genus Homo; species Homo sapiens. The sequence goes on from NC_000010.11 coordinate 37,635,680, forward strand.
TGGGAGGCAGGTTGAGAGGTGAGGAAGGTGGAACAAGACGGCCCCTGTCCGTCTCCGAGGAGTACTGGGAAGAAAGGAAGAATACGGGGCAGGAGAATATATATGAAGAAGGGCTGGCAGAGAATTTCCAAGAACTAAACACAGACACAAGACTTTAGATGGAAGTGTTCCCAGAGTGGCAAGCACACACACCAGAAAAATTAGAATCACAGAGGGAAAAACAGTTACAGAGAAACAAGAGTGAGTCTGACCTCAGAGTTCTCAAGGCCCCACAGAAGGCAGAAGACCAAGTCATCAGGTCAGTGGGGAGCATGGACAGGAGGTGTGAAGTGGGTATAGCTAAAAAATGAGAAGGATCGAATTGGAATTTCAGCCCAATATACCATTAGTGTGCACCACTAATGCCCACATAAATGATGCTTTGTATTTTTCTTATCTTCAAATACATGGAAATACAGCTGACCCTTAAACAATGTGGGGGCTAGGGGCACTGAACTCCCTCACAGTTGAAAATTTGCATATAACTTTTGACCTCCCCAAAACTACTAACAGCCTACTGTTCACCGAAGACTTACCAATAACACATACAGTCAATGAACACATGTTTTATAGGTTATATATATTATATTTTGTATTCTTTATTTTATTTTTATTTTTTGTTTACCCACACTACACAGATGTATCACATGCTGTATTCTTCAATGAAGTAGACTAGAGAAAAGAAAGTGGTATTGAGAAAATAATTAGCAAGACAAATGTATTTACTCATTAAGTGGAAGTGGAGCATCATAAAGTTCTTTATCATTGTCTTAAGCAGGCTGAGGAGGAGGAGGAAGAGAAGGAAAAGGTCTTGCTTTCTCAGGGGTGTCAGAGGCAGAAGAAAATCTGTGTGTAAGTGGATGTGTGTGGTTCAAACCCATGTTGTTCAAAGGTCAACTGTAAGTAAGTGGCATGTGGCCTGGAGAGGTACCACATATACAGGGAGGCTGCTGATGTAAGTGTGTGAGGAAGGAGATGGGGACACAGGAGAAGGGGTTAGACCAACACAATAGTAGCAGGGGCTGAAGTGGGGCCTTCACAGGCAGATGAAAAGGAGGGGGAAGGGAGGCACCCTGCCAACTGGGGACCACATAGCTTTGTACATCTGAAAGCTACTTAAAACAGGGAAATTTTATCACCTCTAGACCTGTAGGGAGGGAAAGGAAATAAGGAAACACAGTCTACTGGGGACCAAGAAAAAAGTGGTGGAAAGAAAGTAAGATGGTAAAAGTCATTGAAAATATCCTTAAGACAGTAAAATGTAATGATGTTACAGGACCACCAGGTTCCTACACCTGCTCCGCAGTTACAGACCAATGCACCAAGACAGCAGGCTTTGCAGCAGAGAAAGAGTTTACCGATCTCAGGGTGGCTGAGTGAGGGAGGAGGGACCCTCACTTCATCTCTCTGAGGAGTTTTGGGGTGGAATTTTTAAAGGATCATGGAGGGCAAGGGGTGGAAAATTGGGGCCACTGATTGGTTGGGGTAAAGAGGATGCAATCATCAGGGTGTGGACACTGCATGCTCTGGTGAGTCAACTGCTTGTGGGGTCCCTCAGACCAGATGCAGTCAGCTGTTTGATTGGCTTGCAGGACCTAAAAGGATATCTCAAGTGGACAGCTTAACACTTCACAATGTTCAAGTTGGTATCTATAGCGGATAGTTGTTACCTATCTGAACTTAGGAGAACTGGAGTCTTGTAACTGATTTTAAGGTGATTCTGAGGCAGTATGCATGGAATGGCAGTGAGGAAGGGTCAGAGAGCGAGCTGGCCTAGAAGCCAATGCTCAGGACCCTGCAAGCTTGGTTTATTTTCCTTTCTCTCCCTCCCTTATTTCTTAATTAATTTTATAAAACCTATAGGGATGGATTCGATAAGATTAAACTCATCTATTCAAAACACGGATTCTCAGGCTGTATATATATGTGTGTGTGTGTGTGTGTGTGTGTGTTTAAAGCAAGCTATCTGCTATGACATGTTAACAGAAAGGAAGTGGGTGTGGGAAGCGACCAGTAAGGCAGGGAGAGGTGCATGGGGTGGGGTTTGGGTTGCTACCAGGTAACTTGGAAGGAGGTTACCCACCTGGAAGATGCAGCCACCAGCCTCAGTGAGACAACAGCAAACCTAGCACATCCCCAGGCATGGTGGGAACTTTGAACATACCTTGCTCCGAAAATTTGCATCAAACAGAATAAAAATCATGAAAATAAAGAGACCTGAAATATAGACTTTAAGTTTGGGCTGCTGGGCAGATACAGAATCCTGCACCCCATGTGCAGGGCATTCACATTTTTTCCAGCACAGATGGAACATTTATAATACTGACCATGAAGGTGGCCAAAAAGGAGGCCGGGCATGGTGGCTCACGCCTGTAATCCCAGCACTTTGGGAGGCCGAGGCGGGAGATCACGAGGTCAGGAGATTGAGACTATCCTGGCTAACACAGTGAAACCCCGTCTCTACTAAAAATACAGAAAAATTAGCTGGGTGTGGTGGCGGGTGCCTGTAGTCCCAGCTACTCAGGAGGCTGAGGCAGGAGAATGGCGTGAACCCGGGAGGCGGAGCTTGCAGTGAGCTGAGATTGCACCACTGCACTCCAGCCTGGGCAACAGAGCGAGACTCTGTCTCAAAAAAAAAAAAAAAAATAGCAGAGATGATAAGCAGGACATGCTCTCTAATCACAATGCAATAATGTTAGAAGTCAATCACAGGAAGACAGCCTCAAGCCTAGTTACATCTGGAAAACACAATAACTCACGGGCCCGAGAGAAAACGATAATGGAAAATACAAAAGACATAAACCAAGCATTGATAGAAGCAGCGCATATTGACTCTCATGGGATGCAGGTAAAATGGCACTAGAAGGACATTTATAACCTTATAATATAAGGTTATGTTATAACCTATGTTAGAGAACAAAATAGAAGGTGAATTAATGAGCTCTGTGTTCAACACCAGATGGCACAGAACAGGCTCAGGGAAAAGGCTGAAGGCAGAGCCAGGCTGGAGAAGGAGAGCTCAGGGAGGCTGAGGGCAGTGGCCTGGGGAAGGGGCCTGAAGCCATGGGCCAAGGATGGAGTCCTGCTGGGAGTGTGGGGAGTGGGTCAAGGGTGCTGGATTCAGCATTTGAGGATGGGCTGTGCTGTGTGGATGAGCCATCAAGATAGACATCAGGCCCATCCAGGAACTGGCAAGACAGGAGGTAGAGCCAAGTGAATCCACGCCAGAGTCCTGGATTACTGTGAGCCATGGCAGTGGTGTGGAGAGACCACTCAGATTTCATGAGCCTGAAAGACTGTGGGTTCCGTCTGCTTACACGGGAGAGCTGGGATTAAAGGGAACAAAAGGCTTGGGGAAAGGGAGCGGGCTGCTCAGGGGAAGCAGATGTCAGTGAAAGCCAGGTTTTGTTTAAGGTGAGAGGTGAGATGTCCGTGCGAGCTGCGTGGAGGTGTCATGGGGCACCTGTTTCTCTGAGTCCCCAGGGGGCAGGGAGAGGGATGAGTGAGGGCTGGGTGGGGACCAGAGTGGCTGGTGGTGGTCGTTGTGCCCAAGCACAGCAGGGCTGAGACTGACAAGCTCATCCAGCTTCTGAATCCTGATGGAAGCCCCAGAGCCTGGTGCCCTGGGGACTCTGCAGAGGGTGGTGCAGGAGCACGGCCCTCAGGTGCTGGGAGTGAGGTGAGCAGGGTCACCCCACACCTGGCCTGCCCCCTCCTCCCTTGAAACCAGCGGGTGTGTCTGAGCACTGGGCCTGAAAGCACCGTATCCGGAGGCCCAAGGCTGAGGTCCATGGCCTCCTCTGCCAGCCCTGCTTGTCCAGGGTCTGAGCTGTCCTGGCCTCTCCCTCTGCTCCTTCACACAGAGGTCTTTAGGGCACCCTAATGTGTCCAATCAAGGCCAGGCTTGTTGGTGAGACACGCTTGGTCCCGAGCTCCATGCCAGATGTCTCCACCCTCAAAAGACCCAGCATCTCATGACTTCATGTCCCACTAGCAGTCCCTGTGCCCAGTTCACCCATCCCCACTGACCACCAGTGTTTGATTTTTCCTTCAGAAGCCTATGAGGAAATGGATTGTTGATTAGCCTGATTCAATCATTCTACATTGTAAACATATATCGAAGAATCACCTTGTATCCCATAAATGTGTATATTTATTATTTGTCAATAAAAAATAAAATTTAAAAAGATTCAGCTCCCAGCTGCCTCCTCCAGGAAGCCTGCAGTGCTTTCCCTTGCGGAGGACCAACTTTACACCAGTTCTTACCCTGGACCCTGCAGAGGGCACTTGGGTTGCCCATCAGGGACACATCCATGCCTCTCTAGCTTTCTAGCAAGCTTCCTGTCTGTTTTACTCAGCCCAGGACTTTGGGAAGCTGGAGGTGCCTACAGTCAGCACAGCTGCAGTTCAGAGGGAAGAGGCACAAAGTGCTCAGGTTGAAGTTGCCCAGCTGGAAATCTCGTTTCTCCCACTGAAAGGGGATAGTGATATTTGGGACTCACAGTTGATGTCACCATGGCACTGGATGGGAGGTCTACAGGCCTCAGGGGACCCTCTGGTCACCCCTTCCTCTCTGCAGGTGCCTCTGCTCTTGAGAAACTCAGGGCCAAGGACAGGTCACTGGATATGCTGGGGGCACCAGGGCTGGTGGGGTAGGGGGTTCCTTGGTGCTGGATTCACCCCAACCCCAGCAGGGAGAAAGAGCCTTGGACAGGCCCTGGCCCAGGGAGGGGGCGGCCAGGCAGGCCTGACTGGGGAGGCCCGGGCATCGCGCTTGGGCCAGGGGCCTGTGTGAGGGAGGCAGCCTCCCCTTCTCTAGGATGGGGCCAGTGCCCAGCTCTGCGAGACTCGTGTCCTGCACCCCACACCCCAGTGGAGAACAGCATGAGGCCCTCGGGCCTGAACCCATGGTTGTTAGTTCTGGGAGGAGATTTTGAATCCCGACTCAGTTGTCTTGAGGTTCATAGGCATATTTGGGTTTTCTATTTCTTTTCCAGACATGTTCCAAGTTTGGTCTCTTCGGCTTACTGTCTGTTTTGTCAGTTATTGGCATAATAATGTTCTATAGCAATTTGTAAAATGTCCATTATATTTAAAGTTATGTCTCCATTTGATTTCTTGTATTATATGCTGTGCCATCCCTCTTTTCATTTTCTTGGTCAATTATTCTAGAGGTTGGTTTATTTTCATTAGTATTTTCAAAGGACCACTATTTTGATTTTTGTTGACCCTTTTATTAATTTTTAATTTTCGTGGGTACATAGTAGGTGTATATATTTATGGAGTATGTGAGATATTTTGATACAGGCATGAAACATAATAATCACATCGGCTGGGTGCGGTATCTCATGCCTGTAATCCCAGCACTTTGGGAGGTCAAGGCAGGTGGATCACGAAGTCAGGAGTTTGAGACCAGCCTGAACAACATAGTGAAACCCTGTCTCTACTAAAAATACAAATATTAGCTGGACTTGGTGGCGGGTGCCTGTAATCCCAGCTACTCAGGAGGCTGAGGCAGATGAATCGCTTGAACCCAGGAGGCAGAGGTTGCAGTGAGACGAGATTGCACCATTGCACTCCAGACCAGGCGACAATGTGAGACTCCATTAAAAAAAAAAATTAAAAAATCACATCAGGGTAAATGGGTTATCCATCCCCTCAAGCATTTATCCTTTGTGTTATAAACAATCCAATTATACTCTTAGTTATTTTTAAATATACAATTGAATTACTATTGACTATTGACTATAGTCACCCTGTTGTACTAAATAGTAGGTCTTATTCATTCTTTCTATTTTCTTTGTACCTATTAATTTTCCTCATTTCTCTTACTCCCCCACTACCCTTCCCAGACTCTAGTGACCATCCTTCTACTCTCTACCTCCATGAGTTCAAGTGTTTTAATTTTTAGCTCCCACAAATAAGTGAGAACATGTGAAGTTTGTCTTTCTGTACCTGGCTTACTTCACTTAATATAATGACCTCCAGTTCCATCCATGTTGTTGCAAATGACAGGATCTCATTCTTTTTTATGGCTGAACAGTACTCCATTGTGTATATGTACTACATTTACTTTATCTATTCATCTGTTGATGGTCACTTAGGTTGCTTCCAAATCTTGGCTATTGTGAACAGTGCTGAAAACACAGGAATGTAGCTATCTCTTTGATATACTAATTTTCTTTCGAGTATATACCTAGCAGTGGGATTCCTGGATTGTATGGTAGCTGTATTTTTAGTTTTTTGAGGAATCTCCAAGTTGTTCTCTATAGTGGTTGTACTAATTTACATCACCACCAAGAGTGGACAAGGTTTCTCTTTTCTTCATATCCTTGCCAGCATTTGTTATTGCCTGTCTTTTGGATAAAAGCCATTTTAACTGGGGTGAGATGATAATCTCATTGTAGTTTTGATTTGAATTTCTCTGATGATCAATGATGTTGACTCCTTTTCATATGCCGACTTGCCATTTGTATGTCTTCTTTTGAGAAATGCCTATTCAAATCTGTGCTGAGACACCTGGAGTTGGAGGTGGGGTGACACAAGCATGCCTGTGGCTGCCACCATTGGGAGAGTGCTGGGCCAAACCTGAAACCAGCACAGCACTGGGTCTCACCCAGGGCCCACTGTAACCACTACCCGGCTACTACCTATGTTTGCTTAAGGCCCTAGAACTCTACATTCAGTAGTGGTGAAGCCAGCCAGGCTTATGTCCTTCCCTTCAAGGTGGCAAGTTCCCCCAGGCCCTGGGCAGGTCCAGAGATACTGTCTGGGAGCCAGTGACTGGAGTCAAGAACCTTAGAAATCTGCTTGATGCTTTATTCTACTGCAGGTAAGCCGGCACTGACATCACAAGACAAAGTCCTTCTCACTTTTCTCTCTGCTTTCCACAGGAAGAGGAACCTCTTCCATGGTCATGGCCACCACAGGCCTACATGGGATACTGCCAGGCTACCACCAATGTTCACTTTAAGACCAAGCGTCCTTCAGTCAGCTTATGGTCAATGCTGCCAGGCCTGGGACTCACCCTTCAGGGCAGTGGGCTCCCCTCTGGCCCAGGGCAGGTCCAGAAATGTCATCCAAGAGCCAAGGCCTTTGGAATCAGGGATCCCAGGAGCCTGCTCGGTGCTCTGCCCACTGAACTGAGCTGGTACACAAGGTGCAAGACTAAGTCCCCTTTACTTTTCCCTCTGCTTTTCTCAAGCAGAAGCAGTCTCTTACCATAACCACCATAGCTGGGAATGTGCTGGTTCTCCACTGAAGCCAGCATGTCTCAGAGTCTCACCCAAGGCCCATAGCATACTACCTGGATATCACTGCTGGTTCTTCAGGACCCAAGGGCTCTTTACTCAGAGGTGATGAATCCTGCCAGGACTTTGTCCTTCCCTTCAAGGCAGTGGGTTCCCTTCTGGCCCAGGGTGTGTCTAGAAATGTTATCTAAGAGCTAGGGCTCAAAATGAGGGCCTTATGATCCTGAACAGTGCCCTATTCTACTGTGGCTGAGCTGGTATCCAAGACACAAGACAAAGTTCTTTTTAGTTCCCTCTCCCCTCCTTAAGTGGAAGGAAGAAGTTGCTTTCATTGCTGTGAGCTGCGCTGCCTAGGATTGAGGGAAAGATAGCACAAGCATGCCCTCAGCCAGCCCAGCTGGTGCCTCACTAGGTCACATGCCTCCCACATCCACTGGATCTGAGCCCAGCACAGCATTAGGACTTGCCTAGGAATTGCAGTCCTTGTGGCCTAGATGGATTTTCAAGTCTATTTAGGACCCCAGAGCCTTTGAGCCCACAGTGGTGGGGCTTGCAAAAACTTATGTTCCATCCACTGGGATGGATGATGCCCCTCTGTCTAGGGCTGGTCTAAATGCTTCCTCTGTGGGTGGGTGTCAAGTGAGTTTAGCCTGTTTTTTTCTTTCTGCTATGACAGGGCAGCATAGAGTTCAATGCAGGGTCCCATAATCACTGCACTCTCCTTCCTCCAGTGCACAGATTTTCCATGCCACAGGACCACTACTGGGGAGTGGGGGAGGGGTGGCTTCAGGGATTCAAGACTGTGTTTTCTACCCTCCTCAGTGCCTCTTTCAGTGATAGAAAGTTAAAACCAGGTACTGTGGTCGCTCACCTGATTGTTGGCTCTATGAAGGCGTTTTTTTGTGTATGTAGATAGTAGTTAAATTTGGTGCTCCTGCAGTGGGGGCGATTGGTGAAATTTCTATTCAGCCATCTTGCTCTGCTCTCCCTTGACCCTTTCTGTTTTATCTTTGTTTTTCCATTTCATTAATTTTTGCTCAAATCTTGAGTATTTCTTTTTATCTACAAGTTTATTTCTAAACTTTTATTAACGTCTTCATCTGGGCTCTGAATAGCCTTTCTTAATATGTACTGTAAAGATTATAAATTCCTATAGTACCTTATAGTGGAAGCCCTCAATTTTTGATATGTATTATTTTATCAATGTTGAGTTACAAGCAGTTGCATAGTATGAAGTCTTATGTGTCTCACTTTTTGCACTCAATATTTTGTTTGTGACATGTTACATGTAGCCATAATTTATTTATTCTCAGATATTATACATAATCTTTCATAAATGAGTATGTCACCATTTTTCCATCTCTCTGTTTGTGCATATCTGGCTTGTTTCCAGTCTTTGGATATCATGAATAATGCTGCTGTGACCATCCTTGTACACGACTTTTGAGGTACATTTCGATACGCTTCTATTGATTATGTACCTAGGAGTGAAATCTCTGGGGCATAGGATATGCTTATATTAAATTCTATTCCATGATGACAACTGTTTTCCAAATTATTTGTACAATATGCACTCTCTCCAGCAGTGTGTGAGTACCTACCTCTGCTCCACAGTCTTGCCAATGCTTACTATTGTCAGTTTTTAAAATTTTAGCCATTTGGCAGATGTATAATGGTGGCTCAAAGAGGTGTGAATTTGAATTTTCCTGACTACTAATAGGTAAACAATTTTGTATGTGTGTATGAATTCCCTGCTGCTATGGTTTGAATGTCCCCTCTAAAACTCATGTGGAAACTTAATCCCCAATGTGGCAGTATTGAGAGGTGGGGGCCTTTAAGAGGTGATTGCATCATGAGGGCTCTGCTCCTAATTCATTCATGGATTAATGGGTTAATAAATTAATACATTATCATGAGAGGCAAACAGGTGGCTTTATAAGAAGAGGAAGAGAGACCTGAGCTAGCACATTAGCAATACTAAGCCCCCTTGCCCTGTGATACCTTGAGCCACCTTAGGGCCCTGCACAGAGTCCTCATCAGCAAGAAAGCTCTCAGCAGATGTGACCCCTTGATCTTGGACTTCTCAGACTCCATAACTGTAATAATTAAATTCCTTTTCTTTATACATTGCCCTTCTTTGGGTAAGTCCTAGTTCAGGTCTTCTATATTCTTGATTATTTTCTGTCTACTAGTTCTAACAGTTGCTGAGAGGGAGATTGAAGTCTCCAACTATAATTTTGAGTTTCTCTCTCCTTTCAGCTCTATCAGTGTTTGTTTCATGTATTTTTGAGGCACTGTTTTTGGTGCATATACATTTAGAATTGCTACGACTTCCTGGTGGATTTAATCATTGGTATGTTAGAGCTTAAGCCTACCATTTTGTTATTTGTTTTCTGTTTGTTTCCTCTGGTTATCATTCCTTTTTCTCTTTTCTTGTTAATTGAATAATTTTTAGTATTTCATTTTGACTTATTTATAGTGTTTTTGAGTGTGTTTCTTCATATAGCTTTTATTTCGGTTGCTCTGGATATTTCAATAGACATACGTGACTTATCGCAGTCTGCTGGTATCAACGTTTTGCCACCTTGAGTGACATGTGGAAACCTTTAATCCATTTAGGTCCCTTTACCTTTCACTTTATTTATTTATTTATTTATTTTTATTTTTATTTTTTTTTTGAGACAGAGTCTCGCTCTGTCACCTAGGCTGGAGTGCAATGAAGTGATCTTGGCTCACTGCAACCTCCGCCTCCTAGGTTCAAACGATTCTCCTGCCTCAGCCTCCCGAGTAGCTGGGATTACAGCCATTCACCACTATGCCCAGGTAATTTTTTGTATTTTTAGTGAGACGGTACTTCACCATGTTGGCCAGGCTCATCTTGAACTCCTGACCTCAAGTGATCTGCCAGCCTCAGCCTCCCAAAGTGCTGGGATTATAGGCATGAGCCACCGTGCCCAGCTCCTTTCATAATCTTATATATTGTTATCTTGAGCATCAGATAATGCTATAATTTTTGTTTTGATCTTCAGATTCTTAAAATAAAACTCATGTGAGAAAGGGTGGTCTATGGTTTGTACTCATATGCTTCATTGTTATGACATTCTTTCTTAAGCTCCATGGTTCCTTCTTTTATAATTTCCTTCCTGCTGAAGGTCTTCCTTTAGCCAATTTTTAAGGATAGGTCTGGAATTGACAAATTCTTCTAGCTTTCCTTCATCTGAGAATGTCTTTATTGCTCATTCATTTTGGTAAAATAGTTTTGCCAGATAGAGACTGTGGCTGACAGTTCTTTTCTTTCAGCACCTGAAAAATGTTGTACCAATTCCTTCTGGCCTTAAATATAAAAAAGATTTATTAAGATGACAAATCTTTTATAAGAGGTTATATCACCGATGGTTTCAAATACGAAATCCACTGTCATTCAAATGGCACTTGTAAGTAAAATGTCATTTTTTTCTGGTTGTTTTCAATCCTATCATCTTTAGTTTTAATAAGCTCAAATATGATATGTCTTCATTATTATGTATGTATAGATGACCTGTTGGCTCTCTTTCTCTGGAGAACCCTGACTCTTACATGGTCTATAAGCCTAGAACATTTTGTTGTGCCAGAAAGTACAGAAGTCCTTGAAAACTGATTAAAGCAAAAAAAAAAAAAAAAAAAAAAAAGGACCCAGGATCCAGCTTGATGAGGCTCCTGCTGGCCAAATCTGAGATAATATGAGCATAAAAATGAATAACGACAGGATTATAACCAAGTGACTAAGAACAGGATACATGTTACCATTTTAAGTTATAAAACGAATGAATGAACCTTCCTTTTTACAAGGAATGGTGTAGAATTTAAAAACCACCATATTGTAGCCACCATTGTAGTAATTGATTCAGGCAGAAAACATCAATGGATGCTCAAGTCATTAGATGGAAGTTAAATGAGAAATAGATTTATTTATATGAATTACTTTTTAATTTTAAAGGGGAGGAAAGATACCTTTACAATGGGAAAATCTGGCAGACACTACCATGATATTGACTGAAGATTAATAACATGAGTAACAAGACAAACCAGCATCACGGTGATGTCCTGGGAAGGATACATCACCATTCCTGCCAGAAATGCATGACCAAAGTCTAATCACAAAGGAATCTCAAACTCAAGTAAAACACATTCTACAGAATAGTGGCCTGCACTCTTCAACGATGTCAAAAAATCAATGTTAAATTAGATAATTATATTATGGTTATATAAGAGAATATCCTTGTTTTAGGACATAGGCTGAAATGTTTGGAAATTGTTGTGATATCTGCAAGGTATTCTTAAATGTTACAGAGAGAGAAAAAGAGAGAGAGAGCAAGAGAGCACAGGTAGGACAAAAATGTTACCTGGTGACTCCAGGCAAACGGTTTTTGGAGGGGGACTGTGTTACTCCTAAAACCAAGTGGGTTCTGCCCGCTCAGGGGTTCTTGGCTGCTTGGATTTTTGAAGCAAACACACACTCATCCAAGGGCTGTAAACAGTGCAGGTGACACAGCTGACTGCTATCTTGGTTTAAAAATGGAGACTCTGGAGCTGGATGATTGAATCTCTATTACACCCCCAACTTGGGTGATCTTGGTCAAGTTCTTTAACTTCTCTAGGCCTCAGTTCCCTTATCTGTAAAATAGTATGAGAATAGTCGCTGTGTTCTAAGATTGCTTTGAAGATTAACATGAGTTAATAATATCTATAATACTTATAAGGGTGCCTGGCACACAGTAACCACGCATAAATGCTAATTATTATATTTACTATTAGTAGTAATTGGACAGGCAACAAAGAAGATCCTTCAACTTTCTATGTCTCTCAGTGGTCTGAAACTTCCATCTGATACTATTTAAAAGAATTTGGGTAAGTCCTCATACAGAAAATGAGTCTTTCTTAATTTTGGAATGATGGTAAAACACTGGGTTTTAGTCCCACCAGGATCTTCTACCTGGAAAGGAACTGAGCCAGGTGGGTGGGCAGTACAGAAATGGAAGGAGGGAGCAGGGAACTAATGCTGTCTGCAAAGACAAGAGAACAAGGAGACCCCGGGGAATGCAGAAACTGGCAGCGTTTTCCTTCAACTACCATGAAAATGGCCAGACTGCCTGATATGGTTTGGCTGTGTCCCCACCCAAATCTCAACTTGAATTTTGTCTCCCAGAATTCCCACGTGTTGTGGGAGGGACCCAGGGGGAGGTAATTGAATCATGGCAGCTGGTCTTTCCCATGATAGTGAATAAGTCTCATGAGATCTGAAGGGCTTATCAGGGATTTCCACTTTTGCTTCTTCCTCATTTTCTCTTGCCACCACCATGTAAGAAGTACCTTTCACCTCCTGCCATGATTCTGAGGACTCCCCAGCCATGTGGAAGTATAAGTCCAATTAAACATCTTTTTCTTTCCAGTCTCAGATATGTCTTTATCAGCAGTGTGAAAACAGACTAATACACTGCCTGACACTCTCATTCATGAATAATTTTTGCATCAAAGAGTAAATTGGGAGTAAAATAACAGAAGATAAAAACAAAATATTTTGCAACCAAAAGAATAATTCCTAAGCTATACTCAGTAGTACATTCATAGTTTTAAATGGCCTTAAAATTTAAAAGAGAGAGTTTCATGAACCATTATGCTTATATCTTGCTTCTTCCAAAGTGCTGCTAAAGTCTTAGCCTGCTGCAATGACAGAGTACCTGGGCAGGTATGTGAAATACTCCACCTTGGTAGAGATAACAGAAACCTAACCTTGACCTTCCCATTAAAACTAAAGGGAAAATTTGACTGAAGTTTTCAAGTAGTACCCTTAAGGAATCACACATAGAAGGTACTCAATAAATATTACAGCTTGAATACATAAAACAATGCCACTGAGAGCCTCAAGGGTCTGGAGTACTCTCAGATAACTGGCATATTAGTTAGATATTGCTCTGTAGCAAACCACTTCAAAAGTTAGGGGCCTAAAATAGTAACCTTTTATTATTTCTCATGAGTCCACAGGTCGATGGGGCACTTCTGCTACTCTGGGCTGGATGTGGCTGATCTTAACTGGCTCATCAGTGATCAGCCAGTGGATTGGATGGGCCTGGCTCATCTCAGATGACTTCAGTCCTCCTCCCCGTGTTCTGCACATCCCTTCAGTAGGCTAAGCTGGGCTTGTTCTCATGGCAGTGCCAGAGGTCCAAGAAATGAGTGAAAATGCACATGTGCTTTTCCAAGCCTCTGATCCTGTCCTGTTGGCCAAAGCATGTCACAGCATCAAGCCCAACAGCATTTTGGGAGGGCCCTACTTAAACGAATGGCAAGAGTGATGCATGAAAAATTGGGCTGATTTCTGCAGTGAATCCTCTATAATTGAGAATCCCATAGAGAAGTGTTTTGGGACAGTTCATCCTAATGACAGACATAAAATAATGAAATGTCAAATGACAGACATAAAATATTGAAATGTGTGGCTGTCTCCTTACCACAGTTGATTCTAACCCAGTTGTTGAATTATTTGCCAAACCTCACCCAGTTCAGCAGGGCTATCACTATGATGCACCCTTGTATGTCTCTGAGGATTTATAAGAGACCTAAATTTTTAAAAAAGAAAGAAACTGGTCCACTCTCCAACAGTTCACAAAAATCAATTTCAGATATAGATCAAAGACCCAGATATAAAAGGCAAAATTTCAAATCTTTCAAAATTAAATGGGGGAGACTCTCTTAATATCTTTAGATTAGAAACAATTATTTAAAAAGATGAAAAATGCACTACCTATATAGGACACATTTTCAAATCTAGCCATATTGAAATTGAGAATTTTTGTTAATCAAAAGTTACCTCAAAGGGAATGTTTTTAAAAGTCATGATATGAGATAAAATATTTGTAGCACATGTAACCAAAAAGTGACTAGAACTTGAGTACATAAATAACTCCTGTAAACAGTGATGTTGATGTACTGGAAAATGTTTAACAACTGACCCTCAGGTCCCAAAAGTCCTTATTTTTAGCATTTGCTTGTTTCCAGGATATAAACACTTCCATGTGGCCAATTACAAGCCACTAATGTAAGGTCACCAAGTAGGGCCTTGGGGATAGATGGTTGCAGTTGGCTCTCACAAGGCAGGTATAAAGGCTGCAGCACAAAAGTCAACATGAAAAACAAAACAACCCAATGGGAAAAGTGCAAAAGAAGGCTTTTATGAGTGCTGTCTTAGTTCGTTCGTTTGTGTTGCTGTGAAGAAATACTTGAGTGTGGGTGGTTTACAAGGAAAAGAGTTGTATTTGGCTCAGCGTTCTGCAGGCTGTGCAAGAAGCATGGAGCTGGCATTAGGCAAGGGCCTCACACTGCTTCCACTCATGGCAGAAGGGGAAGGGAGCCCATGTGTGGAGATCACTCGGCAAGAGAGGAAGGCGAGGAGGTGCCAGCCTCTCTCTAACAACCAGGAACGAATAGAGTAAGAACTCACACTCCTTCCCCAGGGAGGGCAGTAAGGCATTCATGAGGGATCCGCCCCCATGATCCAAACACTTCCCATTAGGCCCCACCTCCAACACTGGGGATCAAATTTCAACATGAAACTTGGAGGAAACAGACAATATCAAACTATACCAGGGGCATAAAAGAGAAAACCTAAATGGACACTAAAAATACAAAAAGATGCTCAACCTAGTAACTGATGAGAGAAATGCAAATTAAAGTCACAATTAGATACATTTCACACCCTCCAGACTGACAGAAGTTAAAAAGTTTGTCAGTTTGGGGTTGGTGATTCGGAGATGTGGAAGCTCTCACCCATGGCTGAAGGAGCCTGTGCTAGTACAAACCACTGTGAGAAGCAGTTTGGCATTTCCTAAAAGAGGTGACTATGCCCACGTACGACCAGCACTTTCATTCCTGTAAATGTAAACATGCCCTAGGGAAACTCTTGCCCATACACCCCGCAGAACACACAGGGTTCGTGGGAGGACCATTAGCAATGGGAAAAAATGAAAACAACGCATGTGCCCATCAGCAACACAATAAATTATAGTCTCTATATATGATGGAATACAATTTCACAGTACTAAAAACTAATGAATTATGGCTACACGTATCAATATGGACAAATCCCAAGAACTTCATGGAGAGAGAGAGCATCACAAAAGAATACACGTAACATAACTGCAATACTATAAAGTTCCTCATCTATGCTAATAAAGACAGGGGGGGTTATCAGCAAAGTCAGGTTGGTGGTTGGAGAGGGAGGCAGGAGAGCAAGGGGGTTATGATCTGAGCATAGGACAGGAAGGGAGAGGGGCTATTCCACGCGACAGGAAATAGTCCATTCTCAAACGGTGTGAGTGTGGAGATGCTCTCTAAACTGTTGCTGCTGAGACATACGCTTGCATTGGATAGATTCTTCCACGTGTGTATTTCAAATTTGGCTTCATCAAAAGGCTTGTGGGGGAGTCACAGTGCAGTATATTAAGTGTGACAGCTGAGGAAAGCCCCAGCCGCAGAGGACAGAGAAAGGGGCGCATGTTGTCACCTGGCGGTGGGGTTGTTTCCGGAGAAGCGCCCAGGCTACAAACTGAGTTGTGAATCACGGAGGGACTTAGGTCCGGAAGGGGCAGCGCAGCGCCCTCCAGGCAGAGGAGAAGCCCCGCGGCCACCCTGCTGCGGTGCGGACTCCGCCTGTCCGGTTCCCTGTCACACCTGCTGCCTGCCCCCACCCTGCACACAGGTGCACACACACGGCGCGCATATCAGAGGCGGACGAAGAAGCCGCCAGAATTTAGCCAGTCTTCCTTCTTCATCTTCCCTCCTCCTAGTAAAACACACACACACACACACACACACACACACACACACACACACACACAAACACAAATGGGCATCACTCTTTTCTCTGGTCGTGCCTCTATTTCAGCTTGTGATTTTCACGTTTCACAAGGGTCTTCGCGGCAGAACCTGGCCGTCCCAACAGCCTGCGGAGGTTTCGGGTTGGATCTCGCGTTCGCTCCACTGCTTGGCCTGCGCTTCAGCCTCTAGCGACCAAAGACACCCATGCCACCGTCGGCAGCTCCATGCTCGCGAACTTAGACTTCAGACCTCTGTTTCACTGCAGTAATTAAAGAGACCATGGTGGGGATAGGGCGGAAAGTTATGTTCAATAAATACCTTTTAAATGATTTAAATGTGTCCTTCCTTCTCCAGCGCACACACGTACTCCTGAACTGGACACCTGGCAAGGCCAAGGAAAAAGGAGAAACTCTTTTGTAAGGCGGGAAGGATGCACCCCCTTAGCTACAGACAGGCTTCTAGGTGGCTCGCCTTCTACTAGTAGAACAGGTAGGGTTGTCTGCTAAAGTGTGGGACCTGCTACGTTGAAGCCAATCTTCTCTGAGCAAGACTCAATTTATCTTTTTCTTAATTACAACACATGAATTTTAGGTCACCAAGTAACACCACCAGTCAAAGGGTTTCATTTTATCTTTATTGCCTATTTATTACAATTCAGAAGAAAAATGACCAACTGGAAAAAAAAATATGTAACACGTATTACAGACTGTCAAATTTATTTCTTCTTCTTATTCTTTAGACAAGTTCTCACTCTGTGACCAGGCTGGAGTGCAGTGGTGTGATCTTGGCTTACTGTAGCCTTGAACTCCCAGGCTTAAGTGATTCTCCCACCTCAGCCTCCTGAGTAGCTGGGACTATGGCATGCACTACACACCTGGGTAATTTTTATATTTTTTTTGTAGAGACAAGGGTTTTGCCATGGGTCCAGGCTGGATTTTTTTCTTTATATATATGAAGACTTGGCAAAGGATATGGACAGACAGGTAATCCAGCTGGATCTTGAGCATATAACAAGATGCTCCACCACACTGGTAATTAGAAAACTATACTTTAAAACTACAAGATACTATTTTCCAGTCTCAGATTGGCCAAGTTCAAAAACGAGGAGAGTGGCTTGTGTCTGGGAGGCTGTGGGGGTCTGTGCTCTCACTCATTACTGACCGTGTGCCCCTAGGGAGATGGCATGGCAGGCAGTTTGCTAAGGCCTTCCAAAGGTAACAGTGCACACACTTTTTAACCCAGCAATTCTGCTTATTTGTCCTACAGATTTGTTTGCATATGAAATGGCCTGCCAGTGAGGATGTGCACTGCAACGTGGTTTCACTAACAAATATGCAACCAATCTACATCTCTATAAATAAATGGGTGAAATAAATAGTGATGCATCCATAGAACCATGAGTAGCCAAGAAAAAAAAAGTCTTTATATGAACTAATATGCAGAGATCTCTAAGAAATATTATTAAAAGAAATGCAAGGTGCAGAACCATGGGTACATCTACCACTAATGTAAAACACTAAAAAGCACTGTGTAAGGATATAAAAGAGGCTGTTGATAGTGTTCTTTCCAGGGAAAGAAAATGGGGTGACTGTGGGAAAAAGGTTAGAGGAGACTTAACTTTCACTTTCAAATTTTTTGCTGTGTTCAAACTTTGTCTATTCAAAAAAATTAACAAATAAAAATGCATTTAAAAAATTAGAGGCCAGTATTACCTACAGTTTCCAGCCTTCTGTGTAAAAGCAGATGTATTCACATTCTCCAGAGAAAGAGAACCACTAAGGTATCTATATTTCTATATCTATATCCATATCTCTATATCTGTCTATATAGAGAGATTTATTATAAGGAATTAGAGGCTGAGAAATCCAGACCCCAGGGAGCAAATAGTGGTATGTGACATGCCTTCATCAACAGAATATGCTGGAAGTAATGTTTTGAGGCTTAAAATTCCAATCTTTAGAGAATCGTTAGCCTCTGCTTCTCCTCTTCTAGAGTCCAGGCAAGGTAAGGTGTTAAACTGTACTGAGACAGTCATGCTGTAAGGAAGCCCAAGTTATCCATATGGAAAGAGAGACCACATAAGGGAGCATTGAGGTGCTAGACTTGTGAATGGAGCCTTCTTGGACCCTCTAACCTAGCTGAACTCCATATATGCAGTCCATGCCATGAGGAGGAGCAGAAGAGCTGCCCAGCCAAGCCCTGCCCAAACTCTCAACCCACAGAATTGTGAGAAACAATAAATTGTTGTCTTAAACCACTAAATTTTGGAATGTTTTGTTGCATAGCAATAGGTTTGCCCCAACATACTGGATGTCACTTACAAAGGTGACGATTCCTTTACAGGGACAGCCAAGTAACCATCCCATGGGAAACAAATATTTGCATTCCTTTATCTTGTTACTGAGGTGACATCTAATTGTATTCTTCTTTTTACCTTACATGAGACACTAATGGGCGTTTTTCTCCTTGATCTTTTATGGAAGCAAGCACAGTGTCAAACAGCAAGGGGCTTCTAATAGGGGATTTGCAGATGGCCAGCCTATCTCAGAATAGGACACAAAGATCTTGGGGTATCTTGTTTAGGATTCAGACAGTAGTCCCTGTAAATCCCATATACTTGCTATGAAAAGGAAAAATTGGCACATCAATTTGAGGTCAAAATGGTGGATATGAGGCAGGACTAACTTGCAGCTCCCACTCAGACAGACAGAGCAGCATGTGGAGACTCACATCATGAACTACCTCAGGAACATACCAGGAAAGCCAAGAGAATCCACAGGCCACCTGAAGGAGGTGGATTGCCACTGCAGGCTCCGTGGGACAGCTGAGGAAACTGCTAGTCTGTTTGCTTTCTCAGCTGGAAGGCTTGTAGCCTGAGGCAAGTTCTCAGCCTTGCTGACTGGCTGCCTGGAAATAAACTCAGTGCTGTTGCAGGGAGCATGGTGGGAGTGAGACCAGCCTTTTGGGCTGTGGGCTGCATGGGAGCTGGGTGACGCCTGTGGCTGCCAGCTTTCCCCCACTTCCCTGGCAACCTGTGTGATGCAGCAAGGCAGCCATAATTCCCTTGGGAACATAACTCCATTGGCCTGGGAACCACACCTCCATCCCACAAAGTAGCAGCAGCAGGCCTCGCACAAGGAGAGTCTGAGCTCAGACATGCCTAACCCTGCCCAGACCTGGTGGTCTTTCTCTACCTGCCCTGGTAGCAGAAGACAAAGGACACAATCTCTTAGGAACTGTATGGCCCTGCCTACCACCTGACCTTAGGGCAAGCTTCTATCCTCCCTATACTACTGCAGCTGATGTGCTCTTAAAAGCACCACCTCCTAGCTGGAGGCGAACCAAATAAAATTAGCACACTTTTTTTTTTGAGACAGAGTTTCGCTCTTGTCACCCAGACTGGAGTGCAATGGCATGATCTTGGCTCACTGCAACCTCCACCTCCCAGGTTCAAGCAATTCTCCTGCCTCAGCCTACCCAAGTAGCTTAGTTTTGTATCCAGCAAAGCTAAGCTTCATAAATTAGGGAAAAATACAATCTTTTTCAGACAAACAAACGCTGAGAGGATTTGCTACTGCAAAGCCATCACTACAAGAACTGCTAAAAGTAGCTCTAAATCTTGAAATAAATCTTTGAAATACACTAAAATATAATCTCCTTAAAGCATAAATCTCACAGGACCTATAAAACAATAACACAATGGGAAAAAAAGGTATTTAGACAACAAAAAGCATGATGAATAGAATAGTACCTCACATCTCAATAATAACATTGAATATAAATGGCCTAAATGCTCCACTTAAAATATACAGAATTGCAGAATGGATAAGAATTCACCAGTCAAGTATCTGCTGTCTTCAAGAGACTCACCTGACACATAAGGACTCACATAAACTTAAGGTAAAGGGGTGGAAAAAAGATATTCCATGCAAATAGCCCCCAATCCCTTCTAGCTTGTAGAGTCTCTGCTGAGAAGTCCACTGTTAATCTGACAGGTTTTCCTTCATAGATATTGGGGGAACCCGCCCCCAATATTTTAATGTATGTTCTTTCTATTTTCTGTAAGTGTTGGCCAGCTGAGAAATAAAGAGAAACAGTATAAAGAGAGGAATTTTACAGCTGGGCCGCCAGGGGTGACATCACATATTGGTAGGACCATGATGCCCACCTAAGTCTCAGACCAACAAGTTTTTATTAAGGGTTTCAAAAGGGAAGGGGGTGTAAGAACAGGGAGTAGGTACAAAGATCACATGCTTCTGAGGGTAAAAAGTGGAACCACTAATAAAGGTCTAACAAAGATCACATGCTTCTGAGGGAACAGGACAAAGGGCAAAAGCAGAACCACTGATAAGGGTCTATGTTCAGCGGTGCAAGTATTGTCTTGATAAACATCTTAAACAACAGAAAACAGGGTTCAAGAGCAGAGAACCCGTCTGACCACAAATTTACCAGGGTGGAGTTTTTCCCCACCCTAGTAAGCCTGAGGGTTCTGCAGGAGACCAGGGCATATCTCAGTCCTTGTCTCAACAGCACAAGACAGACATTCCCAGAGTGGCCATTTATAGACCGCCCCCCCAACCCCCCAGGAAAGCATTCCTTTCCCTGGGTATTAATATTCCTTGCTAGGAAAAGAATTTAGCGACATCTCTCCTACTTGCACGTCCATTTTATAGGCTCTCTGCAAGAAGAGAAATATGGTTCTTTTTGCCTGACCCCACAGGCAGTCAGACCTTATGGTTGTCTTCCCTTGTTCCACAAAAATCACTGTTATTCTGTTCTTTTTGAAGGTGCACTGATTTCATATTGTTCAAACACACATGTTTTACAATCAGTTTGTACAGTTAACACAATTATCACAGTGGTCCTGAGGTGACTTACATCCTCAGCTTATGAAGATAACAGGATTAAGAGATTAAAGTAAAGACACACATAAGAAATTATAAAAGTATTATTTGGGAGCTGACAAATGTCCATATTAAAATGAAATCTTCACAATTTATGTTCCTCTACCATGGCTCCAGCCGGTCCCTCCGTTCGGGGTCCCTGACTTCCTGCAACAATAGGTTACCTGATGCTTTTGCTGCATAACTCTTAAGATTCTTTCCTTCATCTTGACTAGATAATCTGATGAATATGTGCCAAGGTAATGATCTTTTTGTGACAAATTTCCCAGGTGCTCTTTGAGCTTCTTGTGTTTGGATGTCTAGGTCTCTAGCAAGGCCAGGGAAGTTTTCCTTGATTATTCCCTCAAATATGTTTTTTAAACTTTTATAGTTCTTTTCTTCCTCAGGAACACCAATTAGTCTTATATTTTGTCACTTAACAAAGCAAGCAGGAGTAGCTATTCTTATATCAGACAAAACAAACTTTAAAGCAGCAGCAGTTAAGAAAGACAAAAAGAGACATTATATAATGATAAACAGACTAGTCCAAAAGGAAAATATCACAATACTAAATATATATGCACCCAACACTGGAGCTCCCAAATTTATAACACAATTTCTACTAGACCTAAGAAATGAGATAGACAGCAACACAATAATAGTGGGGGACTTCAATACTCCACAGACGGCACTAGACAGGTCATCAAAACATAAAGTCAACAAAGAAGCAATAGACTTAAACTATACCCTGGAACAAATGGACTTAGCAGACATTTACAGAAGATTCTACCCAGCAACTGCAGAATATAGATTCTCTGCATCAGCATGTGGAATATTCTTCAAGATAGACCATATGATAGCCACAAAACAAGTCTCAGCAAATTTAAGAAAATAGAGATTATATCAAGTACTCTCTCAGACCACAGTGGAATAAAATTGGAAATCAACTACAAAAGGAACCCTCAAAACCACGCAAATACATGAAAATTTACCTGCTTTTGAATGACCGTTGAGTCAGCAATGAAATCAAGATGGAAATTAACAAATTCATTGAACTGAACAATAATAGTGACACAATCTATCAAACCCTCTGGGATACAGCAAACACAGTGCTAAGAGGAAAGTTCAGAGTGTTAAATGCCTACATCAAAAAGTCCGAAAGGGCACAAATAGACAATCTAAGGTCACCCCTCAAGGAACTAGAGAAATAAGAACAAACCAAACCCCAACCCAGCAGAAGAAAAGAAATAACCAAGATCAGAGCAGTACTAAATGAAATTAAAACAATGACAAAAAATACACAAGATAAATGGAACAAAAAGCTGGTTCAAAAGATAAATAAAATTGATAGACCATTAGTGAGATTAACCAACAAAAGAAGAGAGAAGATCCAAATAAGCTCAATCAGAAATGAAACAGCAGATATTACCACTGATACCACAGAAATACAAAAGATCATTCAAGACTACTATGAACACATTTACACACATAAACTAGAAAACCTAGATGAGATGAATACATTCCTGGAAATATACAACCCTCCTTGATTAAACCAGGAAGAAATAGAAACTCTGAACAGACCAATAACAAGGAGTGAGATTGAAATTGTATCTAAATAGTTACCAACAAAAAAAAGTCCAGGACCAGACGAATTCACAGCTGAATTTAGACATTCCAAGAAGAATTGGTACCAATCCTACTGACACTATTCCAAAAGACTATTCCAAAAGACTATTCCAAAAGATTATTGACAAACTGACACTAATCCAAAAGAGGATTCCAAAAGAGGGAATCCTCCCTAAATCATTCTATGAAGCCAGTATCACCCTAGTACCAAAACCAGGAAAGGAAATAACAAAAAAAGAAATCTACAGATCAATATCCCTGATGAATATAGATGTGAAAATCCTCAACAAAATACTAGCTATCTGAATCCAACAGCATATCAAAAAGATAATTCACCGTGATCAAGTGGGTTTCAAGTGCATACCAGGGATGCAGAGATGGTTTAATATATTCAAGTCAATAAATGTGATACAACACATAAAGAGAATTAAAAATAAACATCACATGATCATCTCAATACACACAGAAAAAGCATTTGACAAAATCCAGCACCACTTTATGATTAAAACCCTCAGCAAAATCCACATACAAGAGACATACATCACTGTAATAAAAGCCATCTATGACAAACCCACAGCAAACATAATACTGAATGGGAAAAAGTTGGAAGCATTCCCTCTGAGAACTGAAATAAAACAAGGATGCCCACTCTTACCAATCTATTCAACATAGTACTGGAAGTACTACCCAGAACATTCAGACAAGAGAAAGGAATAAAGGGCATCCAAATTGGTAAAGAGGACGTCAAACTGTCACTATATGCTGATGACATGATTACATACCTAGAAAACCGTAAGGGCTCATCCAAAAAGCTCCTAGAACTGGTAAATGAATTCAGCAAAGTTTCAGGATACAAAATTAATGTAAACAAATCAATAGCTCTGCTATATGCCAACAGCGAACAAGCTGAACATCAAATCAAGAACTCAATCCCTTTTACAATAGCTGCAAAAAAATAAAAATAAGAAACCTAGGGCTATACCTAACCAAGGAGGTGAAAGACCTCTACAAGGAAAACTACAAAACACTGCTGAAATAAATCATAGATGACACACAAATGGAAACACATCTGATGCTCGTGAATGGGTAGGATCAATATTGTGAAAATAACCATATTGTCAAAAGCAATCTATAGATACTATTCAATTCCCACCAAAATACCATCATCGTTCTTCACAGAACTAGAAAAAAAATTCTATAATTCAAATGAAACCAATAAAGACCCCACAGAGCCAAAGCAAGACTAAACAAACAAACAAAAAAATCTGGAGGCATCACATTACCTGACTTCAAACTATACTACAAAACTATAGTTACCAAAACAGTACGGTACTGGCTTAAAAATAGGCACATAGACCAATGGAACAGAATAGAGAACCCAGAAATACAGCCAAATACTTACATCAACTGATCTTTGACAAAGCAAGCAAAAACATAAAGTGGGGAAAGGACATCCTATTCAACAAATGGTGCTGGGATAATTGGCAAGCCACATGAAGCCGAATGAAACTGGATCCTCATCTCTCACCTTATACAAAAATCAACTCAAGATGGATCAAAGGCTTAAATGCAAGACGTGAAACCATAAAAATTCTAGAAGATAACATTGGAAAAACCCTTCTAGACATTGGCTTAGGCATAGACTTCATGACCAAAAACCCAAAAGCAAATGCAACAAAAACAAAGATAAATAATGGGACTGAATTAAACTAAAAAGCTTCTTCACAGCAGAAGAAATAACCTGCAGAATAAACAGACAACCCACAGAGTGGGAGAAAATCTTCACACTCTATACTTCTGACAAAGGACTGATAAACAAAATCTACGAGGAACTCAAACAAATCAGCAGGAAACACAAAAAAAAACAGAGAAAAAAAAACCCCCAAAATTGGGCAAATGACATGAATAGACAATTCTCAAAAGAAGATATACAAATGGCCAAAAAACATATGAAAAATGCTCAATATCACTAATTATAAGGGAAATGCAAATTAAAACCACAATGTGATACCACCTTACTCCTGCAAGAATGACCATAATCAAAAAATCAAAAAATAGATGTTGGCGTGGATATGGTGAAAAGGGACCACTTTTACACTGTTGGTAGGAATGTAAACTAGTACAATCACTATGGGAAACACCGTGGAGATTCCTTTAAAGAGCTAAAAGTAGACATAACATTTGATCCAGCAATCCCACTCCTAGGTATCCATCCAGAGGAAAATAAGTCATTATATGAAAAAGATACTTGCACACCCATGTTTATAGCAGTACAATTTGCAATTACAAAATATGGAACCAGCTCAAATGTCCATCAATCAATGAATGGATAAAGAAAATGTTGTATATATGTATATGTACCATGGAATACTACTCAGCCATAAAAAAGAACAAAATAATGGTATTTGCAACAACCTGGATGGAGTTAGAGACCATTATTATAAGTGAAGTTAACTCAGGAATGGAAAACTAAACATCATATGTTCTCACTCATAAGTGGGAGCTAAGCTATGAGGACACAAAGGCATAAAAATGATACGATGGACCTTGGGGACACAAGGGAAAGGGTGAGGGTGGATGAGGGATAAAAGTCTACATACTGGGTACAGTGTACACTACTTGGGTGATGAGTGCACCAAAATCTTAGAAATCACCACTAATGAACTTATTCATGTACAATAAATAAATCAATATTAACACAGGGAAAATTGGTACATGGAATGTCAAGAGGCCTCAGGCAAGGCCGCCCTGGGGCAGAACCCCCTCCTCCCCCACTAAGAAACAGAGCCCTCCCCAACCCTATCCAGCAGCTGGCCCTGAAGGAACAGAGTACACCTGAGAGGCCCAGGCAGGAGGCTGGAGCTTAGGGTGTAGAAGAGGAGCCAAGAGATTGTAAAGACAGAGTAGCTGCAGGGGAGGTGTAGACTCCACCACCTGAGGGGTGCCTGCAGGGGCTTGAGAACCAAGACCAAGGCTCTGCACCATGGGGAGGCCTCCTGCATCTCCCACCATGTGGACTCTGCACAGGTTGGACATTATATCCCTTGAAACTGAAGAGCTGCCTTAATATTTTTTGGGATTCTATGTTTGTGCTGACAACACCACCCCTTCCTTCCACAACACTGGGCATGGTGCCCAGCTTGGACCATGGGTTGGCAATCAATGAGTGGATGATCAGCCCTAAGGCCAAGTTCTCCTACAGCCTGTGTTTGTGAATGTTATTCATGTTATTGATCAAGGCCATGCCCATTGATGAACCTGTTGTTCATGGCTTCACTTCCTAATGGCAGAGTTGAGTTGTGACAGAGACCGTGTGGGCACAAAGCTTGAAATATTTACCCTCTGGCTCTTTACAGAAAGGGTTGTCAATTCTGAGGAAATCAATAGGAAGTAAACTATTCCAGTTCCTAAAAATGTGAGTGTTTTGTGTGGTGAGAGAGACCACACATTTCAAAGAAAAATGATAGAGATAGACTGGAGAAAATACTTACAACATATGCATTTAAAAAATTTAATAACTCTTGGCTGGGTGCAGTGGCTCATGCCTGTAATACCAGCACTTTGGGAGGCCAAGGCAGGTGAATAACTTGAGGTCAGGAGTTCAAGACCAGCCTGGCCAACATGGTGAAACCATGTGTCCACTAAAAATACTAAAATTAACAGGGCATGGTGGTGCATGCTTGTAATCCCATCTACTTAGGAGGCTGAGGGTGGAGGATTGCTTGAACCTGGGAGGTGGAGGTTGTGGTGAACTGAGATTGCACCACTACACTCCAGCCTGGGTGACAGAGCGAGACTCTGTCTCAAAAAAAAATTTAATAACTCTAATATTCTAAGGCTTCCACAAATTAATAAGAACAAGGCAAACACCATAGAATAGAAAAATAGAAAAATGGGCAAAGGAGTTGAACAGAAAAAGCGCACAAAAATACAAATGACTTATAAATTTATGATAGAGACAAATGTCATAAGTTATTATGAAAACAGAAATGTCACAGTGTTTTTCACTCACACTGATTGTATTGAGTCTTGATAAGGATGGAGGGCACATTGTGCCTTTGGGAGAAGCATCAATGAGCACACTTGTTTTGGAGGGGGTAATCTATCTAAAGTAAATGTTAAATTTTTTAAAAATGCATATCTTTTGCCAGATAATGTCATTTCTAGATGTCTAATCTATATAAATAGTCATACAAGTTCAAAAATAAATACGGAAGGATTTTCATCCTATCATTACATGAGATAACATTTTTTAAAAAAACCTGAATACTAATTAATGGAAAATGGTTACATAAATTGTAATGTATACATTTTCTAAAATATGCAGTTACTAAAAGGAATGAAAAGCGTTAATATTTTCTAAATGGAATAACTACTAAGATATATTGTTGAGCAAAAAAGCAAGTTGAATAACATTATGAATTACATGATTGCATTCTAAAATGTAAAATCTGTGTATGTACGTGTGTGTGTGTGCAGGTGTGTGTTCTAGGGAAAGGGGCCATGGCCACCTAACTCCTCCACTGGTGTGTAGTGGACAAGGTTGCTGCTGTATAAGGTAAGATATTGGTTTGGCTGCTTTAGCAAAGATCAAAATAACAGTAACTTAAAAAATAAAGAAGTTTGGTTCTCCCTCTTGTTAAAGTCTGGATTGGCAGAAGAGCCAGAGGTCAAAGTTTCCGGAGCCCTACCTGTCTCATCACTGTGCCATTCTGTCAGTGCATCTCTAGTCCACACGGTTGCAGCTGGAGGACCATGACCTGGAAAGTAGGAAGTGGGAATGTAGAGGAAAAGATAGACAGGCCCTGTGGAAGGCATGACCCAGAGTTGCACACGTGATTCACGTCACCTTCTTCTAGCCTAAGCATAGTCATGTGGCCACACCACGTAGGCCAAGAAAAAAGCAGTCCTTGGCTAGGCAGCCCCATGCCCAGCTAAAATGTAGAGGGCTCTGTTATTAAAAAGAAAACAGGAGAAGTCAATATTGGGGGATAATGAGTAGTCTCTCCCAAGGATGTCCTGCTGTCTTCCTTGCCAACAGAAAATCATAAAATCGACAAAGGAGAAACAGCAGACCATTTATGAAAGAATGCGGTTTGTCTTCAGCAGACTTATCCAAAACAGTAACAGGCAGCAGAAGATGGAAAATTATATTTGCAAAGTAGTGAGAGGAGCCAGTGTGAGCATAGCATTCTATATTATGTAAATGATCATTTAAGAAGAAAGGAAAGAGAAAAACATTTCAGAGCAAGACAGTGAGAATTGTCTGGGCACGGTGGCTCATGCCTGCAATCCCAGCATTTGGAGAAGGCAAAGCAGGAGGATTGCTTGAGCCCAGGAGTTCGAGACCAGGCTGGGCAACATGGTAAAATCCTGTCTCTATTAAAAACAAAACAAAACAGAAAGAAAAAAGATAGTGAGAATGTACCATTAATACATTAATACATTAGTACATTAAGACATGTGCTGAAAGAACTACTAACAGATATACTATATTTCAGGAAGAAGGAAATTGAACCCAGAAAGAACTAAGGTGCAACAAGTAATGGTATAGAAGAACACTGGAAATATATGGTATTTCTAGAAAGCTTTAGCTGAATCCATTAGTAATAATAACAGTAATAGTTCTGAATGTATAAAAGTAAATTGGAAAGCTCCAGCTAGAACAAGATGGCTTAGACTAGTTTTCCTTGCACCTTCCTTCTACACACAGCTAGAATAATGCAAGAGGCAAACAAAAAAACTCTCGTAGGTTTTAACAGGAAGGTGAACTGGTTTGGGCCTCAGGGATGGATGAAGTTCAGCTGCAGGGAATCTTATTTCCCCTTACCAGATGGAGGACAGTGACCCAGGTCCAGTGTTTCCATCCCGAACACAGTGACAGAAGGCAGCCAAGGAAGCCTTATTTCTGTCCTGGAACTACAGGAGTCCCTCCTACAGCACCAGGTGTATTTGCCTTCTGTTGTTGCTATAACAAAATTACCACAAACTTAGTAAGTTAAGTAACTACACATTTATTATCTTAGAGTTGTGGAGGTCAGAGGTCTCAAACTGGTCTCACTGGGCAAAACTCAAGGTCTCCAGGGCTGTATTCCCTTTGGAACTCTAGCAGGGAATCCATGTCTTTGTCATTTCCAGCTTTAGAGGCTGCTCACACTCCTTGGCTAGTGGCCCCTTCCTCCATCTCCAAGCCAGCCACATCGGGTTGAGTCCTGCTCATTCTTCCATCTCTTACTTTCTCTCTACTGCCTTCACCTTTCACTTATAAGAACCCTTGTGAAGATGTTGGATGTTTGTGATTACACTACAGAATCCAAGATGACCTCCCCATCTTAGAGTCAACTAATTAACACCTTAATTCTATTTGCAACCTTTGCCATTAGCATAACATATTCATGGGTCTAGGATTAGAGGTAGACATTTTTGTGGGAGGCATTAATCTGCCTACCACAGACTGCCTTCTGGCACCCAAAGATACACATCTATTCCATATGCAAAGTACATTCCACCCCAAGATTCCCAGGCTTATCAACCCATTAAAGTAACAACTCAAAGTCCAAAATCTCATCTAACTTTTAGATTAGCTCAAAAGTGCCAAATTGCATCATCCAAGGCTCTGGAAGTTATCCATCCTCAGGCACAATTCTTCTTCATCTGTGAACCTGGGAAATTCAAGAAACAAGTTATCTACTCCCAAAATACAAAGGTGAGATCGGCATGGGATAACAGTGAACCTGGGAAATTCGAGAAACAAGTTATCTACTCCCAAAATACAAAGGTGAGACAGGCGTAGGATAACAGTGATAGATATTTCCATTCAAAAAGAGAAGAGGAAGAAAAAGGAGTTGCCAGTCCCAATCAATTTCAAAATCAAGCCAGGCACATTCCATTTTGTTTCAAGGCTTGAGAATAATTATCTGTGACTCAAGGCTCAGACCCCCCCTCTGAGCTAGTGGCTCCGGCCTTGGAGTCTTCCTTCCTTTTTCTTGAAGTGTATCACATGTTTACAGCTGAGTAGCTTTATCATCACATTTCTTGCCTGTAGAATTTTGGTGGAGGGGGCTGTCTAACAGCCCTTTTTCATTTTGTATTCCGTCTGTCTTTTCTTTCCAAGCTGGCAGTGTTTCTGTTGGTATAACATCCTCATGAGTCTGTGAGTCTCCCATGTTTGTCACAGAGCTTTACACCATTGGACAAGAGACTCCTCTAAGGATCTTTCGTAGAGCTCTGTACCACCTGCAAGGGAGATATACCAGGATCCCATCATCAATAAGTGGGCAAGAGAAGTGCTCACCTCCTCCACAGCCTGAAACTCCCCTCTCGCATCAAGAAACAGCAGGCCAGGTGGAGAAGGCACTGGCAGAGGGCATCCTGTCATAAGTACTTACTCTTGGAAGACTCTCTGTGCCCTATAAGCAGAAGAGATCCTGCCATAAGGGCCCAGCTAGGAAAGCCTCTGTTTTTGTATGTGAACCTGAGCCTTCCCTACCCCATTGAGTGACACCAGGCCAACAAACCTAGGGAAATACCTTCAGCCCCCTGGGCAGCAACAGCAGGGACCAATGAGGAGCCTAGCAGCACCGGCTAAACCAAACAGGCAAAAATAACACCACAAAGTTTCTGAAAATTAAACTGTTATTGGAACCACGGCCCACAAAAGTAGGTCATTACCCACATACCAAGCCTTAACAGTGTAGTTGCCTTGCTACAATAGAAAATTTAAATAGAAATCAGTCTCCTAACAGAAGAAACAAAATGTCCAGATTACAGTAACATACCAAGAACCAGGAAAGCAACAACTGGAATGAGAAAAGACAATCAAATAACATCAACATGGGGATAAATTAGGTAATGAAATATTCTGACAAGGACTTTACAGGAACCATCATAAATATGCTTCAAAAATTAATTACAAATGAAAAAATAGAAAATATCATCAAAAAGTAGAAGTTATAAAAAAGAAGCAAATGTAAATTATAGAACTAAAAATACAATAAAAGAAATTAAAAACTTGCTGGATGAGCTCAATAGTAGAATGGAAATGACAAAGGATAAAATCTGTGAATTTGCCAGGAGCAGTGTCTCACGCCTGTAATCCCAGCACTTTGGGAGGCCAAGGCGGGCAGATCACCAGGTCGGGAGATGGAGACCATCCTGGCTAACACAGCGAAACCCCATCTCTACTAAAAATACAAAAAAATTAGCTGGGCATGGTGGCAGGTGCCTGTAGCCCCAGCTACTCGGGAGGCTGAGGCAGGAGAATGGCATGAACCCGGGAGGCAGAGCTTACAGTGAGCTGAGATCATGTCACTGCACTCCAGCCTGGGCGACAGAAAAAAAAAAAAAATCTGTGAATTTGAGAACAGATCAATAGCACTTGCTCATCATGTGAATAATATCATTAAGAATAACAGAAAAAAAATAGTCTGAAAAAAATGAACCGAGCCTCAGGGACCATGTTAGATTAAAAAAAAAAATCTGAGTTCCATACTATCAGAGTCTAAAAAGGAGAGAAGAAAGAGTTGAAAGAATATTTGAAGAAATAATTCCCATTTTGATGAAAGATATAAACCTATAGATTCAAGAAACTGTGATAATCACAAACAAGTAAACCCAAAGAAATCCATACTAAGACACATCATCATTAAACTTATTAAAACTAAAGACAAAAAAAAAGTGAAAACAGCCAGAAGAAATGACATCTTAACCTACAAGTGTCATTTGAATAGGAATGGATTTACTTCAAACCATGGATGATAAATATAAAACATAAAATAGAACATATTTTGCATAGAATATAGTCTCCAATAAAAATAAAATATAAAAGAAAAATCTCTTTGTAGGAGATTTGTATGGGAATTGGTGATTTTGGAGGCCTAGAAGTTCCACAATCTCCCATACACAAGCTGGAGCACCAGGAAAGCTGGCGGTGTCATTTAGTCCCAGGTCCAAGGCCTGAGAATCAGGCACTCCCATGTTCAAGGGCAGGAGAAAAGGGTTGTCCCAGTGGAGGGACAGAGGAAGAAAATTTGCCCTTTTCTCACTTCTTTGTTCTATAAGGTCCTCAGCAGACAGGAATATGTTCATCCACATTGGTGAAAGTAGATCTTCACTCAGTCCACCACTTCAAACGCTAATCTCTTCTAGAAGAACTCACAGACACACCCAGAAAAGATGTGTTACCAGCCATCAGGGCATCCTTTAGGCCAGTCAAGTTGACACATAAAATTAGCCATCATTGTGTACTTTTCCTGCCCTGGTCTTTGATTTAGCCTAGTGGTGATATGGAATTTAGAACCCCAGATCCAGTCTCTAGCTGTGCTCATTGCTCCTGGAGCACCATGCTTCTGGCCGTTTCAGAACAGAGGTAGGAAATATATGAGTTTTTCATTTGTTTGCTTTTTAAATCTATTTATCCTGTTCCCTCAAATTCTAATCAACACCACAGGACTCTTCTGGTCTTAGAGCTTCAAATTTATATTTGTTTTATCTGAGTTCCTTCCTCAGGAAAGGACCCTCAAGCCTGTCAACAAAAGTATCAAAGAACTGAAACTCACAAAATCACCACATCCTCATAATGAGATGCCAGAGCCCTCTTTCATCATGATTGCTTCCTTAACCTCTCTAGTTCCTGTTTTCTTATACATTGTTACATTTCTTCCCTGCTATATAAACCTTTAATTTTAGTGGGCTGGGCAGAAGAATTTGAGACTGAACTCCCATTTCCTTGGCTGCCTCAGTGATTGGCTGTGCAGCAAGCAGCAGGACCTAACTGAACCCCTGGTGTTTCAGTAACATAATCACATCATATTTCTCTTTCAATTTATTGGGTTAAATTACATTAATAGATTTTATTATGTAGAACCATCCTTACATTCTTGCAATAAACTGTATTAGTTGTGGATTGGTGTTATTTGACTAATATTTCATTCAGGTTTATAAATAAAATGTCTGTAATTATTGCTTCTGATGTTGTTCTTAACTGGTTTTGGAATCAAAATGAGGTTCACCTCATAGAATGAATTTTTGATATATTTTGGAACAATTAGCTTTACTTGATCATTTGTACATA
Organism: Homo sapiens; assembly: GCF_000001405.40. NCBI lineage: Eukaryota > Metazoa > Chordata > Mammalia > Primates > Hominidae > Homo > Homo sapiens. Next base: position 37,668,403 of record NC_000010.11, read on the forward strand.
ATTTGAAAATTTTGTAAAATTTACCTTCAAAACCATTTTGGCCTGGGATTGTTTGTTCGAGGGGTTGATGGAAAGCAGTCTTTGAACTACTACAATTTTATTGTTTCCTGGTTTACATGTTCCAATTCTTTTTCTTCTTTTGCAGTTTTGGTTTTCTATATTTTTATAATATTTCATTCGTTTAATTGAGGGCTTTAATTTTTTCATGTATAGTAAAATATTCCTTTATGATTCTTAAAAATCTCCACTGTATTTGCAGTTATTACCTCTTTTTGTTCTGTATTTCCTTTCACAATTTACTTTTATGCTCATCTTTTTTCCTTGGTGAGTCTTGTGAGACGTGTCTATCTCGTTAATTTTTTCAATGACTTTATTTCTGCCTTTGTTAATTTTCTCCATTGTTTTATTTGATTGATCCCTGCCCTGATGGTTATCATCTCCTTTTGTGTGTGTGTTTTTTTTTTTTTTGGTTTTACTTTGTTGCTCTTATTCCAACTCTTGAGTTGAATGCTAGTTTGTTTTTAAAAATTTTATTTTCTGAAAAATGCTCTGAAAGCTATAATTTTCCTATTAACAATTGCTTTATTGGCAGTCTGTATTTTTATTATCATTTAGTTTTAAATATTCCTCAACTTCCTTTTAAATCCAAGAGTGATTTTGTAAAATGTTATTTATTTTTTAAAAAATTGGATTAAAAAAATCTTTTTTGGGCCAGGCACGGTGGCTTATGCCTGTAATCCCAGCACTTTTGGAGGCCCAGGTGGGTGGATCATGAGGTCAAGAGATCAAGACAATCTTGGCCAACATGGTGAAACCCCGTCTCTACTAAAAATATAAAAATTAGCTGGACGTGGTGCGTGCACCTGTAGTCCCAGCTACTCAGGAGGCTGAGGCAGGAGAATCGCTTGAACCCGGGAGGCAGAGGTTGCAGTGAGCTGAGATAGTGGCACGGCACTCCAGCCTGGCAACAGAGTGAGACCCCATCTCAAAAAAAAAAAAAGTATCTTTTGTTGTTTCAGTCGTATTATATTTAGGAAACATGCTTTGTGTGAAATTCATCCTTTGGAATTTAGGAGCGCTTTGCCTATATTCTAATGCTTGGTCAATTTTTGTACATGTTCCTTGATTGCCCTAATTTAACATGTATTACCTATTTTGGGAGGTTTAGAGTTCTTTTTGTATCTATTAATTATAGTGATCAGACCTTAATATGCATGCTAATTTTCTGGTCTGTTTTATCCATAAGTTTCTAAAGTAGTATGTTAAAATATCCTACTATAATTACTGATTCTTCTATTTATATCTACAATATTTTCAGTTGTCTTCTTATATATTTTGATGCTGTAATAGTGGGGACACAATTTCCTGATGTTGATATGTATGTTTTGTATTTCTTTTAAGTAGTTTAAATATCATTATTCTGGAAATTTTATCCTAAATTATGTTAGAAACATATTTCATTGTTTCTAAGTCAAGATTTTTAAACATTTTGGCATCTCTAAAACTGAGTTGCTAAGTTGCTAATTAATGAGCATAAAGTTCTCGTTAAACAAAATGAGTAAGTCTGCCATACAACATTGTAACCTATCCTTAACTATACCCTATTGAGTCATAATCCAGCCACTGTACTCCAGCCTGACCCACAGAGCAAGATCCTGTCTCTAAAAACCAACAATAGCTACAACAACAACATTGTATTGTACAGTTTACATGTATTAAGATGGTGATTTCGTGTTAAGTGTTCTTTTCACAGTAAAATAAAATTTTAAAATAAAATTGAGTTGTTTCTTTTATCTGCTGTCTGGGAGGCAGTAGATGTGACCTGGTTGTTATTGCCTGTGTTTATGTGAACATAATGATAACTGTTCTTTTTGGCATTACTTCAATTGAGTTATGTGCATTTTTTGGTACTGGATGTATTGAATTTAATTACTGTTTATAATTTCTTTAAAAGCTTATGATTTGGCATTGAAGTGAAAAGTTATGCCGTAGGCAGAAAGTTAACTACAAGAGGCTAGTGTGACCTGTTTATATGTTATGCAGGACTATAGTCAAGGTATCAAATATCAATTTGTCAGAAACTTGCTGCTGACTTTAATCTGAAGCTATTTAACTTCTAATAACATATGATTCCATTGAGAAAGGAAATGAAGCTGTGAATGAAATAAAAAATGAAATACTAATAAAACCCTGAGTTTTTACAGAACCATTGCTAACGGTGCTTATTATGAACACAGGTTAGAAAAGTATTACATCACTCTGATGCTATGCGTAATCACCAAAGGTCAAATGTTGCCACCATATTTAATTTTAAACCAAAAACAGTGTAAGCTATTTCCCCAAATATCTTAATGTGCTTGTACTAAAAAGGAAAATAAGGCATCAGATAAACTGATGACAGAATAACTAAAAGAGGCTGGGCGTGGTGGCATATGCCTGTAATCGCAGCACTTTGGGAAGCCGAGGCGGGTGGATCACCTGAGGTCAGGAGTTCGAGACTAGCCTGGCCAACATGGTGAAACCCTGTCTCTACTAATAACATAAAAATTAGCTGGGCGTGGTGGTGGGTGCCTGTAATCCCAACTACTTGGGAGGCTGAGGCAGCAGAATCACTTGAACCCAGGAGGCAGAGGTTGCAGTGAGCCAAGATCTCACCATTGCATTCCAGCCAGGGCAACAGAGTGAGACTCTGTCTCAAAAAAAAAAAAAAAAAAAAAAAAGAATAACTCAAAGAATCTGGAATGGATGTCTAGGAGACTAACTAACTAAGCATATTTGTTTGGATGCATCTGATCAGCTAAAGAATAAGTTCACTAAGAAGTGAATTAAGTTGGTTGTTGTTCCATAATGTATGACCCCTTGAAGATTCCATCAGCAAACCATTTAACAGTTATTTGAAGAAGGAACATGATTTCTGTTTGTTGTCTGAAAACCTTGCACTGATTGCAAGTTCTGGTAAGATCACTAAAGCACTGGCATCAACTTACAAATGGCATCCATATCTTGAAAGAGAAAAAATCCCAGACAACATTGAAGCACTCTTAAACGGTGCTTCATCACAAATTCTATCATTATCACACAGGACATTTGAGTATGCTCAAAAGCTTGGATAACTGACTCTGAGTGAAAAAGTAATTCGGGAGAATTATATTCTGATTTGGAAAAGTTTTTGTTTTCCTTTTATGTATTAGGGCTATTTCCAGAATTTGTAATTTAATTTTATTTTAATTTTTTGAGACAGAGTCTCACTCTGTCACCCAGGCTAGAGTGCAGTGGCACAACCTCGGCTCACTGCAACCTCTGTCTTCCAGGTTCAAACAATTCTCGCACCTCAGCCTCCTGAGTAGCTGGGAGTACAGGCACCCACAATCATGCCTGGCTAATTTTTGTATTTTTAATAGAGACAGGGTTTCACCATGTTTGCCAGGCTGGTCTCGAACCCCTGGCCTCAAGCAATCCACCTGCCTTCACTTCCCAAAGTGCTAGGATTACAGGCTAGAATTTTATTTTTAATTCTATTGTCTCTTTAGTTTAAATTTCTCCTGGAGACCACATATTGTTGGATACTGTTTTTGTTTCAAACTCTGAGAGTCCCAGCCATTTAATTGTTGGATTTAACCCATTTATATTTTGTAATTACTGTTATGTTAGTGATTATTTCTGCCAACTTCATATTTAAATTTACTTTTTTCCCATTAAGTATATTCTCTTTCATTGATTTAAAAGTTATAACTATATGTTCTATGACAATTGCCTTAATTTAATATCCAAATATATGTTTATTTGCCTCTTTTATTTTCTTAAGCATATTAATATATACATTTTCCCTTAAAAATAAAAGTAATTTTGATGTTCGTGTTACCATTGGTCTCCATTTCCTGCTCTCCTAATCCCTGTCATGTTGATATTATTTAAAATTTTAGTTCTTGGTTGCCATATATGTGTTTTTGTTTGCTTTTCTTTGGTCTTAGAGTGAGTGTATTTGCACTTTTCTTCCTTCCTAAGGCAAGGATAACACTTGCTGATTCATTTGAGGATGCTTTTTGCCTATTTCTCCTGTATCATCCTTCTGAATCTGCAGCTCTTCTTTTTTATGTACTTTCTCTGAAAGTATTTTCAGTGGGAGTCTTTGTTGATCTTTGTGTGGCAAGCCTGATACTCTAAATGCCTGAACATATTTTAAATACATACTTAGGTTTAATGAAAAATTGGAGATAAAAATTTGTTTCAAAATTTTTTATTTTCAATACTTTAAAATATTTCTCAGTTTTTCTATTGCTTCCAATGTTGTGTTTGAGAAGTTTGATGCCAATTTGATTCTTATTCCTTTGTAAGTGCTCTCTGCAAGCATTTAGAATTTTCTCTGTCTCCTAAATATTTTAAGTTCACTGTAATGTATCTGGGTGTGTCTTTTTCTTTTGTTTTCTGTTTGGTACTTTATGAGCCTTTTCCATTTGTCTTTATGTCTGGGAAATTCATCTTTGCTTTCCTTCAAATATTTCTTTTTCTCCCTCTTTCTCTTTTTCTTTTGGGACTCGATTTACCCCTACCCTTTGGATATTGGCACTTCTATATCTATCTTCCATATCTTTTATCATGTTTCACAGTTTAATCTCTTTATTCTTTCCTGCCTTCTGAAGTGTTATCAGCCTTCACTCTCAATTCTCTAACCTGCTCCTCAGCTCTGGCTGCCACTCTAGAAGGCCCATGCTAATAGACCTGTTGGTGGTTTTCTAACTTTTACCATCACACATAGCACTGTAGTGAATAACCCGCACATGTGAAAGGATCTCCAAGGGATAAATGCCCAAAATTTGAATTGTGAGTCAAAGGACATCTGAATTTCTAATTTCTGATAGTTAAATTTTTCTCCATAGTGGTGGACCGATTTGCACTCCACCCAGTGATGTGTAAGAGTACCTGCTTAAAATCTCAAATTTTAATGAGATTTTGTCAATCTGGTAGTTAAAAATAATTCTTAAGCTAGTTTTAATTTTTATTTCTTTCAATATGAGCAAGGTTGAACATCTTTTCAGAGTTCTTTATATTTTCAATGAACTTTCAATTCAACATCTTTCTTGTAGTTTATGTAAAAATTTGTTTGACCAAAATGTAGAAAAAGTGATACTATTACATATGATACAGTTGCAAGAATCTAAAGAAAAGTGTGGATTTTATTCAATTTGCACAATTTGCTAGTGTATTTCCTGGGTAGTGTGATGCTGAATAAATAGGAGTGGAGTGGTGGGGTCGGGTGGGTAGGGGATTCAGATAAATCAGAAGCAGGGTGATTTAGTCGGATCAATTCAACATCTTTAGGTATTTTTTAAAAATTGAATTCTGGCCTTATTTATGACAATTTCTAGGAGCCCTTTTTATGTTAGGGAGTTTACTCTTTGTCTAATATGAGACACAATGTTTCCCGCAGATTCTCTTTCATTTTCTGATATTGCTTATAGTTTTTTTTTTATTTTTTGCAAAGCAGATTTTCTAAACTTTCATTATAGTCACGTTCATCAGTCTTTTCTTTCATGGATTTTATATTTTGAGCATGTTTTTTAAAAAAAAGGCTTTCCCTACTTCAAAGTCTGAAAAATAATCTTATGCTTTCTTTTAGAACTTTTAGAACTTTTTATGTTCAGTTTTTAATATTGTAACCTGTGATGTATTTGGAATTTCTCCTGATTTAAAGGGTCGGGTATAGGTGTACTATTTTTTTAAGATGGCTATCAAGTTGTTGCCAGATCATTTATCAAAAAAACCATCTTTCTCTGGGCGCGGTGTCTCACGCCTGGAATCCCAGCACTTTGGGGGGCCGAGGTGGGTGGATCACGAGGTCAGGAGATCAAGACCATCCTGGCTAAAGCAGTGAAACCCCATCTCTACTAAAAATACAAAAAATTAGCAGGGCGCGGTGGCGGCACCTGTAGTCCCAGCTACTTGGGAGGCTGAGGCAGGAGAATGGCATGAACCTGGGAGGCAGAGCTTGCAGTGAGCCCAGATCGCAGCCACCACACTCCAGCCTGGGGGACAGGGTGAGACTCTGTCTCAAAAAAAAAAAAAAAAAAGAGAAAACCATCTTTCCTCTACTGTTTGAAATGCCACCTTTATTGCACACTAATTTACCCTATATGTTTGAATATATTACTTGGTTTTTAAATCTCTCCTATTGGTCTGTCTATAAAATCAGTGCCACACTATTCTATTTATCAAGGCTTTATAAAGCATTTTAATAACCAGCAGTGTTGCTCTATCACCATTACTTTTCTTCCTCTGAGTTTTACCAGACATTCTTGGCTCTTTAACTTTCCAATGTATAAAGAATGTTTGTCCAATTTTAAAAAGGTCTAATGATACTTTCACTGGATTCATATTAAATTATGAAGCAAGTTAGAGAAAATTCCCATTTTTGTTATTTACTTTTCATGTCTAATATCATGGTATGTCTTCCCATTTGTTCAAGACTTCTTTTTTGTTTCGTCAGTGCTATTTGACTACCTTAAAGTTTTCTTCATTTAAGTTTAACATACAAGTCTTGCATATTTCTTGAGTTTATCTCTAAGTATTTTAACTTAATAATGCTGTACTGAATTTGAGTCTTTTACTTTTATTTTTTCTTAAGACGGAGTCTTGTTCTGTCTCCCAGGTTGGAGTGCAGTGCTGCGATCATAGCTCACTGCAGCTTCTAACTCCTGGGCTCAAGTGATCCTCCTGTCTCAGTCTCCCAAGTAGCTAGGACTTCAGGTGCATGATACAACATCTGGCTGATCTGTTTCTTTTTAATTTTTTTTAAAGATCGAGATCTCGCTATATTGCCCAGGCTGGTCTCAAACTGGTGGCCTCAAGTGATCCTCCCACCTCAGCCTCCCAAAGTTGTGAGATTACAGGTATAAGCTACCATGCCTGGAAGGGTATTTTCTTAATTCATACATTCTTTTTCTTTTCAGAGCTTTATTGATATATACTTCACATACTGTAATATTTACAGAGTTTTGCAAATCTAATTTTAAAACATCTTCAAAACTCCAGAAAGAAATCACACACACATTAACAGTCATTCCAATTCCCACTCCTCCCGCTGCCCCACCTTGCCCCGGTTCCAGCCAACCATGAATCTACTTTTTGTCTCTGTGGATTTGCCTATTCTGAACATTTTACATAAATGAATCCTAGAATATGTGGTCCTTTTGACTGGCTTCTTTCACGTAGCACAGTGTTTTCAAGGTTCATTCATGTTTTTGCTTGCATCAGCATTTCACATTTTTATTGACAACATTTCACTATATGGATATACCACACTTTATCCATTTATCAGTTGATAAACATTTAGGTCATTTCCACTTTCGGACTATTATAAATAATGAAACTACAAACATTTGTTTACAAGTTTTTGTGTGAACATATGTTTTTAATTTTCTTGCATATATACCTAAAATTGAAGCTGCTGGATCATAAGGTAACTATGTTTAACTTTTATAGAAACTTCCAAACTGTTTTCTTAGTGGCTGCAACATTTTGCATTGCCATCAGTAGTTCGTGAGAGTTTCAATTTCTCCATAACCTCACCAATACTTGCTACTGTCTGTCTTTTTTATTATAGCCATCCTACAGAGTATGAAGTGGTATCTATTGTTTTTTTTTTTTTTTACATTTACCTAATGACAAATTGTGTTGAACATTGTTTCATGTGTTTATTGACCATCTGCATACCTTCTTTGGTGATTTCAATTCCAGTCCTTTGCCCATTAAAAAAATTAAGTTGTCATTTTATTATTGGGTTGTTAATTCGTATTTTCTACTTAATTGTTGCTTTTTTATGCTTGAAAAGCTGTGGGACTCAATATTAATTTTATTCACTGCTACTTTACTAAATTTTCTTATTATTTGTTGTACTTTTTCATTATGTTGGATTTTTCAGGCATGTAATCATGTGATCTGAAAATAGGCTAGCTCCTCATTCCTGCTGTTTCTCTTGTCATGCAATGTCAAATAACAATGGTTACAGGAGACATTCTTGTTTTGTTTCTGACACTCTCAGGAATCCTTCTAATGACGTGAATTTCGGGGCTGGAATAGATTTATATTGATAATGTTATGAAGTATTAACCTATTATTGGTTTAAAATATTAAAATCAGACTAGATTTAAATTTTCCATGGTCTATGGAACTGATAATATGATTTATCTCTTTAGAACCAAAGATTTTGTGAATTATATTAATTTCCTGATATTCAGTCATCCTCTTATTACTAGAATAAATTCTGCATATTCATAAGGAATATATTCTCATTCTAAGGCATTGTTATATTCTGTTTCCTAATGTTTTATTTAAGATTTTTAAATTGGAATTAATAAGTAAAATTGGTGTATAGCTTCCTTTTTTGTGACTATACTCCCTGCCAAATTTCAATGTTACATTTACGTCATAGAAAACATTTGGAAGTTTTTTTCATTTTTCAATGTTTTGTAGCAGTTTAAAAAACACTGAAAATGCCTGTTATTTATTAAAGACTATGTAAAGTCCCTTATAACATTATCAAAGGCTATTCTAGAGAATAGCTTATTGACAACTATATTAGTCTGCTGGGGTTGCCATAACAAAATATCACAAACTAAATGGCTTAAACAACAGAAATTTATTGTCTCACAGTTCTGAAGGCCAGAAGTTGAGATCAAAATGTCAGCAGGGCTGTGCTCTGCGGAAGGATCTGTCCAGGCCTCCCTCCACTTCTGGTGGTTCCTTGGTGTGTGGCAGCATCACTCCAGTCAGCACGTGGCATCCTCCCTGTGTGCCTGGGTCTGTGTCCAGACTTCGCCTTTTTTAAAAGGACACCAGCTGTGTTGAATGACAGCCCACCCGGCTCCAATGTGACCTCATTCTAACTTAACTAACATCTGCAATGACCCTGTTTCCAAACGAGGTCACAATCTGAGGGACTGGGGCTTAGGACTTCAACACAGGAGTTCTGGGGCATACAATTCAACCCAGAACAACAACCTTATCCATTTCTTCTCACAAATCACTCTATTTAAACTTCCTAACTTTTATGGAGTTCGTTGTGATAAGTTATATTTTTCTAGGAAATTATCCATTTCTTAAATGTTTTCAAATATATCTGAATAATATGGACCAAGTTAATGTTTATGATTTTATTAATTTTCTGTTTCTTTTTTCTCAACAAAAGTAAATAATTAACTTTTGTTTCTGGTTATTTCTCCCTCATTGTTTGTTCTTTGTGGTGTTTAAAAAGCTATTTTACATTATTTAGTGGTTTACACATTCCACTCCACCCCATCCCCCAACCATGAACTTTTGTATTTATTTCTCAATTGTGCTGTTTTTTTTCCCATAATCACTAATTTATATTTTCTTTGTTAATGCTTTATTTATGCTTTCTTTCAGTTTATTTTTCTTTAAATGACTAAATGTATTCATTTTTAAATAATTATACAGTAAAATTGACATTTTTTACTAGGGTAAAGTCCATGAATTATAACATATATACGTTCATGTGACTACTGCCATCATCGCGGTACACAGCTGTTCTATGATCTAAAAAGAAATCCCCCAAACAAGAAAATCTCGTGTGCTGTTGACACCCTCCCCCTGTCCCAGCCCCATCCCCCACTGATCTCCCTTGCATTCTGTTCTCCCCTACTGCAGTTTTGTGTTTTAGGCAATTCCATGCTAATAGAATCATCCAGTATATACTTTGGAGACCAATACTCTCACAAGCACAGTGCATTTGAGATTCATTCAGATTGTTCTGGGTGTCCATACAGGCCAGTCTCTGTGGGGCTGCTGTTTAGGTGGCTCAACCTTGCTGCAGCTTTTAACTCTACTGGCCAGCCTATCTTGTTTTTGGGACAAGCTGGGCCCTGCAACCAGTGCTTATAGTGGGGAGCATAGGGGAAGGCATGGGTGACAGCAAACATCCCACCTACCTTGCCCTCTCCTCCTTCACCTTTGTCACCCCACCCTGTAGTTGGCACCTGTTTCCACGGTGTCTCCCATGGTGTCTCCCACGTGGCCCCTGTCAGCCTAGGGATCAGCCTGCTATGAGAACCTGCCACCTTGTCCTAGCTGCCCACTCCAGGGTCCTCCCACTGCACTTACCCTTCTCAGAGCAGCCATTACCCTGCAGACCTGGCCAGGGCAGAGCATGTGGAGCCTGCACCATGGGAAGACCTGGTGAGGCTCAAGCTGAATTGTTCTACATGCTTTCCTATACGTTCCAAAAATGTCTGAAAAACACATCAAGAGTCCTCAGTCACTCCTCTCTCCTCCCTGGATGCATTTATTTCAGTCTTTTCTTTCCTTCCTGTCTCTGTTTCTCACGGAGGACGCTGTGCCAGCTCTCAATGCTGGGGGCTCTGCTGACCTTCCTCCAGCCTCATTCATTCCTCAGATGAGTGGTCCTATCTCAGGGCTGAACTCCCTACTCCATTAAATTCCTGCTTCTAAGGTGCCCCCAGACTGGATCAGGGGCGACCACATTCAGCCACCTCTGGCAGAGTGTACACATGGTTGCAATAATCCTGGGAGTTCCCAAGAAGGAAACCCCCACTGCGTGTTCTCCCTGGCCTCCTGGGGTACTTCTCAGAGCAAGTGGGAGGAGCAGGAAAAGTGGCTTCACCAGTATCTCTTGATGGCTATTGATAGAAATGCTATGTGGAAGGGTGGGAGTGGGGAGGGATACACACAGCCAAGGAGGCCCAGCACTCTCCCAAGGGCTAATCTTTGGAGTCCCTGGCAAGAGGTAGGGAGCGGGTAATGAAGGAGCAATGCCCAGCAGGAGTGAGTCATCGGACTGGAGACCAAGAAAGGCCCAAGGAGGCACTCAAGTGCTGAAGGAATAAATGGTGGGCTCTGGACTTTAGTTAGTGTTCCTCACAATGTGTTAGATGGGAAAAGGTCTGGGTTCAAATAGGCTAGGAAGTGCTGCTCACCCGCAGTTAAATGTGTTCATCTGCTGGACAGCCTCTCAGAGCCTCTCTGTTCATCTTCGTCAGAACTGAGAGGAAAAGTTGGCAGTGAGTAAAGGGAGCTGGGAGGCGACACAAGGAAACGACTTTGTGGGTCATTGATCCATTGACCCCTCTCCTGTAAACTCTGCCCCAGGGACATCACTCAAGGACAGCTGAAGGGTGGCCTGGAAGGGCCTGGAGGAGAGATAGTCATTGAGGTGGGACCCAGGGCAGTGGCCGTGGGGATATGGGAGGCGTGTGGCCAGTGGTCAGGACAGAGTTCTCCCTGGGGTGAAGCGTGGGCCCTGCGTGGTCACCGTGATCAGGGCGGGCCAGGGCACACTGAAGTAAGGCAGAACAAGGAGGCCTGGAGGCCATAAGCTGTGGGTGGGACCTGCGCTCATCCAGGGCTTTGCACAGCACTGTCCCAGTGAACATGGCTGAGGCCTCACTGTGGCCCTGTCCTTTCTTTCTGGGCATCCCTGTCCTTTCCTGGGAGGGAGAAGAAGCAGCAGATTGTCCTACCTTGGCCATAGCGGGATCATTCCTTCCAGGGGCCTGACTGACCCCGTGGCACTCAGGGCAGCCTGCTGGGCGTTGGCTCTTTTTGACCCCTAGCCCTGGTCTCCTGGGCAAACCCCTGAACCTAAAGAAGAAAGGCCCCCGCCAGCTCCATCCTAATCTCAACCCACTTCTCTCCAAGAAGCTAAAGGAGCCTGCTCGGCTTTCATTCTCTGGTTCTCTATCCTCCCCTAAGACCTCAGGCTCATCCCTGGCTCCAAGCCCTTCATCTTCTGCTCTTATTGCCTCCCGGCAGCCCAGGATTTGGGGCTGTCTAACGCCCTCCGCAGTCTGCCAACTCTCTATCAGCGAAGGCTGAAGAACTGCGTTTGCGAAGAGTGCGTGCGTGGGGCCTCAGCGGGGCTTCGGTGGAGAGGGCAGGGCCTCCTACGAAGGGCGTGGCCTGAGTGCGGGGGCGGGACCTGTGGGCGGGGCGCGGCCTGAGGGCACTGCTGAGGAAAGCCAGTTCCTCCTACTCCCCAGTCCTGTGCTCCCGTGTCCCCGTCTCAGCAGGTCCCCGCTTAGTCCAGCACCCTGGGGAATGCTGCCCCTGGCTGGCAGCACGCCCTGCCTGCGTTCCTCCCGTCTTTGCTCCTGGTCACTGTGCGTCCTGCACAGTTGCCATCCGTGCCCACACGCTGCCCCAGGGCCCTGGTCTCCCGGTGTGGCTCGGTCTTGGTGTCCCCGCTGCGGTCGTCCCATTTGCCACCGCCGTTTGCATGTGGGCCTTTCCACTAAGAAGCGGGCACCCTAAGGCCCGAAGCGCTGGAGCCTCTCTGACTCTCTGTCCAGTCTGGCCTGGGACAGACACCTGTGGACACCTGAGGCAAAGGGAAGTCGGGGGCCAGGGACATCTCAGAGTAATGGGGTCTCGGGAAAGCAGGGGAGGCCGGGGCTGCAAGGGGGAGCTGGGGCAGGCAGGGGAGCCCAGCCCTGCAAGAGGGCAGAATGAGCCGACGGCAGGCCCCGCGGGGCGGTGCGCGGGGCTATGGAGACCACGCTCCTCCGTCCCCTCCTGTGTGTCTCAAGAGACGCGGCAGGGCACAGGCGACCGCCTGCTCCTGGCTTCCCCGGCTTTCCCAGGCCCCGGGAGCCAGGACTGTCTGAGTGGGGTGATCCGCCTGGACATTTGTTCGGAGATCCCTGCGTGGAGGACGACCTAGCGGGGAGAGGCTGGAAACAGGCGAGGAGGAGCAGCGCGGCTAGGGGACTGGACGACTGGAACCGGGTCCTCCTTAGCTAAGAAAGGGAAGGGCCTCAGCCTTACTGAAAGGAGCGCCTGCGGAGGACGCGGCCCTGCACCTGCGGCTTTTCCGCACCCCGCACGCCCGGCGTAGGCATCTCCTCCCCAACACAAGCAGGGGCAGCCCAGCTGCAGCCGAATCCACCTTGAGCGCAGCGCTGGGGTCACAGCCTCCGACAGCTGCGTAAGACTTGTCCTCCCCGGGCCCTTTCAGCGGCCTTCCAGAGTTCAGCATCAGCGCTCCTGGCGCAGACCCCACTGCTGACTCCTTTCACTCCCCCGCCACCCCTTGAGCTATTTGAACTTCTCATCCACCTGCAGGGCCCCGATGTCACCGGCTGACGTCACCAGCTGTAGACAAACAGGAGCAGGTTTCTGTTTCCCCCTCCTGGCACCTGGCCAAATGCCCAGGTATGCACCCACCCCCTACTGCTGTCTCCGTGGGGCTGCCCACCAGACCCCAAGGAGATCGAATGGGGAGTCTGTAGATCCTGATGTTACCAAGCCTCAGAGGGCCAGGAGGAGCTCTGAGCCAGGCCCTCAAACCCAGTAGGGTCCACGGCTGGGAGAAGGTCAGGGGCCCAGCCTGCTCTCCCGCTGCGTGCTGTGGCTCGCTCCAAGGAGGATGGTGGCCACACTGCACACACCTCTGTCCCCCTGCAGGCTTTCTGGCCTCAGCTCCCACTGGGTTCGGACAAGGGCGCAGAGCCACCTGGGAGTAGCTCTTTTCCCAGGTCCCGCCCCGGCTGGGCTGCCGTGGGGGTGGCCTGCTCTACCAAACCCTGCTCCTGGCTCCTGCCAGGGCCGTCTCCAGGGCGACAGCCACACCTGCTGTTACCCAGTCAGGGCTCAAAGAGGTCACAGTTCCCTGTCCTTTCCAGTCTCCTCAGCCCCACCCACGCCTCTAAAACAGACTCTACCAACGCCCCCAGGGCAGTGCTGGGGTCCTGGCTGGTGGGTGTTTGCTCTCCTTGATTTCATTCCAGTCTTTGATAAGCATTCATTGAGCACCTGTTGTGTACACTAGGCCTGTTTAGGTGGTAGGACCGGAGGAATATGACTTGGGTCCTGGCCTGTGACAGGCAAGAGCAAAAGCAGGGGGGAGGAGGAAGTGGTAGGGAGATTTAGGGCCCCACGTGATCCCCAGCACCCCAATTCATGTCCCAGGAAGAAAAAAATGGTAACTCTTGGCCATGTTTTTCGATAGTCCCTAATCAGCTATGTCAGCTGAGAACACATCCAGACCACATAATATTTAATGATGATCTAGCACTGTCATTACCTATTTTTTAACAAGATGTCCAAGAAAGCCACCTGTGAGGATGTCAGATTGTCCTCCTGCTGTTTTTGTCATGCTCTACTTCTGCACACAGGAGACACACTCACAGGCAACATGCAAACACACATACATGGGAGAGACACACACACAGAGGAGAGTAGCAGGAACTAGAGGCTGGCCAGCTCTACCTTTTTTTCACTCCACCAACATGTTTTGAGTCCCCTCAGACAGATCAGGCCCCACCAGGTGTGGGGTTGCCCTTCCCTTGTGGAGGTCACCCAGGTAGTTCAGTCGGAGCTCCCAGTGGTGGCCAGGCCGAGAGCAGAGAGGCTTCTCTTGGTCCCTGTCACTCCTCCCTCCTACACTTCCTTTCCCCCTTGGCCCCGATGACCAAACCAACTATTGGACTAAGAGGCCTGTGGGGTCTCCTCAGGGTCTCCAGGCCTGGACACACCCTGCTGCTTTTCCTGGGCAAGAAGCTTGATGAGTTGGACATGCAGTGGTAGGTTGGAAGCTGAGGCAAGAGCGGGGCTAGAAAGAGTGGACCTGCTCTGGAATAAAGTATGGGAACATCAGGCATCTCTTGGAACACTGCAGGAAGGTGGGGGAAGGAATGGCACACAGTGGCAGCCTGAGCAGGGGCAGGAGGCCACTGTCCACTGAGCACCTTCAGGTGTTTGCCAACGTGCAACATGAACCCCTCCCTGAAGGCTGCCTCGCATTAGGCCTTGGTGCTCCCCCATGGGATCTGAGGAACACAGAGATGCCCATGGTGAAACGGCTCCATGAACTCAGCTGGCGTCAATAGGAGCTTCAGATCACAAGTGACCAGGAGAATATGTGCCCCTGAAGGACTATAGAAACCTGGAGGAGATGCTGGGTTTTCCGCAATTCCACCCGACCTGCACCCTGGGACAACATAGGGAAGCAGGTGCTGGTAAGGCTGCCGTTGCTGCCCCCCAGGCCCGTGGTGGGGGCAGGATGCACCATCACAGCCATTGGCCCCATTGGCAGAGCACACTTATATCACCCCCTGCTGCTCACACCAGCCCTGTGTATACTCAGGGATAGGGACAGGAATCATTCCCATTTTATAGATGGAAAAACTGTGTCCCGCAGAGAGGACATAATTGACCATACCTAGTAAGTGGTGCTATTAGGGCTGTTACTCAAGCCCCTGCCTGGAACCTGGACTTCCTCCTGCTGGGCTCGGAGAGCCCCATCAACCCACCCCTGCAGAAACCACCAGCTCCACACTGGCTTCCTAACCCACAAGCATCGCCAACTGTCCATCTCCCCGGAAAACATTCAGTTGCATCTCTATCTTATACCCTTCACGAAATACATTTTGGGTGGACTATTTCCTACATGCAAAATCCACAGTTGCCTTTATCTAAGTCTTAGGGTCAAAAACAGGAGGATAAGTTTGTAAACTTAGGTTAAAAATCTTCTCAATTAGCACACGAAAAGCAATAAATGAAAATAGTGATAAACTTGACTTCACTAAAATGAAAATTTTCCATATGATAAAAGATTCCACAGACAAGCTTGAAAGTCTTTCTACCAAATGGAGAAAGAATCTGCTATGTGTACAAGTGGCCAGAAAATATAAACAAGTCCTGCAAACCAACAGGAAAAGACTAACAATGCAGCGTGAGGCACAGGCCAAGGAGAACAAGGGCAAGTGCAAATGCAAGGTGGGAGGTGGGCAAGCTCACCACGGCCACAGCCATGGCCACTGAGGGAGTCTGAGCCATGCCCAGGTTGGCATTGAGTTTCCATCAGCTGGCAAATGTTTTGAGTTCATAACACACAGGAAGGGTGCGGGAGTGGGGAGCAGGTGTCTTCTGCATTGCCAGGGATTGTAAAGGGGCAGAGCTGCCCTGGGGCCTCCAGGCAGTGCTTACTGACATGCCACCCATGCACCTGGGAGCTGGCACTTCCATCCTCAGACTCCCCCAAGATTCCCCCAATATATATGCGGGCAGGTAAACAGAAGCCCAGCAGCACTGCCTATGACTGAAAACTGAAAGGTCTGGAAAGAATTGAAAATACCATTTGTAAGAAACTGGCAAAAGGAAACTATGTGTCTATGTGTGTGCATGTGCGCGTTTGTGTGTGTTCATCCATGTGTGTACGCCCATGCCATGGAATACAATGCTGCAATGAGGTGGACAACATCTCCAGTGAGGTAGACACAGGGTGATCTCCAAGGTCAGTGAAAATGTTCCGTGCACACCAGACCCATTGCTCTTGGAATCAAGACAAACCCACTCTCTGCCTTCCAGGCCCTCCCTAGCCCCTACTTCACTACCTGCCCTTGCTGTCAGCCCAGCTCCCAGGCCCTCTGCTCCCTTGTGGCCTTTCTCTGACCTTTCATCAACCTCAAGGCTGGCATGCATCCTTCACTCTGTTCTCCCCACTGGAGCCGGCCCTGAGGCTGCCTCCTATGGCAGCTTTTGCTAACCACTGCCCCTCAAGGTGCACCGTGCTCCTCACTGAGGTAAGACAGGTGCCCAGGGGCCCTGTCTGACTGCACGCTGCTCAGAGGCTGGCGGCAGCATTGGCGGCTCAAGGCCAGGCCAAGGTGGCAAGAGAGCAGCCTGTCGAAGGGCAGCCCTTATGAATGGGCTCTCGTCTGACTGTAATTGGAATTTGTATGAAGTCTCTACTTCCAAGAACTTCCCCAGCAGACGAATCTAGGCTAGAATCTGTTAGGAAAAAGGCTTATGGGGTGCCTGTATAAACTGGCTATAAAAATATGGGACAATAAGTTGTGGAAAGCCACAAGAGGCCTCTGAGGAGGAAAGCCTTCTTATCGCCATTATGTTCCCACGCTCTGAGTGTGACTTGCTGTCTTATCCATAAACACTGTGTTCAAGGAAAAAGACACTCCTTTAAAGCACTGGAATCTGGCCAGACGTGCAGGCTCCTAGTTAAGCCCGCTCCCACTAGCTACCCTCCAATAAGTTGAAGATACACTGAGCACAAAGGAGATCCATTTAAACTGCCACTGCTATAGATTACATGTATGACGCACTGCCTCCCTTTCACTATTTCGCCCTGAACATCTGCTTCTTAGATCTCAGTGATTGTACTCAATAAATAGTGTGGAGACCAGAGCTCTGAGTCTTTTGCAACCTCCATTTTGCAATTGACCCCCTAGCCCCTACTCTGTATGCACTTTTAACCTGTCTCTTCTCATTCCTTCATTGCCACCGGACTTTGGGTACCCTACAGGTGGTGTTGAGTCTGGTCCCCAGCAGAATCTCCTGGGAGCCAGCCATAAATCTTCCCAAAATGAGGGTGTGCAATCTCATTGCTCTGGAGGCACGCTGCTTGCCCTTGGAGCCGACCTGTCATTCTGCATCCTCCAGGCTCTGCCTGGAGCCAGGAGCCAGGCCAGGGAGAGGTGGACAGGAGTTGGCAGTCACTGTGAAGGAACACATTTTTATCATTTAATTAAGAGCCTCTCAGAAAAGCGAGCTCTGTTTCTTCTTGAGCTGGTCAAAGGAAATGAGAAGTGACATTTTCCCACTCCACCTTTCCCTTGGCCCAGGAAGCTCAAGCTGGAGGCACAGGATGTAGGCAGCCTCAGGCTGTGTGCATCCAGGGCTGGGCCCAGGGGCAGTGGCGAGGCGTGCAGCCTTTGCTGGGCTCTGGCTGTGCCCAGTGCTCTCACTCTCTCATTTGCTCTCATAAGTGCCGTCTGCATTATCGATCACCCTCTGGGTCCCTCCACAATGCAGGGGCTTCAGGCTGCACCCACTCTTTGAGAGTGCTGCACTCTTGTACTCTGCCTCTCCCAAGCATGTGTGTGACAGCAAGATGGCTGCAGATATGCAACTTCCAATAATCAATCAACTCTTAAATGATCCTCAATAAACACTGAGGTAATCACCAGGAGCCCCACACCAGCATGTCTGTACCCATCTGTTGCTCTATCCACCTTGATGCATGACTGACAAGTGTTCACACATGCACCACTGGCAGGCTCCGCTCCTGCTTTGGAGGATGCAGGCAGGGCGTCACTCTTGGGGCTCCCGTCTCCTGGGGAGATAGAGTGAGGGAGGGGCACTCACAAAGCACCTCCCAAGCCAGTTTCTGACCCTGCGATTGCCCAGCGTCTGAGGGAACTGACCCGCAAACTCACTGAGCTCCACAGAGTTGCACCTGGGGGCCCAGAAGGGGCTGTCCTGGCCTGGTACAAAGACCCCCGGCAGAAGAGCTCAAATGTCCTCAATTCTCCCCCAGTACGGGGCACCCAAAACATGCAGCTCCATTTTAATGAGCAGCTGCTGTCCTTTTTTGGCTGCTATGGGTCAGCTTTGCCCAGGATGCAACCTCTGGGGAGCCTGAATCCAGCTGGCAGGTGAGGCATGTGCCTGGAGAACTGTAAGAACATTGGGGCTTCATGCCTCACTTTACAAGGCAGCAAATGGAGGCCACAGAGGGCAAGACACATGGCCAGGGATGCACAGGGGCAGGATGAGGAATGGGGCCTTGCTCCCACCCTGCACTAGGAGACCCAGGCCCACCTATTCCAGACAAGGAGTCCGTGGGCCAGGGATGGGACTCATCTGTGCATGGAGGGCCCAGGGTGGTTCTTCCCTGAAGGGGCAGGTGGTCAAACACTGTCAGGGAGGGACAAATGGCATCTACTCAGCAGAGGGTTTTAGCGCTTCCTTAGTTCTTGGGCTTCACTGGGCCTTTCTGCCAACAAGCATTGCCCCTGACCCCATGTGGACACTCTCCCAGGGTAGAGTCCATGGCTGGCCAGCCTGAGCTGCTCCAGACAGGCCAGCAGAAGTATCCAAGTGGCTGGAGCCACCTAGACCTGAGCACACATCCATTTGTTCTTGCGGCAATTACTTACTGAGCCTGGGCAGAGACAAGATGACCCACCCTGGATGAAGGCTATGAAGAATATAAAGCAGGGCTGGTGGGGTGGGGACATCATGCAAATGTAGTGGGATGGTGGGGAAGCCTCTCTGTCAAGGTAGCCAACAAGGAGAAGCCAGATGTGCTGACAGCTGTCTAGGGTGGAGAGCAGCAGAGCAAAGGCCCTGTGGCAGGAATGGGCTTGGAGTGTTCGAGGCAGGAGAAAGACCAGTGTGATGGAGCCAAGTGAACCAGGAAAGTGCAAAGGCCAGAGAAGCACGCAGCCTGGGGCATGGGTTCCATTCCCAGTGCAGGAAACAGGGATTTGAAGCAAGGGTTGGCATGGTTGATACTTTCAGAAGAGTCAGTCTGAGAAGGGCCCTGGATGCCGGGCTGAGGAGGTGGAACTTCCTTCTGGAGGAGAAAGGAAGCCCAAAGAGGCTTTTCAGCAGGGAGCTGGCAGGTCACTCTCCAGCTGTGGGAGCTAGCCCCTTCTCCAGGAGCTGTGCAGGTGCTGGGCACCATCAAGACAGCACCACTCCTCCCAACTGTGAGACTTGGGACAGGGTCACCTTCTCAAATTCTGTTTTCGTCTCTGTAAAATAGAGATGAAATTTTAGACAATAACCAGCTACTCCAGCCAAACACCATGCAAAAAGTGGTGGCTTGTTCCCATTCACACCATCAAAGACCGAGGGGGGAGCCTGGACTTCCACCTTGGCCAGGCTATAATGAGGTGCCCAATCTCCCTGTCTTCCTGTTGAGCGGTATCAAAGAGGGCTCAGTGAGGGTCCAGGACCTTTATCCCCACCAGGCAGTAACCAGCCCCTTCCACCCCATGGTGTCAGTAGAGGCTGCACAGGGAGCTAGAGCCCTCGGGGGAACCCAGACACCTATGCCCACCTTCCACACTGTGCCTGCCAGAATGGTGTCAGAAGCCGTCAGCTAAACGAGAAGATTTAAACTCAGATTCAGAATCTTATAACATACTGCACAAATAACACAATAAAGGAGCTCAGCAGCAGCATGGGGGGACAAAGGAACATATCCGTGAACTCCAAGAGAAACAATATAAATTATTTAATCTGAACAACAAAGCTGCAATAGATTGAAAATGAAAATAAAAAGAACAATCCCTCAGGAACCTGTGAGACTGTAGCGAAGGATCTAATTCATGTTACTGAGTCTCAGAAGGAGAGGAGAAGGAGGTGGGCCTTAAAAAGGACTCAAAGATACAATGGTTGAAACTCCCTAAATCTGGCAAAAGACATACACATACGAATTCAAGAAGCTGAGTTACTCAAATAGGATAAACCAAAAAAAAAAAAAAAAATCCACACCACGACACATCATGGTTAAACTCCTGAAAAATAAAAACAAAGAAAAAATCTTAAAAGCAATTGGGAAAGAAAAGACCCCGTCCTACCTATAAGGGAAAAAAAAATAAGAATGACAACATATTTCTCATTAGAAAGCACAGAGGTCAAAAGTGGCACATTTTTCAAGTGCTGAAAGAAAATAACTATCAACTCAGAATTCTATTTCCAGTAAAATATTCTTCGGGAACAAAGGAAATTAAGATAGTCTCAAATGAAGGAAAAATAACAGAATTTGACAATAGCTGACCTAGCCTAGAATGATTAAAATAAGTTCTCTAAACAGAAAGAAAATATTAAAATAAGGGATCTCGAAGCATCAGAAAGGAACAGAAAAACAGTAAGAGTAAAAAATATTGGTAAACATTTCCTCCTCATTTTCAGTTTTTCTAAATTATGTTTGCAGTTGTCACAAAAATTATACTCTCTGATGTATTTCTGTATGCATATTGAGAAAATATTTAAGACAATTGTATTATAAATACAGGAGGATAAAGTAGCTTGAAAGGGCATGAGTTTTCTATACTTTACTTAAACTAGTAAAATATTAACATCAGTACACTAAATTATGTATATATAATGTAATACATCAAATAGCCATTTTAAAAGCTATACAAAAAGATACACTCAAAACACACTACAGACAAATCAAGATGGAATTCTAAAAAACTTTAAATAACCCACTGGAAGGGGAAAGAAGCTCAGATAAACTAAAAATAGTGAGAACAAACAGAAAATCAAAACAAAAAATAAAATGGACAACTTAAGCCCTAACATGTCAATAATTACATAAAAATACAAATGGTCTAAACATACCAATTAAAAGACAGAGATGGGCAGAATAAATTAAAAATATGACCCATCTATATGCTGTCTTATTATAAGAAACTCACTTCAAATATAATGATATGGGTAGGCTGGAAGTAAAATAATGGAAAAAGATATCTCAGGCAAACATCAATCAAAAGAAAGAAAGCAGGAAAAAGTGTATTAATATTAGATAAAGTACATTTTAGAGCAAATAAAGTTACTGGAGACAGAAAGGGACATTATATAAGGATGAATGGGTCATCCACCAAGAAGACATAGCAATTCTAAACATGTATGCACCAAACAACAGAGCTGAAAAATATGTGAAGCAAAATCTGATAAAACTAAAAATGAGAAATATATAAACCCACACCTCTTTCAAAAATCATAGAACTACTATTTCAACACAGAATTACTTTCAACAATTCATAGAACTACTAACAGAAAATTAGCAAAGATATAGAAGAACTCAACAACACCATCAAAGAACAGTGTCTATTCAACAGATGGAGAAAGCCACATATGGTAACAGTAGAATACACATTCTTTTCAAATGCCCATGGAACACATTCCAAAAGAGACTGTATGTAGGCCTTAAAATAAACCTCAAAAATTTAAAAATAATTGAAGTTATGTAGAGCGTGTTCTCTGACTGCAATGGAATTCAACTAGAAATCAATGATGGAAAGATAATAGGAAAATCTCTAAAGAGTTTAAAACAAAAAAACACATGTCTAAATAATCCACAACTCAAAGGGGAAACCTCAAGGGATATATAAACATATATTGGACTAAATGAAAATGAAAATGCAATATACCAAAATTGTAGGACACAGCTAAAATAGTGCTGACAGGATGGTGGATAGCACTAAATGCCTATATCACAGAAGAGGAAATATCTTAAGTCGTTAATCTATGTCTATATCTCAAGAATCTAGAAGAGAAGAGCAAAATAAATCCAAAACAAGTAGGAGGGAATAATAAAAATAAAGGCAGACATCAATGAAATTTAAAACAGAAAAACTATAGATAAAATAAATGAAACAAAAAGATTCTTTTAAAAGATTGATAAAATTGACAAACCTTTAGCAAGACGGATGAAGAAGAAAGAGAAAACACAAATCATCAGTATCGTGAATGAAACAGGATATCACTGCAGACCCTGAAGACTGAAGGAAATCAAGGGAATATTATGAACAACTTTACACATGTAAATTTGACAGCTTACATAAAATGGATGAGTCCCTCCAAAACCAACTATACCTCACTGAATGTAAAATAGATACATCAAATAGCCTATAGCCATTAGTAAAATTTAATTCATAATTTAAAACCTCCCCAGAAAGAAATCTTCATGTCCAGATGGTATCACTGCAAAATTCTACCAAATGTTTAAAGAAGAATTAACACCAATTCAGCACACCCTTTTCCAGAAAATAGAACAGAAGCAAATGCTTCCCAATACTATTGCTAGTATTACCGTGATACAAAACTAAGTCTGTCTTAGTCTGTAACCAAATAAGAAATAAAAGGCATTCAGACTGGGAAGGAAGTAATAAAACTGCCCCTGTTGCTAATGACATGATTCGTCTGTAACAGACTAAGAGAGTATTAAAATAGAAAACCATAGACCAATATTCCTCGTAAATATAGATATAAATATTCCTAACAAAATATTGGCAAATAAAACTCAGCAATCTATAAAAATAATAATATGCCATGACCAAGTGGGGTTTATTCCAGGGATGCAAAGGTAGTTTCAATATGTGAAAATCAATCAGTGTAATCCACTTGATAAACAGGCTAAAGAAGAAAAATCACATAATCATATTAATTGAGGAAGAAAATGTATTTGACAAAATTCAGCACCCTCTGGGATGGTGAAAATATTCTGGAGCTAGATAGTGGTGATAGTTGCACAACATTGTAAATGTCCTAAATGTCACTGAATGCACAGTTTATACTGCTTAGAATGGTAAATTTTAAGTTATGTGTATTTTATGAAAATAAAAATTTAAATTCAATAGCTATTCATAAAGAAACTCATAAAAATAAGAACAGAGGGGAATGTCCTCAACTTAATAAAGAATATTGACAAAAACCTAACATTTAACATTATACCTACTGGTGAAAGACTGGATAATTTCCCCAAAGATCAGGAGAAAGGCAAGGGTACTTCTCTTGCCACTTTGGTTCAGCAGTATCCTAGAGTTTCCAGATAGTGCAATAAAGCAAGAAAAAAGAAATAAAAGACATTCAAACTAGGGAGGAAGAAATAAAACTTCCCATGTTTGCTAATGACATGATTGTCTATATAGGAAATTCTAAGAAATTTACCCAAAAAAGCCAAAAAAAAAAAAAAAAGCAAAAAACCAAAACCAAAACAAAACCACCACAAATAAGTGAGTTAAGGAAAGTCTCAGGTTATGAGGTAAACATACAAAGAAACTGGTGAGTTTCTACACACTAGCATGAACACAGGGACACTGGAATTAAAAATTACAGTAACTAAAACTAATGAAATACTTAGGTGTAAATCTAACAAAACATGTTCAGGACTTGTATGCCAAAAACTACAAAATGCTGATGAAAGAAATTTTTTAAAAATCTAAATAAATGGAGAGACATACTGTGTTCATGGATTGGAAGTCTCAACATGGGAAGATATCAATTCTCTTTAAGTTGATTTTCAGGTTTAACACAATTTCTATCAAAATTTCAGCAAGACTTTTTGAAGATATAGACGTTATTCTAAAATTTACATGGAAATGCAAAGGAACTGGGATAGCTAAAACAATTTTGAAAAAGAATAGAGTAGGAGGAATCCATCTATGTGATTTTAAGATATTATTTAGCTACAGTTATCAAGACTGTGAAGCATTGGTAGAGAGTTAATTACATAGATTAATGGAACAGAGTAGAGAACCCAGAAATAAACCCACAGCAATATGTCCAGCTGATTTTTGACAAAGGTGCAAAAATAATTAAATGGAGCAAAGATGGTGCCAGAGAAATCAGACATTCATAGGCAAAAACCAACCAAACAGAAACCTGAACCTTGACCCAAATCTCACATCTGATTTTTAAAAATTAACTTAAAAAGGATAATAGATTTAAATGTAAAATTTAGAACTATAAAACTTTTAGCAAAAAATAATAGAAACTTTTCAGGATTTAGGGCTAGGCAAAGTGTTCTTAAATTTGATGCAAGACACAAAATTCATAAAAA
The DNA here is from genome assembly GCF_000001405.40 of Homo sapiens. NCBI lineage: Eukaryota > Metazoa > Chordata > Mammalia > Primates > Hominidae > Homo > Homo sapiens. Next base: position 37,692,749 of record NC_000010.11, read on the forward strand.
GAAAAATTGATACGTTGGATTCATCAGAATGAACAAATTTTCCTCTGCAAAAGATCACTCTGGAAGGCAGACGTAGGCAGATCATGAGGTCAGTAGTTCGAGACCAGCCTGGCCAACATAGTGAAACCCTGTCTCTACTAAAAATACAAAAAATTAGCCAGGCGTGGTGGCAGGCACCTGTAATCCTAGCTACTCAGGAGGCTGAGGGAGGAGAATCACTTGAACCCGGTAGGTGGAGGTTGCAGTGAGCTGAGATCATGCTATTGCACTCCTGCCCTAGTGACAGTGCGAGACTCTGTCTCAAAGAAAAAAAAAAGGATAAAAAGACAATCTACAGACTAGGAGAAAGTATTTGCAAACCACATATCTGACAAAAAATAGTCTAAAATATACAAAGAATTCTCAGAACACAACAAAACTCCAATTAGCAAACAGGCAGAAGTAAAGAGATCTTTCACCAAAGAGATGGCAAATAAGCACATAAAACTGACTGTCAGTGATGTGTAAATTAAAACCACTACACACTTATCAGAATGGCTAAAATAAAAATTAAAAAATAGCAACACCAGCAAATGCTGGCAAGGATACAGACATAGTGGATCACTCATTCATTGCTATTGAGAATGTAAAATGATAAAGACACTCTGGAAAACAGTCTGTCAGTTTCTTTAAAAACTAAATATGCTGAAACATCCCTTCTGACAGCTTTGAAGAGAGTAGTGGCTCTCCCAGCACGGAGTTTGTGACCTGAGAACGGACAGACGGCCTCCTCAAGTGGGTCTCTGACCCCTGAGTAGCCTAACTGGGAGACACCTCCCAGTATGGGCTGACTGACACCTCATACAGCTGGGTGCCCCTCTGAGACGAAGCTTCCAGAGGAAGGAACAGGCAGTAACATTTGCCATTCTGCAATATTTGCTGTTCTGCAGCCTCTGCTGGTGATACCTAGGCAAACAGAGTCTGGAGTGGACCTCCAGCAAACTCCAACAGACCTGCAGCTGAGGGTCCTGACTGTTAGAAGGAAAACTAACAAACAGAAAGGACATCCACACCAAAATCCCATCTGTACGTCACCATCATCAAAGACCAAAGGTAGATAAAACCACAAAGATGGGGAGAAACCAGAGCAGAAAAGCTGAAAATTCTAAAAATCAGACTGCCTCTTCTCCTCCAAAGGAATGCAGCTCCTTGCCAGCAATGGAACAAAGCTGGATGGAGAATGACTTTGACGAGTTGAGAGAAGAAGGCTTCAGATGATAGGTAATACCAAACTTATCTGAGCTAAAGGAGGATGTTCGAATCCATCGCGAAGAAGCTAAAAACCTTGAAAAAAGACTAGACAGATGGTTAACTAGAATAAACAGTGTAGAGAAGACCTTAAATGACCTGATGGAGCTGAAAACCACGGCAGGAGAACTACGTGATGCATGCACAAGCTTCAGTAGCCAATGTGATCAAGTGGAAGAAAGGGTATCAGTGACTGAAGATTAAATAAATGAAATGAAGCAAGAAGAGAAGTTTAGAGTAAAAAGAGTAAAAAGAAATGAACAAAGCCTCCAAGAAATATGGGACTATGTGAAAAGACCAAATCTACGTCTGGTTAGTGTACCTGAAAGTGACGGGGAGAATGGAACCAAGTTGTAAAACCCTCTGCAGGATAATATCCAGGAGAACTTCCCCAACCTAGCAAGGCAGGCCAACATTCAAGTTCAGGAAATACAGAGAACACCACAAAGATACTCCTCGAGAAGAGCAACCCCAAAACACATAATTGTCAGATTCACCAAAGTTGAAATGAAGGAAAAAATGTTAAGGGCAGCTAGAAAGAAAGGTTGGGTTACCCACAAAAGGAAGCCCATCAGACTAACAGCTGATCTCTCGGCAGAAACTCTACAAGCCAGAAGAGTTGGGGCCAATATTCAACATTCTTAAAGAAAAGAATTTTCAACCCAGAATTTCATATCCAGCCAAACTAAACTTCATAAGTGAAGGAGAAATAAAATACTTTACAGAAAAGCAAATGCTGAGTGATTTTCTCACCACCAGGCCTGCCTTACAAGAGATCCTGAAGGAAGCACTAAACATGCAAAGGAACAACTGGTACCAGCCACTGCAAAAACATGCCAAATTGTAAAGACCATTGAGCCTAGGAAGAAACTGCATCAACTAATGAGCAAAATAACCAGCTAACATCATAATGACAGGATCAAATTCACACATAACAATATTAACCTTAAATGTAAATGGGCTAAATGCTCCAATTAAAAGACACAGACTGGCAAATTGGATAAAGAGTCAAGACCCATCAGTGTGCTGTATTCAGGAGACCCATCTCATGTGCAGAGACACACATAGGCTCAAAATAAAGGGATGGAGGAAGATCTACCAAGCAAATGGAAAACAAAAAAAAAGCAGGGGTTGCAATCTTAGCCTCTGATAAAACAGGCTTTAAACCAACAAAGATCAAAAGAGACAAAGGCCATTACAGAATGGTAAAGGGAGCAATTCAACAAGAAGAGCTAACTATTCTAACTATATATGCACCAATACAGGAGCACCCAGATTCATAAAGCAAGCCTTAGAGACCTACAAAGAGACTTAAACTCCCACACATTAATAATGGGAGACTTTAACACCCCACTGTCAACATTAGATAGATCAATGAGACAGAATGTTAACAAGGGTATCCAGGAATTTGAACTCAGCTCTGCACCAAGCAGACCTAGCAGACATCTACAGAACTCTCCACCCCAAATCAACAGAATATACATTCTTCTCAGCACCACATCGCACTTATTCCAAAATTGACCACATAGTTGGAAGTAAAGCACTCCTCAACAAATGTAAAAGAACAGCAATTATAACAAACTGTCTCTTAGACCACAGGGCAATCAAACTAGAACTTGGGATTAAGAAACTCACTCAAAACCACTCAACGACATTGAAACTGAACAACCTGCTCGTGAATGACTACTGGGTACATAACAAAATGAAGGCAGAAATAAAGATGTTCTTTGAAATCAGTGAGAACAAAGACACAACATACCAGAATCTCTGGGACACATTTAAAGCAGTGTGCAGAGGAAAATTTATAGCACTAAATGCCCACAAGAGAAAGCAGGAAAGATCTAAAATTGACACCCTAACATCACGATTAAAAGAACTAGAGAAGCAACAGCAAACATATTGAAATGCTAGCAGAAGGCAAGAAGTAAGATCAGAGCGGAACTGAAGGAGATAGCAACACAAAAAACCCTCCAAAAATCAATGAATCCAGGAGCTGGTTTTTTGAATAGGTCAACAAAATTGATAGACCACTAGCAAGACTAATAAAGAAGAAAACAGAGAAGAATCAAAGAGATGCAATAAAAAATGATAAAAGGGATATCACCACTGATCCCACAGAAATACAAACTACCATCAGAGAATACTGTACCAACACCTCTATGCAAATAAACTAGAAAATCTAGAAGAAATGGATAAATTCCTGGACACATACACTCTCGCAAGACTAAACCAGGAAGAAGTTGAATCCCTGAATAGACCAATAACAGGCTCTGAAATTGAGGCAATAATTAATAGCCTACCAACCAAAAAAAGTCCAGGACCAGACAGATTAACAACAGAATTCTACCAGAGATACAAAGAGGAGATGGCACCATTCCTTCTGAAACTATTCCAATCAATAGAAAAAGAGGGAATCCTCCCTAACTCATTTTATGAGGCCAGCATCATCCTGATACCAAAGCATGGCAGAGACACAACAAAAAAAAGAGAATTTTAGACCAATATCCCTGAAGAACATTGATGCAAAAATCCTCAATAAAATGCAGGCAAACCAAATCCAGCAGCACATCAAAAAGCTTATCCACCACGATCAAGTTGGCTTCATCCCTGGGATGCAAGACTGGTTCAACATATGCAAATCAATAAACATAATCCATCATATAAACAGAACCAAAGACAAAAAACACACGATTATCTCAATAGATGCAGAAAAGGCCTTTGACAAAATTCAACAGCACTTCATGCTAAAAACTCTCAATAAACTAGGTATTGATGGGACGTATCTCAAAATAATAAGAGCTATTTCTAACAAACCCACAGCCAATATCATACTGAATGGGCAAAAACTGGAAGCATTCCCTTTGAAAACTGGCACAAGACAGGGATGCCCTCTCTCCCCACTCGTGTTCAACATAGTGTTGGAAGTTCTGGCCAGGGCGATCAGGCAGGAGAAAGAAATAAAGGGTATTCAATTAGGAAAAGAGGAAGTCAAATTGTCCCTGTTTGCAGATGACATGATTGTATATTTAGAAAACCACATCTTCTCAGCCCAAAATCTCCTTAAGCTGATAAGCAACCTCAGCAAAGTCTCAAGATACAAAATCAATGTGCAAAAATCACAAGCATTCCTATACACCAATAAAAGACAGAGAGCCAAATCATGAGTGAACTCCCATTCACAATTGCTTCAAAGAGAATAAAATACCTAGGAATCCAACTTACAAGGGTTGTGAAGGACCTCTTCAAGGAGAACTACAAACCACTGCTCAATGAAATAAAAGAGGACACAAACAAATGGAAGAACATTCCATGCTCATGGATAGGAAGAATCAATATCGTGAAAATGGCCATACTGCCCAAGGTAATTTATAGATTCAATGCCAGCCCCATCAAGCTACCAATGACTTTCTTCACAGAATTGGAAAAAACTACTTTTAAGTTCATATGGAACCAAAAAAGAGCCTGCATTGCCAACACAATCCTAAGCCAAAGGAGCAAAGCTGGAGGGATCATGCTACCTGACTTCAAACCATACTACAAGCCTATAGTAACCAAAACAGCATGGTGCTGGTACCAAAACAGAGATATAGACCAATGGAACAGAACAGTGCCCTCAGAAATAATACCACAGATCTACTACCATCTGATCTTTGACAAACCTGACAAAAACAAGAAATGGGGAAAGGATTTCCTATTTAATAAATGGTGCTGGGAAAACTGGCTAGCCATATGTAGAAAGCTGAAATGATCCCTTCCTTACACCTTATACAAAAATTAATTCAAGATGGATTAAAAACTTAAATATTAGACCTAAAACCATAAAAATCCTAGAAGAAAACCGAGGCAATACCATTCAGGACATGGGCATGGGCAAGGACTTCATGACTAAAACACCAAAAGCAATGGCAACAAAAGCCAAAATTGACAAATGGGATCTAATTAAACTAAAGAGCTTCTGCACAGCAAAAGAAACTACCATCAGAGTGAACAGGCAGCGTAAAGAATGGGAGAAAATTTTTACAATCTACCCATCTATCAAAGGGCTAATATCCAGAATCTACAAAGAACTTAAACAAATTTACAAGAAAAAATGAAACAACCCCATCAAAAAGTGGGCGAAGGATATGAACAGACTCTTCTCAAAAGAAGACATTTATGCAGCCAAAAAAAACACATGAAAAAATGCTCATCATCGCTGGCCATCAGAGAAATGCACATCAAAACCACAATGAGATACCATCTCACACCAGTTAGAATGGTGATCATTAACAAGTCAGGAAACAACAGGTGCTGGAGAGGATGTGGAGAAATAGGAACGCTTTTACACTGTTGGTGGGCGTGTAAACTAATTCAACCATTGTGGAAGACCGTGTGGCAATTCCTCAGGGATCTAGAACTAGAAATACCATTTGACTCAGCCATCCCATTACTGGGTATATACCCAAAGGATTATAAATCATGCTGCTATAAAGACACACGCACATGTATGTTTATTGTGGCACTATTCACAATAGCGAAGACTTGGAACCAACCCAAATGTCCATCAATGATAGACTGGATTAAGAAAATGTGGCACATATACACCATGGAATACTATGCAGCCATAAAAAAGGATGAGTTCATGTCCTTTGTAGGGACATGGATGAAGCTGGAAACCATAATTCTGAGCAAACTATAGCAAGGACAGAAAACCAAACACTGCATGTTCTCACTCACAGGTGGGAGTTGAACAATGAGAACACTTGGACACAGGGTGGGGAACATCATACACCAGGGTCTGTCGTGGGGTGGGGGGAGGGGGGCAGGATAGCATTAGGAGATATACCTAATGTAAATGAGGAGTTAATGGGTGCAGCACACCAACATGGTACATGTATACCTATGTAACAAACCTGCACGTTGTGCACATGTACCCTAGAACTTGAAGCATTAAAAAAAAAGACTTAGACTTGAGTAGCAGACTTCACATCAGAGTAATTTATTACCTCACAGGGTTCAACAAACATTTTAGTTTGTGAACAGTCCCTTAGTAAAGCAGCAGCCTTCATTTAAATTTATCAAGAAAGAGGCCGGGCATGATGGCTTACCCCTGTAATCTCAGTACTTTGGGAGGCCGAGGCAGGTGGGTCATCTGAGGCCAGAGGTTAAGGACCAGCCTGAGCAGCATGGTGAAAGCCCCGTCTCTGCTGAAGATACAGACGTTGTGGTACATGCCTGTGGTCCCAGCTGCTCAGGAGGCTGAGGACAAGAATTGCTTGAGCCCGGGAGGTGGAGGCTTCAGTGGGCCGAGATTGCGCCACTGCACTCCAGCCTGGGTGACACAACGAGACTCTGTCTCAAAAAAATTTTAAAAAAATTAAATAAAAACAAATATGCCACTACCGTATGATCCAGTAACTGCATTCCTGGGCACTGTATCAGAGAAATGAAGACTTGTGCTTACACAAAAATCTGTACATGAATGTTTAGAGCAGCTTTTTGGGTAGTAGTTGAAAACTGGGAACACCCTAGATGTCCTTTATTGGGTAAATGGTTTAAACTATGGTTTATCCATACCATGGAATACTGCTCAGTGGGATAAAGGACCAAACTCTTGTTATAGGCATCAACCTGGGTGAACCTGCAGAGAAGCATGCTCTGTGAAATAGCCAGTGACAAAACGTTACACACGGTATGATTCCATTTATATAATATTCTTGAAATGACAACTTTTATATGAAAATGGTGCAAAAGTAACTAAGGTTTAATAGAAATGCAGACTGGGTTAGTGTAGTGGTTCCCAGGGGTTAAGGGCAGTGTGGGGTTAGGGGCAGGGAATTCCTCTCCTTGAGGGAGCTAGGTGGGAAGTGGGTGTGGCTATAAAAGAGAAACGTGAGGGATCCTGGTGGGGAGGGGATGTTCTGTCTCTCCACAGTATCAATGTTAGCATCCTGGTTGTGACATTGTAGTATAGTTTTATAAGATGTTACCTCTGGAGGAAACTAGGTAAAGAGTACACAAGACCTCTCTGTTTTATTTCTTAGAACTGTATGTGAATCTACAATTATTTCAAAATAAAGTTTAATTGAATAAAAAAGAAATCACTAAAAAAAGTTGCCTAGAAGATTTAACAAAATTAAACCAATCTGTGAATTTAATGACATGTTATAAAGCATCCAACTTTATTACTTAATTGCTAGACTTCATCCAAGCAATATATAGCCATTGCCTAAAACATTTCAACATATCACAAGCTTTGTAAAGAAAAAGGGCAGTCCCCTGCCCTAATCCCCATCCCTAGAAGCATTCCATGTGAGTCTGTTGGCTGTTCCTTCTCACATTTTATTGTATGATTCCAAGTAAAATGCTTACACGGCCGGTTCTTGGTTTTTCCATTTTAGGTGTTAACCGAATGATGGACTTCTTCCCAGGGTGAATGACAGTCCTGTTCCCTTACATCCCCTCCCACTGCCCCCACCCCACACACACATCCTTCCATCTTCCCTTCCTTCCAGTGGAGTTAGATCATGATATTGGGTCAAATTAATGTTTTATTTTTAACACATGGCTAAGTAAATACCCTTCGCAGCTGAGTCCCACCCTTTTCTAGCCATCCGTCCGTTCATGCAATAAATGCTTATTGGCACCCAGTGTGAGTCAGGCACTGTTGCAGGTGCCAGGGACACAGCACTGTAAAAGCAAATGGGTCCTGTCCTGGAGAAGCTTCCACTTTTGAGGATTGGGAGCCCAGTAAGAAACAAGTTCTGGCATATTTTTTCCGGAGATAAGCACCAAGGAGGAGCCCTAGACGGGGTGCCATGGATGGGGTGCCATGAGCAGGGGTGCCCTAGGGAGGCCTGAGGAGGAGACCTTGCCAGGGCTTGAGGGGAGAAGAGGGGACTTGCGGGCTCCTAGAGGAAGAGCTCATCCAAGAAGGACGGCAGAAGCCCAAAGTCCTGGGAATGCGCTCGCTGTCCCGAGGCCCACGTGAAGGGGCTGACATGGGTGGAGGGACGCCAGCTGAGTCCCCTCTTGACACCCGGAGCCCCACTGCTGAGGGACATCACTTGCTTCTCTTATTGACGCTGGCACCACCCCTCGGCCGCAACTAAAGTTCAGCTGTTTCCACTCTGAAACCACTACCTCTCATCTGTTCCTGTTCTTCCCGCAGCGTCACCCCCATCCTCCCCCCACCCTCTGCCTCACAGGCACAAACACTGGGGAGCCCACGTGGAGGGAGGAGGCCGCACAGGGACCTCCCCGGGGAAATGAGGCTCCAGCTGGATTTGAACACGCAGGGAGGAGGTGAGGATGCTGCTTTCCCAACAGCTGGGCCGCCTTGTCCTTGTCACCACTCTGGTTTCTCAGCCCAGGCTATTTTGGGTCAGGCTGCGAGGACTGCTGTGTCAGCAGGTGGGCGTGAGTGGCGGTTTCCACCTCCCCACGCTGGGCGGGGCACAGCTCCAGGCCGGGCCGACTCAGGCTGCGCCAGGGTCCGCTAGCCTCTGGGATGCATGGGGACCCCTGGGACGAGGGAGCACTCTCCTGAGCAGGAAATCAGGTCCCAGATAACATGGGCTTCAGCGGGCTCAGGCCGGGGAGGGGACAGGTGTCTCTCAGAGCGAAGGACAGAGGGGCGGAGGAACTGTGCACAGCAGAGGGCAGCGTCTCAGGGCGGGCTGGAATCTGGGGAGCGCTTCACCAGGAGGGGTCAGTGGCCCGGGCCTTCCAGGCTGAGTGGCACTGGGCAGAGGCACGAGCAAAGTCAGGAGGCGCTGGGACTATTTAGGGAGCGGGGAGGCTCACCTGGGACACAGTGGCTGGGCCAGGAAGAGGCCACCAGTCAGGCACGGGGCAGCAGGCCAGGGAGTTCCGATTTCCCTGGCTCCCGCTGGCCCGCATCTTGCAAGCTGGAGATTTCCCCCACTCTGTGGAACCCTAACAGCGGTGCCTTGTGCCTCATCCCAGGAGGCTGACCCCTTCTCTTGGCCAGTTCTACCCTCTCTGCCTCAGCAACCTCCACCCTTGTGGCTGAATGAAGCACTCTGAACAGAGACCTTTTGAAAAAAGTCTAAATGCCCTCTTCTTTGGTGCTGGGAGCAAAAGGGAAAAATAGAATCAACTCCAGTGATCCATTCCAGTCTCCTTCCGGACTGCAGAAATGAGCAAAGTCATGTGGGCCCACAGGTGGGGCAGGCCCAGCTGCAGGCATCCCCCTCCTCCCTGTCCTCAGCCAGGCCTACTCTCAGAGCCTGCTGCCCTTCCCAGGCCAGAGAGGCGCCTCCCAGTGGGAACCCCGGTGGAGGGAAGGCCCGCTCCACAGCTCAGTCGCCAGGAACTGCAGTCGGCCGGGCACCGCCAGGTACTTTTTGACTCATGGGTCATTTTGTTCCAACATGTGTATCCCCTTAAAACTCAGAATAGACTCTGGTCTTGTTTACCCGTGGTTTTTTTTTTGTTTTTTTTTTTCCCTTTGAACAAGGAGGAAGACTCTCTATAGGCAGAAAGTCCCCAACTGTCCTAGTCCTGGGGCTGCTATTAAAAAGTACCATAGACTGGGGGCTGAAACAACAAACACATCTCACAATTCTGAAGGCTGGAGGGCCACGGCAAGGTGCTGGCAGATCCACTGTATGGTGAGCCCTCCCCTTCTGGCTCATCCCTGGTGCCTTCTCCTGTGTCCTCATGTGGTGGGCAAAGCAGCTCTCTGAGGTCCTTGTGTAAGGACACCAATCCCATTCACCAGAGCACTGCCCTTGTGGCCTCACCACCTCCCAAATGCCCCATGTCTTAATGCCATCACCATGTGAGGGAAGGTTTCAACCTGTGGATTTCAGGGAGATACACACTTGGCCCACAGCACATACTCAGGCTGAAGCTTGCTCTGCCATTTCCACAGACCCCTCAGGACCCGTTGCGGTGCTGGTCTGCAGCTCTGTTAAGCTCCTGCCATGCTTGGCCAGGCTGAGCACAGCTGCCCTGCTTGCCCACACCATCCCAGCCCTGATGATTAATTGCATAATTAGCTAGAAGGTGGGTGAATATTCCTGTTCCCTCCCCTAAAGCTCAAGCACCGCTTTCAGCAAGGTTCTGCTGTCCCTCTGTCACAATCAAGGGACAATGAGGTACTGAGGGTCCCATGGCATGGCCCTGCAGCCAATCATCAGGACTGAGCATGGGAGTCAGCCCCCAGCTGTCATGCCTGGAACCCCTGATCTTGCTTACTGCCAAGCCCAGGGAGGGCTGTCACTTCCCTGGGAAGGGTCCTCCACGCTGAGGACATCCTGAGAGTGCCGACTGATTCAACAAACTGGAGGAGGGAACCTGGGCAGGAGGCCTCGGGAGGGCCTGAGTGGCAGCAGACTGTAGGCACAGGGATGGAGAGAGGATGCTGTGTGTGGGCAGGTCAGCGAGGAAGGTTGGTGAGGCCTGTGGGTCTAGGACAAGGAAGAGTCAAAGATGACTTGAGGGTTTCTGGGGGCACAAAAGGGAGGATGGTGAGGCCATCAGGGATGGGGCAAGCTGTAGAGGGTGCTGTGAGGGGCTTTGGCAGTGGAGACTTGAGCTTTCTGAGTCTAATGGAAGAAAGAGAAATTAGAGAGAAGGGCCGCAAGGGGTACCGACCTGGGCCGGGCTCCAGCACCTGATTCCTGTAGGGGCTATGAAGGCCTGAGGTGAGGATCTGTCTCTGAATTTCAGGGGAATTTCTCTGCTGTGGCCAAAGCAGCCTGAAGCTAGGCCAGGAGCTTTGTCTCCTCACTGCCTTTTCTGGAGTGCCCCATGGGGGTTAATGCAGGAGGAAGACCTGGTTGATTTCAGGTGTGCCAGGGGGTCCTCGGGGAGAATTCTTGGTGAAGAGCCTGCACCCCTGAACCATCTTGAACTGTCAGTGCCCTCAATGAGCTTTTGTATGAATTGGAAAGAGACGGTGACCCTGAGTCAGGGTACACCAGAGTCCAGGCCTGGGGCTGGTCCCTGGAGGGATCACAGCCCCCCTCTCACAGGGCATGACCCACATACCTGCGTGCTGTGCCCCTGGACCTTTGGGCCCCATGGGGTTACCAAGCAAGCACTGGCTCCCAGCCTTGTGACTGCAACATGGCCAGGAGCACAGTGCCAGTGGCCCCAGAGAAAAGACACAGGAGGCCCCAAACTTTTGCTGGGCTTCCCACCTCCCAGGAGAGGGGTGGCCCTTGGCAACTGCACCTTTCTTTTTCCCTGGGAGGATCTGCAGCTGTGGGGAAGCCCCCAAGCCCTTGCTAGACTGCTCGGGTTTCCTGCAGGATCAGGGCCAAGCTAGTCTGAGGGAGGGAGGTGGCAGGTGCCCCAGACTCAGTGTGCTCTGTGGTCTCAGTGGCTGTGGCCTTCCTGCATGTGTACCTGTTGGTGGAATGGCACTGGCATGCTCCTCATCTGCTTGCCCACACCATCACAGCCCTGATGATTAATTCCATAATTAGCTAGAAGCCGCATGTTGTTGCTCAGGATGAATTTGGTCTAAAAATATTTTCTTATGAAAAACACAGCAGAACCTAAAAATATCTCCTCCACAGTTGCCCAGAGAAGCCTCCTCCTTGGACCACCCCAAGCCACCACTAGCTGTAACTCAGTTTCTTGGAGAGTCTCGAATGCAGCGGCAGAGGGCTGGCCAGGCACTGCTTCCTGCCAGGGCAGAGTGAGTTGGGCACCAAGCCTGTCCCTGGCATTGCCAGTTCCCACAGGCTCCCAATGCCCACAGTAGGTCAGAGGCTGCTGGGGCTGCCTGGGAGGTTCCCGCATGCACACAGGATGCATGCCAGCCTGACTTCAGGGAGACTGGGGCAGGGCCACAGGGGAGGCACAGACCTCGTGGGGTGAGGTCCTGGAAAGGGCTTCCTCACCCTGGTGAGCCATCAGGGAAGGCCCACAAAGGACCAGTGCTGACCTGAGTGGGACCCTGCACAGGCAGAACTCCCTGCTGACCTGTTCAGGGGAGCAATGGAGGCTGGAGGAAGATGCTGGCCCTGCTCTAGAGCCTCTAAGCTGAGCATTGCTGTGGCTGAGGTCCGGGTACCTGGTGTCATCCTTGTGTAGGGCTTGGCTGGCTGACTGCATGTCTTGTGGCTGGTGGGACAGACATGAGCAGGGACATGGAGCACCTGTGTCTTCCAGGCTTTTGCACGCAAAAGCAACCACCCTACTCTGGCACACAGTTCTGCCTGGGTGGGTTAGTCACAGGGGTCAAGAACTTACCATCTTGCCCTTCTCCTCTTCCCTTATGATGTCCTTAAATGGGGGCCACCATCTCCTGCTTCAGAGGCTCTGCCTTGGTTTCAGGAGAGGACCCTGTCCACCTGGCCTGTCTGTGCACCTTCTATCCCATCTCTGGGGTAGATGATGAACGCTTGGTGCCTCCACTCCCTGCTGGCCCAATGGAGCCCTGGAGCACATTTCCAGGCCCTTCTCTCTGGTCCCAGGTGGGTGGCTCAGGCCCAGAGAGGGTGGTCTCTCTGGATGACACAGAGAAGTGGGGGTGCAGCTGAGATAGGCACTGCCTTCTCCTAAGCCAGCCCAGGTGCATGGATGGAGCAGGTGGGGGCTCCCTGCAGCTCCCCTCAGCCCTGAATCTCAGGCCCAGGGTGGTGTGGCAGGGATTTGGACTGAGTGTGGCTTGCAGAGGGCAAACCCACCTGGGGCCAAAATTTGTTAACCCCAAGCTTAAATAATAAAGGCATTAACAATCTAATATCCAGAGAATGAAGAGGTGGGTGGCTCCAGGTGCCTGTTACAGTTAAACCCCTGTGAGGCCTGGCTCCTGTCTCTACAGTCCCCTCACCTTCCTTCATGCTTCAAAGATGGCTGCTGCAGCCCCAAGCATCACATGTATCACAAAGGGAAGAGATGGCACCAGCAAAATGTCTTCTTCCACCTCCCTCATTTTTCAGAAAGCCAAAGCCTTCTTGCCAATAGCTTCTCCTCATCTTGACTGAACTGTGACCACTGTGGTCACGTGGCCACTCTTAACTGCTAGAGTGTCTAGTGAAGCTAGTGTCTGACAAAGGAGAGCCCAGCTGCTATAACTGGACTGGACCAAACAGAATTGCAGCCTCTGAAGTGGAGCACATTGCAACCCCAAACTAAAGCAGGTGCTGAGGGCAAGAAGAGGTTGGGAGAATGTTTGCCACAGGAGGGAACTTCATCCTTGTGATCTGGGGAGGGGCAAAATCTGAGGGTCAGAGAAGGGGAGAGGCTCTCCCTTCCCTGCAACCCCACTTTTCCATCTCTGATAAATAATGTGTAGGTGTCGTTCCCTGGAGCAGATCTATAACTCACTGAGGGTACCTTCCAAGCTGGTTCTGCGTTAAATACACAAATCTTACCGCAGCCTTTCTGCCAATCAGGCATCCATGCTCTGCTAGGTCCCTGTTGAAAGGGAACTCATCACATGCCAGGCAGCCCATTTCTTCTGGAGGCTTCTCTGACAGGAACCACATCCTTATTTTGAGCTACACTGGGCTTCCCTTGGCTTCTAGTCATTAACCCTAGTTCTACTTTCCTGCATGTTTTTTTTTTCAGCAACTTTCTGTGAATCTATTATTTCAAAACACAAAATTAAAAATAAGGTAAGGAGAAAGATGAAAGTGCCTGAATTGTACTTCTAGAGATGAACATTACAATGTCTGAGATAAATAGTACACTTGATGGCATGACCGGCACATTAGACATTACAAAGGAGCTTGGTGGACTAGAGACATTGCCATAAGGACTACCCAAAATGAACTACACAAGGAATTAGGAATACAAATGAATGAAAAGGGCATCAGCAAATTGAGGGAAAATCTTCAAGTAGCCTAATATATGTTGGAATTGTAGTGACCAAAGGAGTGTGGGAACAGAAAAAAATATTTGAAGAAATAGTGGTTGAAGAGTGTCCAAACTGGATGAACACTTTAAACTCTAGTGCAAGCACAGCCAACCACAAGCACAAGCACAAGAAGCAGGAAGAAAACCAAGGTGCAATCATGATCAAATTGCTTAAAACCAGCAACAAAGAAACATCTTCAAAGCAGCCAGAAAAACAAGGAAACATTTCATCAAGAGGACCAAAGATCATGAAGATAAGAGATTTTTCACCAGAAACAATGCAGGCGAGAAGTCAGTGGAGAGACATCATTTAAGCACTGACTGGACAAAACTGTCATCAGAGGATTGCACACCCAGCAAAAATACATTTCAAATATGAAGATGAAATTGAGGCTTCTTCAGACATATGGAAGCTGAAATCATCACCAGCAGATCTTGTCTGCAAGAAATGTTAAAAGAAGTCCATCAGGTAAAGTGATACTGGATGGAGATCTAGATGTACAAACAGGAATGAAAATCACTACGGGTGGGAACTACATAGGTAAATTTATTATTTAGGTCTCTTTAAAAGAAAATTGATTCTTTTGAAAAACAGTAACAATGTATATTGGGGTCTGTGATAGGTAAAAGTGAAGTGTGACAATAGCATTGGCAACAATAGCATAAACGCAGGGAGAAGAGTGGAGGAAGTATCTCACTATAAAAATCTCAGGCTCTGCTAAAGTCCTGTGATGCCAAGATTGCTTGAAGGGACTGTGATCAGTTAAAGACCCACACTATAGCACTTAAAGCAAACACTAAAATAACAAAACAAAGAGTTATAGCTAACGAATCAAAATAAATGCTAAAATGTAATCACAAATACTTGATTAATGCAAAAAGAAGACAGAAAAAGAGGAAAAAGAACACGAAAACCAGACATTATTCTGCACTGGGAACAGCCCCAGGAGGAGCTCTATTGATGCACTCCCAGCAAAATAAACATGACAGATAAAAATCATTTTTTAAAATCCAAAAATTTAAAGCTCAAAGCCTCTTAAAATTATCCTGAGGCATATAGCAGATGAAGAAACACTTATTCAAGAAAATATACTGAAACTTGGCAAGACCATGAGAATCTGTAGCATTTGAGCCACAGCCTGCTCCCTCACTCCATACCCTGTCTCCAGCTCCATCTGCTGGAAACATCCCTCTTGGTAGTGGCCAAGAAAATGAGGCTCCCTTACCCTTCAATTCCTAGTCAAAAGATACGGTACATGGCAGACAGAACAATGGTCCCCCAAACATATCAGGTCCTAATCCCTGGAACTTGTAAACATTACCTTGTAAGGATAAAGGGTCTTTGCAGGTGTGGTTAAGTCAAGAACCTTAAGATGAAGAGCTCATCTTGGATTATCTGAGTGGGCCTTAAATGCCATCACAGATGCCCTTATAAGAAAGAGGCAGAGGGAGATTTAACACAGAACAGAAGAAGACGAGTCAGTGTGACCACAGAGGCAAAGATTGGGTGCAGCTGCCACAAGCAGAGGAAGGTTGGCAGCTGCCAGAAGGCAGAAGAGGCAAGGAATGGATCCTGCCCCAGAGCAACCAGGGGGACTGCAGCCCTGCCAGCACCTCAATTTCAGTCCTGTAGTGTTGATTGCAGACTTCTGGCCTCCAGAACTATGGCAAGATAGATTTCTGTTTTAAGACCCCAAGTGTGTGATTCTTTCTTACACTAGCCATGGAAACGAATGCATTGTATCTCCCTGGGAGGGGCAGGCCACCAAGACTCATCATCCCCTCCAACTCTGTGTGGTAAAGTCCAGACAGAGAGTGCTGCTGAGAAGTAGGGGCTCTTTTTTTCTACTTCCTGAATCATGGGTGGAGGCTCTACCCCAGGTTCAGTGGGCTGAGAATATGGAGGCTCTGACTACTCTCACCCAGCTCACTCACAGGGTATAGGTTGCACTCCAGTCAAGTCAAGTGGAAAAGATCAGAGGCTTCCACTCCCATCCAGTGGCAAGAGGAGTGTGTAGCTGTTTTTCTCAGGAGTAAAGGCTACTCATGAGAACACAGAGTTCCAAACTCCAAAGTTCTCCCCTGAAGACGGAGGTTATTTGAAATAGTGTGGGCAAATTCATGTCTAAGGGCTATCTCAAAAACAACGGAGATTTTAGCAGGCAAAGAGGAGGCTGATCACTCTGTAAGCAACAAGTCAACATTAGGCCAGCAAGTTTACCAGGAAGAACCAAGAAAAGAGCCCTACTGGGACTAGAAAAAAATCCAAATATTATCCCTGTCTAAAACTAATTTTATCAGACTAGAGAAATTCATGCCCCAGGACATTATCAAAATTGTTTATGCTTTTTGTTTCTGAGGCACTTGTTGGTCCTAAAGATAATTGTACATAGTCTCTTCTAAAAGCTTTATATTTCTTTTACATGTAGATACTTCATCCACTTGGAATTGATGTTTGTAAATGGTATGAAGTGGGCATATAATTTTAGTTTTTTCCACATGGATTTGCAGTCTTCTAAGGACCACTGATTAGAAAACTCAGCCTGTTCCTCACTGATCATGCACACATGTGGTATATAGATTATGAGGATTGTTTCTGGGCTATGAATTCTATTCCTTGGTTTACATGTGTGGTTATTTTTTTCTGTAAGCATTTCATTTTACCTTGGAGTATTATTTGTGGGTTCCTGCAGGGATTTGTCTTCCATCTTTCAGGTACCTGGGACCACCACCACTCTGTCTCATTGAAAATTGAACTTCCATCTTGAGGTTTTCAGACCACCTAGATCTTATGAATTCAGGCTGAAAATCTACATGGAGACCACCGGCTTCCGTTGATAAATTCTCAGCAGGGTTTTTCACCTCTCTCCTCTCAGCACTGAGGTTCAAATGGCTGGTTTTCTGTTATACCCTTGGGAGAGGCAGATTTATTTCCAGTTGCCCCTCACTTTGAACAGATAGCTGATTGGGGTCTCAGCTCTGTGGGGATTTCCTGTAGAAATCTGGGCCTGCCATGGGTTTCGACTTCTGCCCTCTGCCCACCAGGAAGTCATGAAACTGGAAGTTCAACTTCCCGTTGCTGGCAAATTCCCTCAGGCCACGCACTGGTGTCAGGCCTTGGCTTGCCTTTTGGGTGGCTGTAGTCGCTAAATGTTTGGATTTGAGAAGTTCTTGCTTTTTGGCTAAATCCTTAATACATGTTAAAAGGATTATTTATAAAATTTTGTCCAGGTTTTCAGTTGTTTTCAGTGCAAGAGCTGATCCAGGTACCTAGCTCACCATGTTATCAAAAAGTGTCCAGTACAACCCAATGTTTAAGTTTCCAAATTGCATAATTTTAAAATTATGAAGTGTGTTTTGTCTTTAGGGTTTTGGAAGATCTGAGAGATCTGTCTTATCCCCAGAGGTAACTGATGTCCCTTCTTTCCTACTCCTGTCCCTGTTACCTGACTCCACTAGTAGCATGTACTTTAACATACATAACGTGTGACCTGCTGGTGCCAGAGTAGGGTTCACTTCACTTCCACAATGGCCTGTGCAGGGGCAGGGAGTCCTGGAGCCCTCTGTGTCCCACACCCCAGTTTTGACTTTATTTGGGTCATGAGCCTCTTTAAGAATCTGATGAGGCCAGCTGCAGTGGCTCATACCTATAACTCCAGCACTTTGGGAGGCTGAGGTGGGAGGATCACTTGAGCCCAGGAGTTCAAGACCAGCCTGGGCAAACATAGGGAGACCCTGTCTCTACAAAAACAAATGTTTTAAATTAGCCAGGTATGGTGGCATGTGCCTGTAATCCCAGCTACTCAGGAGGCTGAGGTAGGAGGATCACTTGAGCCCAGGAGGTTGAGGCTGCAGTGAGCCGTGACTGCACCACTGCATTCCAGCCTAGGTGACAGAGTGAGATTCTGTCTCCAAAACAAAACAAAACGAATTCTGATGAAAGCTAGACAAGGACGTACAGACCACACACAGCAGACAAAGTTTCTGTTGGATACACCTTCAGAAGGCCTGTGGATCCCTGCTGTAGGATCCCCTAATTCTAAGACTCCCCTACCCCTCTCTACAGCACTTCCCTGCATTTGCTGATGGCAGGACAGAAGGCAGCAGCAGCTAGCACAGGCCAGCCTGCTCAGCTGTGGTTGCTCTGCTGCGAACCCGCTGTGCCTGTGTCACATACCAAGGGCATGACTAAGGGCTACTGATGCAGAGTCAGAAGTGGTCCAACCCTGGTCCCCATCTCCTCCCAGTCTCCTCTGAGCCTTAGCAGAGACTGACCAAGTAGTGAGGTCTCTGGCAGACATCTGGACCTGCAAGCTATCCAGAACATTGTCCTTAGCAGTGGTGAGATGGTCAGGTCAGCGCCTGGGTCCTTCCCAGCTCAGGCATGCTTTTTGCCAGGATAGGAGCTTCTCAGGCCAGGGCCTCTCTTGCCAGTGCAGGCAGTCATGCCTGGCACCCAGTCCAGCAGGCGCGGAGGGGACTGCAGGCCACAGCTGTTCAAGTGGGGGCCTCCTCTCTGCCCTGCGAGGCCCTCTTGGCCTTGATGAGATCACTCGGGGGCCTTCTATCTTTGGGACCCCAGAGATAGGGACAGGGAACTGGGAGCAAAAGCAGCCACATGTGCTTGGGCAGTGCCTGCAGGTGCCAGAGGAGCAGACAGGACCAGGTAGGGGACTGCAGCCCAGGACAAGCCAGTGGGGCTTCAGCACCTCATCCTGTCCCACCAGTGCCTCACTGCTGGGAAAACAGCCACCCTTGACCACTTGCCCACCGGCCCCTCCTGCAGAAGACACTCCCAGAAAAAACTGCTAGAATTTTATCAGGGCTAATAGAAGTTGCTGGCTGTCTCCAAAGCACACTCAGCTGTCCTTGGGAACTCAGCCAGCCCCACACATAGAAGGGACAAGGCCCACAGTGCACAGGCTCAGCTCTACAGCACAGGGCTTCTGTCCTGAGGTCCCCTAAGCCTCCTTCCAGCATGCCTTTCTGCTTATAGAATATTCACTTGATGATGATACAGCATTCTCCCAAACTGGACTTACTCAGAGAAGGTCTGTGCTCTGAGGGTGATGCTAGCAGAGCTGCTACCTGGGCACCTCAGAGCAGTCCTGACACAGGCCCCATGCAGCCCCACCTTGAGAAGAACAGGACACAGCCTGGGGACCCTGGGCCCAGAGTCACGGAGGTCCCTACGTGAGTCCAGCCTGCTCCAGCTGATGCTCTCTGGGCCTCCATTTTCTTGTCTGGGATGGGAGGAAATGATCCCCCGAGCTCATAATAATGATCGTTTATGCCAGATCATCATTCCTAGGATTTCCCCAAACCTCCATGTGCCTGGGAGAGGAGCGAGTTCTCCAGCTCCCTGGGACCCTCAGGGGTTAGACATACCACCACCGGCCCTTCCATGAAGGCTGCACCTTGGCTCGGCCTCCACCGTGGGCCTGGCTGCAGGCTCTCACCCCAGCCCGCAGGAGCTGGGATGAAGGAAGCCAGTTCAGGCGAGTCCTCCGCACCGTGAACCCATCCTCTGCTGGCCTGATTTCCTGATCAGTGCAGGATCAGCCTAAGTGCCTGAATCCAGAGCCCACTCTCCACTTGGGTGGGAGCATGACTGCTTTCTGTCAGCCCCAGTGGTATGACTGGGACCAGAGCATCTCCTGCAGCCTGAACCATTGTCCCAGCCTGCTCACCCTTGGCCTCCTGTGCTCCTGGCAGGCATGGCTTTCCATGTGGCAGATCCCACTCTTTGTCAGGGCCTCTGCATCCTTCCTCCTGGGACAGGCCTGGCCTCAGAGGGTGGGAGGGGCACTGCAGCCACAGCTGCTGCATCAGGAGGGGCCAAGAGTCCCCGAGGTTGAGTCCAGGGCACAGCAGGGAGTCCCAGTCCTAATGCTTGAAACATGCAGTGTCCTTGTCTTGCCCCAGCTACAGGCTCCATGTACAAAAGCACATGGAGGGGGAGCAGAGGTTTCCTGGGGACAGCAGCTGAGGCTGGGGGCCGGTGTACTGGCTCACAGGCTCTGAGGCTGGGGAGCGGTGATGTTGTGCCACTGTGGCCTGCCAAGGGAGCCTGCTGGCAAGGGGCCTGCTGTGACCTGGGCTGCATCACTAGCCAGTCATCTCTCACTAGAGGCCTGGACCCACCCCTGCCAGGAGGGGAGCACTCCCTCCCCCTCTGTGCTCCCTTCCTCGCTGTCTGGCAGTACAGTGGCCACCTCCCAAGAACCTGTGCCAGCATGGGACTGGGGCCTCAGGGCAAGGGAGAGAAAAACCTGGGTCCCTCAGTGATATGGCCTGAAGGGGGCCTTGGCTGGCACTGACCACTGGTGTCAGGCAGACACCGGCCCCTCCACCCACCAGAAGATCTCAGGCACACCTGCCCACCTGAAAGCAAGCAGGCTGGGGGTGGCTCCCAGAGCTGACCAGAGGAAGAGATGCCAGGAACTGTAGAGACAAGAGGAGTCCACGGCCCAGCCTGGGGCAGCACCTTGGAAGCTGGGGCAGCCATCCAACTAGAAAGGACAGAAGTCAGCTGTGGGGTTGGCATTGGGCTGGACAGGGGCAGAGGGACTCAGGACGTGCCTTCTGATGGGATCATAGGGTCTCCATAATGCATTGGCCACAGGTGGATGAGGAGGAAGGTGCCTCAGGGCTGTTGTGGAACTCCCAGGAGGGCTATGCCACCCCCATAAGTGACTCTGAGCCCCACCCCACTGGTTTGCAGACCATGGGCCCCTAGTCATGTCACCTGTCTGGGCCTTTTTAAAAAAATATTATTATTTTGAGAGAATTGTAGAACGTGCATACAATTCATGCATGCACTTATAAGAAATGATACAGAGAGGTCTCACATACCCTTTACCCAGTTTCCTTCAGTGATAACATCTTGCAAAACTACAGTACAGTATCACAACCATGATACTGACATCCATAGAGTCAAATTACAGAGTATTCGCTTACCACCAGGAGCCTTCCACAGCCACACCCACTTCCCTCCCTCCCCAGCCCCTCTTAACCCCTGGCAGCCACTCACCACTTCTCTATTTACAGTTTTGTCATTTCAAGAATGTTATATAAGTGGAATCACTGCATTATATAACCTCCTGGCATTGGCTTTTTTCACTCGGCCCAGATCCCTGTAGATCCATCCAAGTTGTCCAGCAGTTGATTTCTTTCTAATGTTGAGTAAGATTCCATGGAGTGGATCTGCTACACCTGGACCATTCACCCATTGAAGGCTCTCTGGAGAGCTCCTGGTTTGGGGTTACTATGAACAAACCTAATATAAGCTTTTGTGTACAGATTTTTGCATGACTACAAGTCTTCATTTCTCTGAGATAAATGCCTGGGAGTGCAGTTGCTGGGTCACATATCAATTGCATGTTTAGTTTTTATAAGAAACTAACAAACTGTTTTCTGGAGTGGCTTCAACATTTTACATTCCCACCAACAACATATATGTGATGCAGTTTCTCCACATCCTTACCAGCATGTGAGGTTGTCACTGTTTTTTATTTTAGCTATGTTGATGTGTACATAATTGTATCTCCATGCAATTTTAACTTGTATTTCCCTAATGAGTAATGATGATGAACATGTTTTCATGGGTTTATTTGCCATCTGTGTATGCTCTTGTATGGAATAACTCTTCATATCTTTTGCCTGTTTCCTAATTTGCTTGTCTGTTTGTTTACTACTGTATTTTGAGAGCTATTAATTCTAGACCTTAAAAGCCTTCATCAGGTAAGTAGTTTGTAAATATTTTCTCCCAGCTTGTCTTTTCATTCACTTAACAGGCTCTTTCACAAAACAAAAGCTTCTAATTTTAAGAAAGTCCAATTATTTTTCATGTCAATTCTAATAACCTGGCTAGTTCTAGATCCCCAAAATTTTCTGCTATTAAAAAAAAAGTTTTATAGCTTTACATTTACATCCATGATCCATTTTGAGTTAGTTTTTGTATAAGGTGTGAATTCATTATTTTTGCTACGATGACCAGTTACTCCTGCATCATTTTTTGGAAAGGCTGTCCATCCTCTGATGAATGGCTTTGGTACCTTTGTGGAAGATTAGCTGGGCATATTTGTGTGAGTAGGTTTCTGAGTCCCATTGATCTATGTGTGTCCATCCCTCTGCCAGTACCCCACTGTCTTGATTAGTAAGCTTTAATTTCAAACAGTGATTCCTCCCATTTATTCTTCCTTCTCAAGATGGTTTTTGCTGTTCTAGGTCCTGTGTGTTTCCACATAAATTTTATGGAAAAATAAGCTTGTCTATATCCACAAAAATTCTTGCTAAAATTTTGACAATAACTACATTAAACCTATAGAATTTTGGAAGAATTGACATCCTTATATATTGACCCCTGCACATGTTTTGTTAAGTTTATAATGAAGTATTTCATTATTTTTGGAATGAATGTAAATGATATTGTATTTTTAATTTTTTTCATGCCTTCTTTGTTAGTCTATAGAAATGGATTGATTTTTGTGTGTTGATCTTACATACTGCAACTTGCTAAACTCAGTTATTAGTTCTTTTGCAGATTCCTTGGGATTTTCTAGAGAGACTATCATGTCATCTGCAAATACAGACAGTTAAATTCTTTCATTCCAATCTGCATGTCTTTTATTTATTTTTCTTGACATATTGTAGTTGGTAGAACTTCCAGTAGCCTACTGCATAAGAGAGGTGAGAATGGACACTTTTCCTTGTACCAAGTTATAGAAAGAAAGTATTCAGTCTTTTACCATTAAGTATGTTAGCTGTAGGTTTTTACAGATGCTCTTCATGAAGTTAAGGAAATTCTCCTTTCCTCCAAGTTTGCTGAGAGTTTTTATCATGACTAGGTGTTGGGATTTTGTCAAATACTGTTTCTGTGTCAACTGATAGAATCACATGACTTTTCCTCTGTTGCCTGTTGGTAGGTGTATTACATTGGTTGATCTTGTAATACCGAACCAACCCTGCATACCTGGGATAAATCCCAACTGTTCATGGTGTATAATTCCTTTTAAATGTTGCTGAATTTGATTTGCTGATATTTTGTCAACAATCCTTGTGCTAAAGTTCATGAGAAATGTTGGTCTGTACTTTTATTTTCATGTGTTGTCTTTGTCTGGTTTTTGTATCAGGCCTAGTCTCATAAAATTAGTTGGCAAGTGTTCTTTCCTCTTCTATATTTTTAAGACAGATTTTGTAAAATATGTGTTAATTCTTCATAAATATGTGGTAGAATTCTCCAATGAAACCATCTGGGCCTAAAGACTTCTTTTAAATTTCACATTCAATTTATAATTGTTATAAGACTATTCAAGTTGCATGTTTCATATTGGTTGAGTTTTGGCCACTTTCGGTTTTTGAGGAATTGGCTCATTTCTTCCACACTGATGAATTTATGAGGGTAAAACTGTTTATAGCATTCCTTTGCTGTTTTCAAAATGGCTGCAAGATCTGTAATATCTCTGTTTTATTCCTGATACTGGTGATTTGAGTCTTCTCTTGTTTTATCTTTGTGACTCTTGCCAGAGGTTTATTTTTTGAAGAACTAGATTTTTGTTTCCTTGTTTTTCTCTATTGTTTTCCTGTTGTCAATTTCATTGACTGCTGCTCTTTATTATTTCCTTTGCTCTGCCTTGCTCTGGGTTTATTTTGCTTTTCTTTCTCACGTTTCTTGGGGTAGTAATTTCAATGATTGATCTGAGACTTTTCCTCTTTTCTAATGTAAGCTTTCAGTGCTGTAAAATTCTATTTCAGGCTTTTTTCATTTGAAAGTAGAAGGTTTGCATAGGCACATGGAATAGAGAAGACAGGCGTGCTTGACAATGGGCTCTGCCGCCTTTCAGCCTGCTCCCTGGGTTAGTTATTTCAACTCTCAGGGATTCCTCATCCAGAACCCGGCTGTCGTGCACAAGGCTGTGGGTTTCTGGGAAGACTAAGACTGCTGCTTGGAGCAGACCCTCAGCAAACAGCCTTTCCTCTCCACTCCTTTCTTTCCTTCTCTGGCAGTTTGATTCTGTGATTAACTTTAAAATAACATTTATTTTACATGATTACAAAATAGATACATTTTCATTGGAGAAAATTTGGAAAACACAAAAAGCTATTGAGAAAACAACCTATCTACAAACCTTGCCACTCCACCTGGCCCAGACCTCTGCTCACTTAGGCGGGCACCCTCTTGACTTCCTGACGTGAATTTTTTTTTCCATAAGTTATTGAGGTACAGGTGGTATTTTGTTACATGGGTAAGTTCTTTAGTGGTGATTTGTGAGATTTTGGTGCACCCATCACCCAAGCAGTATACACTGCACCATATTTGGAGTCTTTTATCCCTCGGCCCCCTCCTACTCTTCCCCTCAAGTTCCCAAAGTCCATTGTATCATTCTTACGCCTTTGCATCCTCATAGCTTAGCTCCCACATATCAGTGAGAACATACGATGTTTGGTTTTCCATTCCTGAGTTACTTCACTTAGAATAATATTATCCAATCTCATCCAGGTCACTGCGAATGCTGTTAATCCATTCCTTTGTAAGGCTGAATAGTAGAGTAGTATTCCATCATATATGTATATATATATATAGGAATGTAAAGCTATAAATATATATACACACACACACACACACACACACACACACACACATATATATATATATATAATCACAGTTTCTTTATCCACCAATTGATTGATGGGCATTTGAATTTGTTCCACAACTTTGCTATTGTAAATTGTGCTGCTATAAACATGCCTGTGCAAGTATCTTTTTTGAATAATGACTTCTTTTCCTCTGGGTAGATAACCAGTAGTGGGATTGCTGGGTCAAATGGTAATTCTACTGTTGCAGGAAGTCAGGGACCCGGAACAGAGGGACCAGCTGAAGCCATGGCAGAAGAACATATATTGTGAAGATTTCATGGACATTTATCAGTTCCCCAAATTAATACTTTTATAATTTCTTATGCCTGTCTTTACTGCAATCTCTGAAAACAAATTGTGAAGATTTCATGGACATTTTTCACTTCCCTAGTCAATACTCTTATAATTTCCTATGCCTGTCTTTACTTTAATCTCTTAACCCCATTATCTTCATAAGCTGAGGATGTATGTCAACTCAGGACCCTGTGATGATTGCGTTAACTGTACAAATTGTTTGTAAAACATGTGTGTTTGAACAATATGAAATCAGTGCACCCTGAAAAAGAACAGAATAATAGCGATTTTCAGGGAACAAGGACAGATAACCATGAGGTCTGACTGCCTGCGGGTTTGGACAGAATAGAGCCATATTTTTCTTCTTGCAGAGAGCGTATAGATGGATGTGCATGTAGGAGAAATATCGCTGAATTATTTTCCCAGCAAGGAATAGCCTAGGGAAGGAATGCATTCCTGGGGGTAGGTCTATAGACAGCCACTCTGGGAGTGTGTGTCTTATGCGGTTGAGATAAGGACTGAAATACGCCTTGGTCTCCTGCAGTGCCCTCAGGCTTACTAGGATTAGGAAATTCCAGCCTGGTAAATTCTAGTCAGACCAGTTGTCTGCTTTCAAACCCTGTTTCCTGTTAAGATGTGTATCAAGACAATGCTTGCACAGTGGGACATAGAACCTCATCAGTAATTCTAATTTTGCCTTGCCTTGTGATCTTTATTGCGCATTGAAGCATGTGGTCTTTGTGGCTTATTCCCTGTTCATACACCGCCCCCCTTCTAAAATCCCTAATAAAAACTTGCTGGTTTTGTGTCTCGAAGTCACCATCATGGTCCTACCAATATGTGATGACACCCCCAGAGGCCCAGCTGTAAAATTTCTCTCTTTGTACTCTTTCTCTTTGTTTCTCAGACCAGCTGACACTTAGAAAAAATAGAAAAGAACTTATGTTGAAATACTGGGGGCTGGCTCCCCCAATATCCTACTTTTAGTTCTTTAAGGAATCTCCACACCGTTTCCCATAGTGGCTGTACTAGTTTACATTCCCATCAGCAGTGTAGGAGTGTTCCCTGATCACTGCATCCATGTGAACATCTACTGTTTTTTGATTTTTTGGTTATGGCCATTCTTGCAGGAGTAAGTTGGTATCACATTGTGGTTTTGATTTGCATTTCCCTGATCACTGGTGATGTTGAGCATTTTTTCATATGTTTGTTGGCCATTTGTATATCTTCTTTTGAGAACTGTCTATTCATGTCCTTAGCCCACTTTTTGATGGGATTGTTTGTTTTTTTTCTTACTGATTTGTTTGAGTTCATTGTAGATTCTGGATATTAGTCCTTTGTCAGAGGTATAGATTGTGAAGATTTTCTCCCACTCTGTGGGTTGTCTGTTCCTCTGCTGACTGTTCCTTTTGCCATACAAAAGCTCTTTAGGTTAATTAAGTCCCAGCTATTTATCTTTGTTTTTATTGCATTTGCTTTTGGGTTCTTGGTCATGAAATCCTTGCCTAAGCCAATGTCTACAGGGGTTTTTCCAATGTTATCTTCTAATATTATCTCACTTCACTTAATGGTATCTTAATCATATCTTTGTGTTATCAAATATTTTTCTAAAATATGATTTTAACATATGTGGATATGCCATAATTCTACAGCTGATTTATATTTAAGCTTTAATTTTTGTCATTATGAGTTGAATTTTGTGAACAAATTCACACATCTTTGGGCATGTCTCTGATTTTTTTCCTTAAGACAGATTCCTAGAAAGGGAATTTTTGTGTCAAAGACTGTGATCATTTTTAAGATTACTGCCTAGAAAATTTGTCCCCAAATCCACTCCACCTGGAAGTATGCCCTACCTTCCTTTATGTGGAGTGTTCAATTATTTTTTAAATATTGTATTTGCATTTATTGTGGATGAAATCTTATATTTTATTGTTTTAACTTGCATTCCATGCTAGTAAAGCAAGTGTGACCCTCAATGTCCAATCACAGGTGTAAAGAACAATGTTATTTCTCTCTTTATGGAAAATTCTAAGCCCCCATCCCTTTCTTGGACCTTTTTTGTGGTCTGGCATCTTTTATGGATACTTTCTAGCCTCAGTGACCACTGGCCCTGGCTACCTCTGAGACCATGCGGCTCTGGTCGGCAGACCAGAAACTAAAAATGGGCCCTTCATGTTTGCAGTCTTTGTTGCTCCCATTTCCTCCTTGGTCATAAGGCCCTCCCACCCCCAACTGCAGTGCCCACTGCCTGAAGTCACAGGTGGAGCCCCAGCCCCTGGCAGCCCTCCCAGGCTCTGCAAGGCCCCAGCCCCCTCTGCATCTCAGATGTTCTTCCTGGCCACCCCGGGACACAAGCATCCTCCATTTAGGGCATTGGGCTTTTAAGGGAGTGGCTGCCTCTGGGCTCTTCTCACTTCCAAAGAGGGCAAAACAGAAAACAACATGCATTCAGCAACTCAGAAATCACCTTGCTGTACAGCCAGTCTCCTGGGGTCACAGGTTGTCTTCCCACGTGTCTCCCTGTTCTCCTGCTCTTTCATGATTTATAAGAGCTCTTTGTACGGGAACGACAGTGGTCCTCTGGTTATAGTGTGTGTGGCAGTGGTTCCACAAGGGAGGCATTATTTGCCCTTGAACTTTGCCTGTGAGCTGTGCCTGTGCGTTGCTTTGCTTTGCTTTTTAATTTTGAAGGGAGTTGATGCCTCCCGTGCTTGTTTGCTTTCACTGTGCTTTCCTGATTAGAAAGGCTTTTCCACCCTCCACTCAGCATCTTATGGTTTCTTTGTTAACACTGGAACTCAATTGCTCTGGAATGGACTTGGGGGTTAGGGGTGTGGACTTCCATTTTCTCACCAGGTAGGGTGTGCCCCCAGCACCCCTAGACATGTCCCTTCTGTCTAGGTCAGCATTTGCTGGATTGCACAGGAGACCCGCGGTCTCCTGAAGGGGATGAGATGAGAAGGATGCGGAGAGATACTGAGGGGCTCCCCACCCAGCACCCTGCTGAGCCCCCCTTTCTCCCTGTGGAAGGAAAGACAAGCCTCACCCAGGCATTGACCATGGGTGACCACTCATTCTGCAAGCAGGTGAGATCCTCAGAGTGGCTTCCTCCCAGTGCTCAGCAGGATTCCTGGACAAAGGGAGTTGTCAACCTTTGGGTGGTGGCCCCACGACCCTACTTGAGAGCCCCTTGGCTCTGGCCTAGAGGCAGGGACCTCCATCCAGCCTCTGCTTCCCACCTGGGCCTTCACCTTGATTGTGCTTGAGACAGGTGGGGTGGGGGCCCAGTGAGAAGGAGGCAGAGAGGGGCTCCAGAGCCAGGCTCCTGTGGGGAGGGAGCCCATCCTTCTGAAGATATCATCAGGGTCTGAAGGCACATTGGGAGGTGTGCTCAGTCACTGAAATTAAATGAGGGACAACTACACACACAAGGAGCCTTCACCCCTGTTAGTCAGGGACACTGCTCGGCCCATGCCCCACCTCCACATCTCCTCCCTATCCTGCTGTGGCAGAGCCTGCCCTCTAGCCCTCTGCAGCCCCGACCCAAGTCCAGCTCCCGGCTCCCAGTCCTGCAGCTGCAGAGGCATCCTGGGGAGGGGCAGCTCCTGGCCCACCCCAAAGCAGAGTTTGGTAGCTATGTTGCATCTGGCATCTGCATTGGACTAAGAGATCCATCAAGTTCAACTAGGGGAACAGCTCCTTCATGTTCTGTTTGGCTGACTAATTCAATAGCAGACACCCAGGCCTGGGCTGGCAGAGGCACTCCCAAATCCAATGAAGGTCTCGCTCTGCAGCCAGTCTGGCAGCATTACCTGGGCATTTTGCTCGCTCAGCATAGACCTGAGTCAGGCCCCAGCCACCGCCACCCCCAGGAGCTCACAGGGCCATGCTACTGCCACCAGGCCTCCCCAAGCAAGCACCCTTCCTCATAAATAAGATTATTTATGGTGGGCAAAGATTAGAAAAACCCAGGCTATCTCTTTGTAGTGGTGAATGTTTTAAAATTAAAACCAACAGAAAGTAACACTTCCCAAGGGAACATTCTTACAGTGACTATGACCTAAAACTTGTAACATTCATCACTTCTAAAATATGTTGAGGATATTTAATATATAATTGCATTGTGAACTCATTAAATATTTGCATAATTATAAATAGAAAACATAAATAAAAGGAAAGGTTACAATATGAGTAAACACATAAAACTGATATTTAATTCACTGTGCTGATTAGCAGTGCACTTATTTATATTGGTACTTGAGTTTAAGACTATATGCATACTTTTTTCTTTGTTTCAAATTTTTATTTTTTAAAATAAAATTATATATATTTAAGTGTACAGCCTGTTTTGATTCATATATGAATATCTATGTATGTGTTTGTATATATACATATGTATACACAGTTAAATGATTACTACAGTCAAATTAACATATCTATCTTCTCATATAATTAGATGACAGCAACTGAAATATATTCTCTTTGCAAATTTCCAGTATGCAATATTATTAACTATAATCACATAACTGCAACTTTGTACTCTTGGACCAACAGATTCCCTTTTCTCCTACCGCCCTGTCCCTGGTAACCACCATTCTACCCTGCTTCCATGTATGAAATTTTTAAGATTCTGGCCAGGCACAGTGGCTCACACCTGCAATTCCAGCACTTTCAGAGGCCAAGGTGGGTGGATCACCTGAGGTCGGGAGTTCGAGACCAGCCTGATCAACATGGAGAAACCCCATCTCTACTAAAAATACAAAAAATTGGCAGGGTGTAGTGACACATCCCAGTAATCCCAGCTACTTGGGAGGCTGAGGCAGGAGAATCACTTGAACCCAGGACATGGAGATTGCAGTCAGCTGAGATAGTGCCATTGCACTCCTGCCTGGGCAACAAGAGAGACACTCCTTCTCAAAAAAAAAAAAAAAAACAATAGAGTACCTCAACACTCTATTATAATCAACACTCCACTATCGTCAATGGACAAATCATCCAGATAACAAAAAAGTATGAGTTAAGCTGTACTCTATACCAAATTAACCTAATAGAAATTTACACAGCTTTCCATCCACAACTGCACAATGCACATTCTACTCAGCAGCACATGGATTATTCTCTAGGATACACTATGTGTTAGGCCAAAGATTAAGTAACAACACATTTTTAAAAACTGAAATCATATCAAGTATCTTTTCTTACCACAGTGGAGCACTACTAGAAATCAATAACAGCAGGAAATTTAAAAACTTTACCAATAGCCACAGTGGCTCAGGCCAGTTGTCCTGGTGCTCAGGGAGGCAAGGCTACACTTTCGAGGCCAACCTGGTCAACATTGACAAAAAAAAATAAGCCGGGCATGGTGGCTCACACCTGTAATCCTAGCACTTTGGGAGGCTGAGGCAGGTGGATCACCTGAGGTCAGGAGTTCAAGACCAGCCTGGCCAACATGGTGAAACCCCGTCTCTACTAAAAATACAAAAATTAACAAGGCATGGTGGCAGACGCCTGTAATCCAGCTACTTGGGAGGCTGAGACAGGAGAATTGCTTGAACCCAGGAAGCGGAGGTTGCAGTGAGCCAAGATCGCGCCACTGCACTCCAGCCTGGGGGACAAGAGCGAGACTTTGTCTCAAAAAAACAACAAAAAAAACTGTACAAATATATGAAAATTGAAATACATGCTTATGAACAACTGATAAATGAAAAAATTTAAAATTCATTGAAACAAATAAGGGAAATTAAAAATTCATTGAAACAAGAATAGAAACACAATGTAACAAAACCTGTGGGATGCAGCAAAAGCAATTGTAAGAGAAAAAGTGCGTAGCTATAAATGCCTTCATCCAAAAAGTAGAAAGATCTCAAATAGCCAACCTGACAGTACAGTTCAAGTAATGAGGAAAACAAGAAAAATCAAATGCTAAAATTAGTAGAAAAAAATAAAACATAAATATTAGGGAAGAAATTTTAAAAATAGAAACTAAAAAAATTACAAAAAGTCAAAGGAACAAAGAGCTGGGGTTGTTTAGAAAAAAAAAATCAAAATTGACAAGCTATGAAGAGACTAGGAAAAAGAAAAAGAAAACTGCAATAAAATCATAGATGAAAAAGGAGACATTACAATTGATAACACAGAAATACAAAGGATCGTAAGAGATTACTAAAAACACCTATATAGAAACAAACTGAAAAATCTAGGAGAAATGAATAAATTTCTGGCAACATAAAAAATTCTCAAGATAGAATAATAAAGAAATAAAAATTCTGAACAGACTAATAATAAGTAATGAAATTAAAGCAGTAATAAAAATATCCTATCAAAGAAAAACAGAAGAATTATGGCTTCACTGCTGAATTCTACTAAACATTTTTAAAAGAAGTAATACTAATTTTACTCCCCAAAAAATAAAAAGGAAGAAATACTTCCAAACTTGTTCTATGAGGCCAGCATTACCCTGCTACAAAAACCAGACCAGGACACAGCACAAAAAGAAAACCACAGGCAAATATCCCTGATGAACATAGATGCAAAAAATCCTCAACAAAATACTTGGAGAAAATTGCACTTGACAACACAATAAGAAGATCATCTGCCATGATCAAGTGGGATACGTTGGAGGAATATGAGAATGATTCAATAAACAAAAATAAATAAATGCCATACATCACATTCAATGAATCAAGAACAAAAACCATATAATCATTTCAGTAGATGCTGAAAACAATAAAATTCAACATTCTTCCATGATAAAAACTAAAAATGAGTACAGAAGGAACATATTTCAGCACAATAAAGGCCATATATGACAAACCCACAGCTAACGTAATCAATGGGGGAAAAGATAAAAGCTCTTCCTCTAAGATCTTAAACAAGTGTGGCTGCTTTTACCACTTTTATTCATCATGGTACAGGAAGTGCTAGCTAGAGCAATTAGACAGGAGAATGCAATGAAAGGCATCCAAATTGGAAAAAAAGGAAGTCAAACTATCTCTGTTTGCAGGTGACATGATCATATATACATAGAGAGAGAACCCTAAGGATTCCACAAAAAAAACCTACTAGACATAATAAATTTAGTAAAGTTGCAAAATACAATATCAATATACAAAAATGAGTACCAGGCCCATGCACCAATAGTGAAACACATAAGAAAGAAATCAAGAAAGCTATTTCATTACAGTAGCTGCCCACCACCCCACAAAAAAAATTGCTACCTAAGGATAGACTTAACCAAAAACGTCAAAGACCCTACAATGAAAACTATAAAACATAGATGAAAGATATTAAAGCAGATACAAGTAAATGGAAAGATATCCCATCTGCATGCACCAGAAGACTATTGTTAAAATATCTATATCACTCAATGTGATCTACAGAATCAATGCAATCCATGTTAAATTACAAAAGACATTCTTCATAGAAATAGAAAAAAAACTATACTAAAATTCACATGGAAATGCAAAATACCTCAGATAAACAAAAGAATCTTGAATAAAAAGAAAAGCTGGAGGCATCACACTACCTGATTTCAAAATACACTACAAAATATATTATAATTCTATAGTAACTTCAAATCTATAGTATAGTATCAAAACAGCATGGTACTTCAAAAAAAGGGGCAAGGGAGAGACAGAGACAGACAAATGACAGACATAAACAAATGAAACAGAATAGAGAACTCAGAAATAAATTAACATATTTACAGTCAACACATTTTTAACAAAGGCACCAAGAACACATCTTCCTGAAGGACAATCTCTTCAATAAACTTTGCTAGGAAAACCCAACACCCAAATGTAGAAGAATAAATCTAGACCGTTATCTTATCATATACAAAAATCAACTCAAAATGAAGATTTAAATGTAGGACCTGAAACTACGAAACTACTAGAGAAGAAAACATAGGATAAATGCTTAATGAAACTGGTTAGGACAAGGAATTTTCAAATAGACATCAAAAGCACAAGCAATAAAAGCAAAAATAGACAAATGGAATTACATTAAACTTAAAAGCTTCTGCAAAGCAGAGGAAGCAATCAGTAGAAAGAAGAAACAATCCAGAGACTGAAAGAAAGTATTTGCAAACTTTACCTCAGGCAAGCAGTTAATACACAAGATATATAAAGCAAAACTACTCAAAAGCAAAAATGAAAATAATCTAATTTAAAAATCAGAAAAAGATCTCCCCAAAACTTTGTCCCCCACCATTATTTCCCCAACTTCTTTTCCCAACTGCCTTCAGCCCCCTCCCTCTCGCCACCCTTTTTTTCTCCATCTAGCCCAAAACTTTTTCCCCACCATTTTCCCCCAACGTCTTTTCACAAAGCCCTCTCTGCTGCTCACAACCCTTTTCCCCACCAACTTTTCCCCTTCTCCTTGGCCACCCTCTTTTCCCCTCTCACGCTCTCATCACCCTCTTGTTCTCCTCCATCTACCCGAAAACATTTTGCCCCGTCTTTTGCCAAAGCCTTCTCCCCACTCCTGCTGCTCACCACTGTCTTTTCAAACTCCATCTACCCAAAAACTTATTTTCCCCCCACCCTCTTCTTGCAACGCCTTCTCCTGCTCTCCATCCTTTTTTCCCTTTGGCACTCACCACCCTCTTTATCCCTCCATGTACCCCAAAACTATTTTCTTCTCTCCTACCACTCCAGCTGCGCAGCAGTCTCCTTCTCCGCCACCAACCGCAGCCAGGCGAGGTGCGATGTCACAGGCCCCAGCTTCCAACGTGCCGCAGATGGCTCCCCTTTCTCGTCGTCTAGCCGGACAGGAGCAGCTCCCGCTGTGGGTGGCCCTCCTACCGCTTCCGCGACACTGCAGTCTCTGTCGCCACCACCAACTGTAGCGCGGCGAGGCGAGTCGCAGTGCCGCAGGCTCCAGCCTCCAGGCTGCAGCAGGTGGCTTCCCTTCTCCCGATTGATTTTTTTTTTTTTTTTTTTTTTTTTTTTTTTTTTTTTTTTTTTTTGAGACGGAGTCTGGCTCTGTCGCCCAAGCTGGAGTGCAGTGGCGCTATCTCGGCTCACTGCAAGCTCCGCCTCCCGGGTTCACGCTATTCTCCTGCCTCAGCCTGCGGAGTAGCTGGGTGAGCTGGGACTACAGGTGCCCGACACCACACCCAGCTAATTTTTTGTATTTTTCAGTAGAGAGGAGGTTTCACCTGTTAGCCAGGATGGTCTCCATCTCCTGACCTCGTGATCCACCTGCCTCAGCCTCTCAAAGTGCTGGAATTACAGGTGTGAGCCACCACATGGGCCCTACTCATTCTCTAAGATAGCACGGAACAGCTGGGCGGGCAGACACACAAAAGCCTGGAGCAGCCTGACTCCTCACCTCAGCATGCTTTATATACTAAGGTTATGCAAATGAGGTTCCTAGACTACATGTTCTAATTGGATGAGAGAAAAACCTCTAGGTCTACTCTGACTGGACTTTGTTATCATGTTCTGATTGTATGAGAGCAAGTCTTAGGACAACCAGTCACAGCATGAAAATAAAGTCCAGTCAGAGTAAGCCTAGAGGTTCATCTTATCCAATCAGAACATGTAGTCCAGGAACCCCCATTGCCTAAGCTCATTATATAAAGCATGCTGCAGTGAGTCAGGCCATTCCAGGCTCTGTTGTATCTGCCCACCCAGCTCTTTCCTCCCAGACTTAGCGGACAAGAAGAGGGAGACACCTGCTGCACGCTGGAGGCTGGAGGCTGGAGCCTGTGGCACCTCAGCTCACCTCACTGCCAACAGGATGACGGAGACTGTGGTGTGGCCAAAGTGGTAGAATGGTGGCAAGTGTGTTAACCAAGGCATCTCTTCCCACAGCATGGGGCAGTTTCGGGGCCTATCCTGGGCTGCACTGCCCATGGCAGGGACTGGTTGGGTGCACTATCCCGGGCTGCACTGCTGGCGGCAGTGGGGCACTTGAGGGGAGCTATCCAGGGCTGTGTTGCCCACAGTGTTGGGGGGGATTGGGGGCATGATCCTGGATGGACAGGGTCTGCTTGGGTGTGCTATCCAGGGCATCACTTCCCCTGGCAGGAGGCTGGTTGAGGGCACTATCCTAGATGGCACTGCCTGTGGGGTGGGGGGGGCACTGTTTGGGTGCACTATCCCGGGCTGCACTGCTGGCAGCAGTGGGGTTCTTGGGGGGAGCTATCCAGGGCTGTGTTGCCCATGGTGTGGGGCAGATTGGGGATGCAACCCCAGACAGCCATGGGCTCGTTGGATGCACTATCCAGGGCATCACTTCCCCTGGCGGAGGGCTGGTTGAAGGTGCTATCCCAGGCTGCACTGCTGGGGGCAGTGGGGCATTTTGGGGGTTCTATCCAGTGCTGCACTGCCTGCAGTGGGGGCCCTATCCGGTCTTGCAACGCCTGTGGCTGTGATGGGTTGTGAGCAATATGGGTACTACACTGCTGGTGGCAGGGGGCAGTTTGGGGGTGCTGTAAGGGTTACACTGCCTGCCAGGGGTGGGGGGATGTTGGGGGCACTATCTAGGGCCTGCACTGCTGGAGGCAGGAGGCAGAGGTGGCAGCGACAGCGGTGGTCTCTAAGGAAGGGTACGTTCTCCTCTTCCTAGACTCTGTATTCTAGAGGGTGACCTGTTCTGCTCGTTCTGGAGCACTGGAGATGAACAACGTTTCTGCAGGAATCCTGAGTAAGGCAGGGCCCCCATACCCACCATGGTCCCCAGGCCTACACCCTCTTGTTGTGTTGCAGGAACCGCCTGGGACCCCCCCCACACTGGCACTGGGGGTCAGGGGAGAGTCAGGGCGGGCCCTGTGGGTTCAGGGGTCAGGAACAGGAACTAGCACTTGGGTGTGGGGGTGGCTGGGTCTGAGTTTCTGCTACTCCTGTTCCCCAAGGTGTGCAGCCCCAGTGGGCCCGGGGGTTCCTGTCTAGCTGGACCTGGCCAGGACTCGGTTTCAGTGAAGACACTCACACCCACCCCAGGCCCCAGTTCCTGACCAACTTGGGCCAAAAGGAGAGGCTGAACTTTGGAGGGTGGGTGTGAGTGCCTTCGCTGAAACTGGCCCCTGCCACCCAGTGGCCAGCATGACAAGGTGAGGCTCTAATGCTACCACTCCCTGCATCCTGTTCTAGGCTTTTCTGGCTTTGCCTGTCCAGCTGCTCCATACCCAGCTAGAGGAGGAGAAGCAGGAAGCACCAGATGCATGCTGGAGGCTGGAGCCTGCAGATGGCATGGCTCTGTGGCTCGCCTCACTGTGGTTGGTGGCCGTGACAGAGAATGCAACTCGACTGGAGCGGTAGGAGGGGGCCAGTGGTGGCCAGGTGGTAGGAGCCTTACAGGGTGGGCTGGTGCATTGAGGGTAACAGCAGCAGTGGTTGTATTGGCGTCAGTGCTAGTGGTGGCAGCAACAGCAAGTCTGGGGGCTGGGAAGGGGGAATAGGAGCACTGTGGGGCCTGGTCCAGCCTGGATTGGGGAGGAAGTTGCAGGTGCTGTACTGTGGGCCTTGGTGGCAGTGGTGAAGGTGCAGTCACGGCAAGAAGCCCTCCCCCTTCTCCTGCAGAATCTGGAGTGTCTCTTCCTCCTGCTGGTGCCTGAGCCATGTGAGAGTGGTAGCATTGTCTCATTCTTAACAAAATTTAGGGGGTGACTATTTGTGTATTTTCTACTTGTTTTGGTTGTGATAGTCCTGGATTTTTTCAAATTTCATGAATTGGGGAGGAGAAAATATCATAATAGGCTTTTATTTTTTAAGATAGAGTCTTCACTCTGTCACCCACGCTGGAGTGCAGTGGTGTAATCTCAGCTCACTGCAACCTCTCCCTCCCAGGTTCAAGCTATTCTCCTACTTTAGCCTCCTGAGTAGCTGGGATTACAGGCACCTGCCACCACACCTGGCTAATTTTTGTATTTTTAGTAGAGATGGGGTTTCTCCATGTTGGCCAGGCTGGTCTTGAACTTCTGACCTCAGGTTATCCACCCACCTTGGCCTCCCAAAATGCTGGGATTACAGGCATAAGCCACCACACCCAGTCACTTTAATAGACCTTCTAATTTCCTCACCTGTTTTTTCCTTTCTTCCCATCTCTTTTTTCTTATCATCATCATCATCATCTTCTTCTTCCTCTTCATTTTCTTATGCTGCTGCTTCTATTTCTTGTTTCTATTCTTGTTTCTCCTCCTCCTCTTGTTTTCTTTATCCCGAGCGGTGGCCTTAACAAAACAACAAACCAAAATTGAGTTAAAAATAAACTACCTGTGTGCTGTATTTTTAAAATAATTGGCCCATTACTATGTTTTTAGAGATGAGAAAAAAATAGTTCCATAGTTATTTAGTTATTTGGATAGCTATGCTTTCATGATCCTGTAATGTGTTGTAAGTAGTTATTCAAGGAAACAAGGAACCATCAAATCAAATATTGGTAGCAAACAGCCATTTCATTTCTCTCACATAGTAGTCTGGAGATATCCAAGAGTCATGGAAGTATTAAGTTCCAATTTTTGAGATCATTAAGTGAACCATAATCCCTTCATTTTATTTTTCTGCCACCATTTTCAAGAGTATTGTCATCTGTATGGTGAACCTGGTTCATCATCGCATCTTTGCAACAGGAAAAGGAAGGGGAGGATCATGTGTATAATGTTTTAAGGCCAACATTCACAACCAAAAACAAGGCTTTATTAACTTTTGCCTTTAAGAGCCTGCAGTGTTGAGCCCTCTTTTATTCCTAGTATTATTACCTTTGGTATGAACATTTTTTAGTGATTACTGTAGAAGTTTATGCATTTTATTGACTAAAGAAACAATCCGTATTGTATCACTTTTCAAGCCCACAGAAATGCATAGGCCTATAATTTAGACACTTTTTAATTATTTTTAAGGCTGTGAGCCTGTAAAATACTGTCGATATATGTAAAAATATGTATAAATACCACTAGATAGCTTATATTGAAGAGATACTGTCTAGATTTTTGTCCAGAGTAGATTGGTTGCTGTTTCTTAGGTGTGTTTCTCAATACATTGTCTCAATATTTTAAAGCATATAGAAATTTGAATATTGTTTAACCTCGTATAGTTCTTTGTTTATAGGTTGTTTAATATTTCTAAAGACTAATAACATCACAGCCCCCTTTAAGATTCAGTAATATTAATAAAATTTGAGGTATATAGAGTTATAATCCAATAAACCCAGAGGAAAATTGTTAAATTATATAGCTGTAGAGCAGGAAATGAAACCCAGGTTCCAAACTCTAAGGGGTCCATGAGCTACCACACAAGTATATCAGTGGCGGGCATAAATTT
This sequence comes from Homo sapiens, assembly GCF_000001405.40. Lineage (NCBI taxonomy): Eukaryota > Metazoa > Chordata > Mammalia > Primates > Hominidae > Homo > Homo sapiens. The sequence continues at coordinate 37,731,061 of NC_000010.11, forward strand.
GGCAGAATTACAGGATTTTTAAGACAGGGAGCTGTGGAGCCTAACTCTATGAGAACATAAATTTTTAAACTGCATTGGTGCCTTAGTTTATCCATCGTTCCAATGGAAATAGTACTAAGTTTTTCTTTTTCTTCTCAGTTGACTGAATTATTTCCCTAGTCTGTCTTGTTGCCCCTCTTGATGCCCACATGAGAGGACCTGAGGTAATTTCTGACAGCCTGGGACAGGTTAGGAGAAATCAAAGGTGTCACAAACCCCATTTTAGGAGAAGCCTATTTTCCTCATGGAACCCCAAGAACTGTAAGCAGACAGGTCCCTCTCAAAATCTAAGGCTCTTGTGTTAGCTGACCTTTTTGATTTGGGTGAGCATCAGAAATTAGTAGGGAAGAGAGATACAAAGAAAATTATGGATTTGAACATGTATTTATGGTAAGAAAAGTTATGAAGAAAATAAATTTTATATGAGAGAGGATCTTGTGTGGCAAATTCTTTTCCTGAAGTAGAATGACTAGCAAAGAGGGGAACATAGAAGAAGTCAGAAAGTGCAAGTTTGTCATAGTTGGTCTTTGAAAGGTGTGATGGGAAAGAAAATCTTACAACTGCTAGATGTTCTCCTGTCTAGAAGTGTTGTGTGTGTGATGTTTGTACAAAGGAGCTCTAATTAATTGGCTTGAAAGAAAATGAAAGCTCTTAAGTATTATGAAAAAACAATAGAAACTCTAATGCCTTTTATTTCACATGACTTTAATAATCTTTGGGAAATGAAGACAGTTTCAAAATCATTGGTAAAATAAAAAAGTCTTCAAAATTTAGACGTTTGGTCTAAATTAAGTCAGCTTAAATTTGCTTAGTGCTTTAATGTCATAAACTGCTTTGACTTTGGACGATTTTTCAGTTTACCTGGTTTAGAGCCATTTGATTTCTAGGTAAGGCTTGGGGACAGGTGGAGTTAGCCATGTGTCCTAGCTATGCAAGAAAGAGTCAGACTTTATCTGCAGTTCTGTCTTGTATCCTAGACTCTGCACCTGGTACATAATTAAACCTTCTTAAACTGGAAAGAAAAATTTGTGTTTTTTAATTTTTAAAAGGCATGGGAATATGTTTTTTTATAAAACCAAGTTTCATCTGATTTAGAAAGTTTAAGAATTATTTTATTTGAAAGAAAACAAAGATTAAGCAAGCTACAGAAGGTTTATGAAAGTTAACTTTGGAAAGAATTCTGTGTGAGCAAGTTGACTAAAATAAAAGGACAGTGATGTTAGATACAATAAATGCAGGTACCCTTCCACTTTATTGTCTATTTCTTCAGTTATAAATATTTACATCTAAAATTTCTACAAACCCCTTCACTATTATATTAAAACACAACTGTGTTCTCCTTGCATTGCATTCCTTTTTCATAGTATCCTGAAATTTCATTAGTAGACTCAGATTCAGAAGACGGTGGAGAAGAACCTTATGAAAGTATTCATAAGTACATTTACTTTAAAGTAAGGCAAGGGTTTTCTGTACGTGGTGGTCATCACAGCATCGTTTGTTGCAGCGAAACATTGGTAAAAACATCAATGTTTATCAATGAGGAATTGTTCAGATAAATGATGATTTGTGTCTTTCAAGGCTCAGCTGTTAAAAAGCACCCTCTTTTCATCACTTGCTTACATTTGGTTCTGGGCCTGGAGTCCTTCAGAGGTTACTCAGAACAGTGGACTCCTGTCTCCTGTGACTAATCCAGACAGTGGCTTCCTATTTCATCCTTTATCATTTTCCAAAAGTTTGTGAAGATAATTTCTTGATGACCCATACTCTTGGTTTACTTTGCAGTTAACAATTTCATTCCTTCACTAGATTATCTGTTTGAAGCTGAGGGTTGTATGTGTTCATACTCTGGAGGGGGCAGAGGGAAACAGCTACACCCAAATGAGTTATCTTGCACTAAATGTTCATTATAAGAATGTGAATACATTCATAGATGATAAATCTGTCAGTAATGTTTACTTGCATGATTCTTAGTTGAAACTTCACTCACTGGTGATACTGTGCTGGTTGGATCATACGTGCAATTCTTATGCATTGGAATTGCATTCAAACCACCAGTGCCTACCTACTCAATTTTTGTTGCCTTTTGATTAAAAACACTTGTGAATGTTTCTGCTGCATGCAAATATGGGAACTGCAGTTTCATTCTAAGTAGAAACTCTTTGGCATTGAAATGCCATAATAAGATACACAGCTATCAGTGGGCAACAATTCACTGTTAGTTAGGAATTTACATTGGTAATTTTCATATTCTTCATTATCCAGACTTTGTGGCAAGAAAACGACATTCTTTAATTTTTTTTCTGGAAGAATTACACAATATTGCTATTATCAAACCCAACACTGTGATAAGTAGAAAAGGTCTAGAAATTAAAAACAAAAGTAGGTAATATTTTCCAACTATGGTTAAATTAATTGCAAAATAACAACCTCTTAATTGTCAATTGGGAAACAAGGTTATCATTTAGAGTGAAACAGAACATAATGCATTGCTGGCGCTAGTTACCACTAAAGCCTTTGAGCACTTTATATGTTTACAAAGACTCAGTCTACTCATGTGTCCTTCTGTAAATAATCCTACTCTACCAGCATCCCATGTAAATTTTAAAAATTATAATTCTTACCTTAGATTGTAACAAATGTTCTTCTTATTTAATTATATGTAAAGCAATCTTGTTATAAACTCACATTAGCTTGCCTCATTCCCTGTATGTTTATTATAAAATGTATGGTCCTTTTCAATATATGATAGTTTAAGGATGCATTTAATAGTTTGTTTTAGAACAAAAATAAATCTTTTATTTTATATACAGGAAAATTACAGTCAAATTCAGAGGTCAGAAAACTTCTCCCGTAAAGGGTGAAATAGTAACTATTTTCAGGTTTGCTCAGCATGTGGTCTCTGACAACTGAACTCTGAAGTCATACCAAGACAGCAGCAATAAACAATGTGTCAATGAATGAGTGGAGCTATGCTCCAATAAACTTCATTTACAAAAACAAGTGGTGGGCCAGATTTTGACTGGAGGCTGTAGTTTGCTGATCCCTGAACAATTTTTCTTGAAACAATGAAGTTGGATTGAAATTTGAAAGAATGTTGAAGCGGCATCATTCTTCTGGGGTAATACCCAACAGAGGTTCATCCTCTCACACCAGGGAAATCAGGGATGTGGACACACAAGAAGTGAGTTTGAGTGGAGGATTAATAGGCAAAAGAAAGAAAAGAGAATAGCTCTCTGTCCTCCAGAGAGAGAGGGGCACCCGAGTGTGTCTTCCAGTTTCACGGTGACATGCACAGGGTTTTATAGAAGAACTCGAGGAGGTGGTGTCTAACTTACACAGAGCTGGAGAGATTGATTGGACCAGGTGTGATGTTCGCATAGCATGCAAAGAAGCTGGCCATCCCACCCCAATCTTGTATTATGCAGATGAGGTCTTTGCCTGACTGGCACCATATTGTTCGTTCCTTACTGTACCTGTGGTTGACAAAGAAAAGGGAAGATGGAACCACTGTGTTGAACATTCATTGGCCGTGTTGAACATGCCTGGCTACCAGGTAGCCTTTTCCTATTGGCACAGCTGCTGGCATTCACCTGTGTAAGCTTATCTGTGTCTATAGCGTGATTTTACAGGGTGCTGTTTGTTAGAAAAGGAATTATTTTGGGGCTGCTTTTTATTAAAAGGAAAACCTTACTGAGGACTTCCTTACCTTCATTATCTGCCTAAATTTCTTTTTTTTTTTTTTTGAGATGGAGTCTCGCTCTGTCAACCATACTGGAGTACAGTAGCACAATCTTGGCTCACTGCAACCTCCACCTCCCGGGTTCAAGCGATTCTCCTGCCTCAGCCTCCTGAGTAGCTGGGACTACAGGCGCATACCACCATGCCTGGCTAATTTTTTTTTATTATTTTATTAGAGATGGGGTTTCACCATGTTGCCCAGGTTGATTGCGAACTCCTGAGCTCAGGCAATCCACCCACCTTGGCCTCCTAAAGTGCGGGGCTTACAGCCATGAGCCACTGCACCCAGCCAAGAGATATTCTTCTGTTTGTGGATTTCTTAGGGTTGAGTCATAGTGACTAACAAGGCTTATCAAGGACAGGGATCAGTGCTTTGGTGGCACTGGTAAAAACAAGCTTATAAAATGGCTTTCAGAATTAGCTAGCTCTCAGCTGGGCATGGTGGCTCACACCTGTAAACCCAGCACTTCAGGAAGCCAAGGCAGGTGGATCACTTGAGGTCAGGGGTTCAAGACCAGCCTGGCCAACATGGCAAAGCTCTGTGTCTACTAAAAATACAAAAATTAGGCTAGATGAGGCCGACGTGGGTGGATCACGAGGTCAGGAGTTCAAGACCAGCCTGGCCAGCATGGTGAAACCCCATCTCTACTAAAAATACAAAAATTACCCAGGCATGGTGGCTCGCACCTGTAGTCCCAGCTACTCAGGAGGGTGAAGCAGGAGAATCGCTTGAACCCAGGAGGCAGAGGTTGCAGTGAGCCAAGATCACGCCACTGCACTCCAGCCTGGGAAACAGAGTGAGACTCCGTCTCAAAAAAAAAAAAAAAAAATTAGCCAGGCATGGTGGAACGCGCCTGTAATCCCAGATACTTGGAGGCAGAGGCAGGAAAATCACTTGAACCTGGGACATGGAGGTTGCAGTGAGCTGAAATCGCACCACTGCACTCTGACCTGAGCAACAGAGTGAGACTCACTCTCAAAAACACTAAAAATTAAAAAATAAGGATGAACTTGTTCTCATGTCATTGTGACACTGGCAAACCACACTGCCCCCAGCACAGTGATATTGTTTAATTATGTGACACATTCTCTAAAATGAGGTGTTGTTAAAGAGATCTTTTAAAATTGTCTTGTATACAACTCCCCAAATATTAGGAATATAGTTCCATTGGGTGCATATGCAGTAAACATTTATTTGAAAATGTAAAAATCTAGCTAATTGGATATACATGAGTTATTAAAATAATTCAAACATTAATTTCTTTTTGAATATTTCATTTTCTTGTTTGTTCTTTGGCAATTAAACACAATCTGAAGCTCAGTTGATTCTCATTATTTGGGTTTGGAATCACCAATGTTTCAGGTGAATCATGTTAGGGCTAATTGGGGCTCTGAGAAGGGCTCATTTTCTGTGTGGAAATCATTACTTAAGAGGTGCTTGGCTGGTTTGGTCAGCTCGGGCTACCATGACAAAATACCAAAGACTGAGTGACTTCAACAACAATGTGGATTTCTCACAGTTCTGGAGGCTGAGGTCCAAGGTCAAGGCACTGGCAGATTAGGTTCCTGATGAGGGCCCCTTCCCAGTTTAGAGAGGGCACCTCCTCAGTGTGCCCTCATGGCACACTGTGTCCTCTCATGGCAGAGGGAGAGGAAGAGAGAGGGGGGTTGGGGGAGAGAGAGTGTCAGAGGGGGAGAGAGAGAGGAGGGAGAGAGAGGGGGTTGTGAGGGGAGAGAGACAGTGTCGAAGGGAGAGTGAGGGGGAGGGGGGAGAGAGTTCGAGGGGGAGGGGGGAGAGAGTTCAAGGGAGAGAGGGACAGAAAAAGAGGGAGAGTGGCAAGGGGAGAGAGTAAGAGAGACAGTGAGGGAGGTGGGAGAGAGAGGGACAGAGAGTATGAGTCAGGGCTCTACCCCCTTCCTCTTCCTTTTAGAGCAGTGATCCCACCATGAGGCCCCACCTTATGAGGTTAGCCTCATCTAACCCTCATTTTCTCCCCAAGGCCCCTCCTCTAAATACCATCACATTAGGGGTTTAGGCTTTGACATGAATTTTGGGGGGATGCAAACATTTAGTCCATGTCAAAGGCAACACTGAAGGATCATTTGACAGCTGAATTGTGTTTCCCAGGAAATCCTACTTTGAAGCCCTAACTCCTGGGACCTCAGATTATGATTGTATTTGGAGATACGGTCTTTAAAAAGATAATTAGTGTAAAATGACGCCATCTGGCTGGTCCCTAATCCATAGGGCTGATATACTGATAAGAAGAGGAGATTCAGACACAGACATACACAGGGCCAATCCTGTGAAGACGCAGGGAGAAGATGCCGTGTCAAGCCACAGGGATAGGCCTCAGGAGGAACTGAGAGGTGAGAGCATGCTGGCAGCCCTCGCTCACTCTCGGTGCCTCCTCGGCCTTGGCGCCCACTCTAGCCATGCTTGAGGAGCCCTTCAGCCTGACACTGCACTGTGGGAGCCCCTTTCTGGGCTGGCCAAGGCTGCAGCTGGCTCCCTCAGCTTGCGGGGAGGTGTGGAGGGAGAGGCACGGGTGGGAACCAGGGCTGCGCATGGTGTTTGTGGCCAGCACGAGTTCTGGGTGGGCGTGGGCTCAGCAGGCTCTGCACTTGGAGCAGCCAGCCGGCCCTGCTGGCCCCAGGGCGTGAGGGGCTTAGCACCTGGGCCAGAAGCTGCTGTGCTGGACTTCTCGTTGGGCCTTAGCTGCCTCACCACGGGGCAGGACTTGGAAACTGCAGCCTGCCATGCCTGAGCCTCCCCGCTGCATGGGCTCCTGCACAGCCCGAGCCTCCCCAACGAGCGCTGCCCCCTGCTCCAAGGTGCCCAGTGCCATCGACCACCCAAGGGCTGAGGAGTGTGGGCGCATGGTGCAGGACTGGCAGGCAGCTCCACCTGTGGCCCCCGTGCGGGATCCACTGGGTGAAGCCAGCTGGGCTTCTGAGTCTGGTGGGGACTTGGAGATCCTTTATGTCTAGCTAAGGGATTGTGAATACACCCATCGACACTCTGTATCTAGCTACTCTGGTGGGGACTTGGAGAACCTTTATGTCTAGCTAAGGGATTGTAAATACACCAATTGGCACTCTGTATCTAGCTCAAGGTTTGTAAACACACCAATCAGCACCCTGTGTCTAGCTCAGGGTTTACGAATGCACCAATGGACACTCTGTATCTAGCTACTCTGGTGGGGACTTGGAGAACCTTTGTGTCGACACCCTGTATATAGCTAATCCAGGGGGGACGTTGAGAACTTTTGTGTCTAGCTCAGGGATTGTAAACGCACGAATCAGCACCCTGTCAATACGGACCAATCAGCTCTCTGTAAAATGGACCAATCAATTCTCTGTAAAATGGACCAATCGGCTCTCTGTAAAATGGACCAATCAGCAGGATGTGGGTGGGGCCAGATAAAAGAATAAAAGCAGGCTCCCTGCACCAGCGGTGGCAACCCGCTGGGGCCTCCTTCCACACTGTGGAAGCATTGTTCTTTTGGTCTTTGCAATAAATCTTGCTGCTGCTCACTCTTTGGGTCCACACTGCCTTTATGAGCTGTAACCCTCACCGCAAAGGTCCGCAGCTTCACTCCGGAAGCCAGCGAGACCACGAACCTACCAGGAGGAACGAATAACTCCAGACGGGCTGCTTTAAGAGCTGTAACACTCACCGCGAAGGTCTACAGCTTCGCTCCTGAAGCCAGCAAGACCACGAACCCACCAGAAGGAAGAAACTCCGAACACATCTGAGCATCAGAAGGAACAAACTCCGGACATGCCGCCTTTAAAAACTGTGACACACACTGCGAGGGTCCACAGCTTCATTCTTGAAGTCAGTGAGACCAAGAACCCACCAATTCTGGACACAGAACCAGCCCTTCCCACACCGTGATCTCAGACTTGCAGCCTCCAGGACTGTGAGAAAGACATTTCTGCAGTTTAAACCTCCTGTCTGTGGTGCTTTGTGATGGCAGCCCTCACGTACAGCTGTACCAGGCTGGAGAAGCATGGCTTGGCCTTGAAGCAGCAGCAGAGAGACCACAGAGATGCAGGCAGATGTGGGGTGGGTATCAAGCCAGTTCCCACAGCTTTTCTGTACCCCCTTAGCTCCTCCTGAACCTGGAGGCCTCTCCCAGCCTGATGGGAAATTGGCTGGGTTTAGTTCTAGTAGAAACTGGGGCAACTTTCTCACAGACATGCAGGCAGCAAACACACAGAATAGACAGTCGCCTGCATCAATGTCAAGGGGCAAAGTGAAGCACAAACACACATGCGGGCCTAGCCTGCCCAGTGTGGCTGCAGGATCCCCACTGCAGCCAGGGAAGGTCAGGCATGTGTGTGTGTTTGGGCTGGGATTGGAGTGGGGATTAAGGTTGCAGTGGTTAGCAGGTGGGCAGGGAGGTGAGGGCAGTTCGCAGGGACCAGCAGGTAAGGCAGACAGAGAACTGCAAAGACAGAAAAGTAAATGGGGCTGCAAATCACAGTGCACAGAGGCATATGTGGGGCTTGTTTTTGGAAGGCTGAGGATGAATGAGTCATGCGTGTGGTCTCAACTATGCTTCAGGACACCCACTGAGTCAAAGATGCTCACTCTGGCCCAGGAGGCTAGCTGCTTCTGGCTCCCTTATAACCTTCTAAGAGCCCACTGGAAACTCTCCGGGCCTAGTGGCAAGTGGTCCCCAGTTGTCAGGACTCATGGCTGCAGCCTCATTCCCTAAGCTCAAGGCTACCATCCTGCTAATGAGGCACTGATTAATTGGAGTTTTGTCCCATCTGATCATAAACTGATGCTTGCAAGTCTTAAAAAACAAAATAAAGACCAGGCACGGGGGCTCACACCTGTAATCCCAGCACTTTGGGAGACCAAGGTGGGTGAATCACATGAGGTCAGGAGTGCAAGACCAGCCTGGCCAACATGGTGAAAGCCCGTCTCTACTAAAAGTAGAAAAATTAGCCAGGCGTGGTGGCAGGAACCTGTACTCCCAGCTACTCAGGAGGCTGAGGCAGGAGAATCACTTGAACCCGGGAGGCGGAAGTTGCAGTGAGCTGAGATCGCACCACTGCACTCCAGCCTGGGCAACAAGAGTGAGAATCCATCTCAAATAAATAAATAATAACAAGCACTTACTGTGTGCCCGGTGGCTTGTTTGGGGTTGAAAGCATAGACGTGAATAAGACATCCTTAATCAACCAGAATAGTTGATTCTTTTGGAGGGAAGGGGCCCCAGGTAGCTGGTTGTGCACAGGATCCTTGTAGCTTGCCAAGGCATAAAGCCCACTTTCCAGGAAGCCAGATGCACTGGGTAGTGCCTGGCCCCAGCTGTCCATTGGCCCTGTGCATTACAGGGGGTCTGACCGAGGGAGGGCTCTTTTATTTAGCACTTAGCACTGCCTGTGAACTTGCCAGCTTCTCTGCCTGTTTACCCTCACTGGATTGAATGTTCCTTAAAGTTTAACATAAAAGAATTTATGTTAAATAAGACAGAGGTCTTGTTCACTTCTTCTACTGCCTTGCGTGGAATAGCATGTTTATTAAAAAATGAAAGAGAGATTTCAAGAACTTCATTAACTAAAAGTCACACAACCTACATATTTAAAAAGGAAATTTTCCTCAAAGGTTTATGGGCTGCAAGGTGGCCATCCCTATAGGCTGGGAAGCGTAGCCCACCCCAGAGCCTTCTAGGCAGAACTGTGAGGGAGGGGAGTGTGGCACAGGGATCCATGCTGAATGGATTCAAGCACACATATTCAACGCATTACAGGAGGAGCTATGAATACTCAGGAATGGGGTCCTGGACATGCATGATGGACAAACATGCATGTTACATATAAACCAAGTTCACTTTGGGATGGAAACCTAACACTTAAATGTGTTACAGTTGGGCTATATACATCAAAAGGTCTCAGGACACCAAAGCACTCAAGGGCACAGCCTCTGGTAAAGTGGCTGGAGCCAGTCCATGGTTGGGGGTCTTTTTATCAGGAGAAAGTCACTCAGTCTCTTGTCTAAATCAAAGCTGTAGTCGTGGCTAGTGGAATGGGGTTCAGTTAGGCCGCGTCTGCTATTTGGTGAGCTGTTGCTGCTGCAACACTGTTTATCTCGAGGCCAGGGCTTGTTTAGCTGCCAGAGAAATAGAAAAATCTTGTGAGAGTTAGAACACAGTTTACTCCATGCACAGTGTAGGGTGCATGTCTTAACCCTTGCCTGGTGCAGCCTTAGGCCCTGTGTATAATTTTGGTATCTTATTGCCACAGAGTCTCCTCCATCAGTCTTGTCTTTGTTCTGACATTACTCCTGGTCAGTTGTGTCTAAACCCCAAAAGGGTGAGGTATAATGAGGCGTGTCCCACCTTCCATGCCAACATGGCTGGGAAGTCAGTTTTAAGGTTTCCCTGGGGTACCCTTGGCCAAGAGGGGTTCTGCCCGGTCAGTTGGGGAGCTTAGAATTTTATTTTTTCAGTTTACACCTCTTGGTGGAGAAATCTGCAGAGGGAGCACCTGTTAGGCGCTGGGGCCAGGGGTCCTGGGTTGGGCCTGTGGGAAGTTCACAGTGATGCCGAGTGAGGACGCACCATTCTGGGATGGAATCCTGGCATGGTGAGCCATGCCACATGGAACGTGTTTGCATCAAGAAGCGTCATTTAGGGGTTTTCTTTCTGCTATGAGCCACAGTCCCTTCACTTCATCAGCGGGACTTTCCTTCCGAGAGCCTGGGGAAAACAACTGTGACCTCGGAGCAAGGTTGGGGAGAGGGGACAGCAGCTGCAGACTCAGGGTCAAAAGGCAGGTGGCCCCCGTCATGATTTGCGTGGCAGGCAAATACCTGGAGCCCCCACGGCCACGTAGACAACACTGGAATCACTCGGGGTGAAGATCAGGTCTGCAGGACACAGCTCAGTCTGAGTTCTCTACTCGATTTCCCCATCACAACTTGGAAGACAGAGTTGTGCCGGGACCCCGGGGACTGGGGGAGGCAAAGCCAGTGGGGGCGGGGAGGGCAGGGACCATGAGGGAGATACAGCATCCCAGAAACATTCAAATAAACAACCAGAAAATCAGAGCAACACTGGGTGAGAAGAGGATCCAAGGGCAGGCGGGCTGTTGTGGATGCCAGCCTGATCTGTGGCACAGTTTGCAAGAAGAGGCTCGCACCAGTGAGTGGCCCTAGAGGATGTGCCGACCTCCCACGCTTAACTAACAGACATGGGGCAGGTGTGGTTTTGAACCACAGGAAGACAGTTTACATTTCATTTATTTGTTCATTCTTCCAATAATTGTTTTCATGATAACCTTTTGTTCCTGGGAACTTTCTCTGCTTCTGTCAAGAATGATATGTTTTAGGATTTTTATGCTTCAGAATATTTATTTATTTTTGAGACAGGGTCTCACTCTGTTGCCAAGGCTGGCATGCAGTGGCACAATCTCGGTTCACTGCAGCCTCTACCTCCTGTGCTCAGTGCCTCAGCTTCCCGAGTAGCTGGGATTACAGGGGTGCACCACCACATCAGGCTAATTTTTGTATTTTTAGAGACTGGGTTCCAACATGTTGGCCAGGCTGATCTCAAACTAGACTCAAGTGATCCTCCCACCTCGGCCTCTCAAAGTGCTGGGATTATAGGCATGAGCCACTGTGTCCGTCCTAGAATACTTTTTTTTTAATATATATTTTTTTGAGATGGAGTCTCACTCTGTCGCCCAGGCTGGAGTGCAGTGGTGCAATCTCGGCTCACTGCAACCTCCACCCCCAGGGTTCCAGTGATTCTCCTGCCTCAGCCTCCAGAGTAGCTGGGATTACAGGCACCAGTCACCACACCCAGCTAATTTTTGTATTTTTAGTAGAGACGGGGTTTTACCATGTTGGCCAGGCTGATCTCAAACTCCTGACCTCAGGTGATCCACCTGTCTGGGCCTCCCAAAGTGCTGAGATTACAGGCTTGAGACACCACGCCCGGCCATATAAATTTTTAAAATATATTAATTTAATTTAAAAATATTTTTATTTTAGATTCAGGAGATCCATGTGCAGGTTTGTTTCAAGGGTGTATTTTGTGATGCTGGGGTTTGGGTTTCTATTGATCCCATCCCCATACACTGAGCACAGTACCTGATAGGAAGTCTTTCAAGCCTTACCCCTCCATCCCTCCTTTCTTTTGGAGTTCCCAGTGTCTACTGTTGCCCTATTTATGCCCTATGTATTCAATGCTTAGCTCCCATATATAAATGAGAACATGTGATATTTGGTTTTCCGTTTCTGTGTTAATTCATTCCGTAAACATTTATTGAGGACATGGAATGGGGGGGGGGTGGCATGCCATGTGCTGAGCTCTGAAAATGCAGACATAAATAAGTTGGTTTCTGCCCTGCAGTAGCTTTCATTCCAGCAGGAGGGTGAGAGAGTCGCTGTGTAAAAAGTGATAATCACTAAGAAACTGTTAACTGTTGCAGTATTAGTATGTGTGTCAAGTGCTGTGAAAGCCCAGAGAAGGTTGTGATTAATGCAGAGAAAAGAGCTCAAAGCTGAATCTCCTACAGAAAGCGCATGTGCTTATGAACTTCCTGGTTGTAGCAATGGCTGATATTCACACAGACATGGCAATACCTACATGCTGTTTCATAGAAAGCCACATCTACACTGTCCTGCATAAGAAGTCAGGAGTGGCCTTTTATTAGACAGCAGCAGAGCAAGCTTCTCAAGTACCTTGAATATATCCCTCATGTAATTCATATTTAACGTAGTATACAAGCTCTCAACCCATATGTGAATAAAGTGTCGGATATATAAGCACAGATGAACCTACACATTGCTTTTGAAAAATATTTGCCATGAAGTCTACAATGCAATATTGCTCTGCTCTTCAAAAGATTCCAAGTGAATAGCCCATGTGTGACAACCTTGATCCTTGCAAATAATTACGTGACATCCAAATGGATCCAGAAGGACGCAAGAGTCCTGGTGTGGCATAATGCAAAGCATGACTGAAGACACACAGTGGCCAACCTCTCAGTGTCCCAAAGACTCTGTGTCTGTTTTTCAGGGTTTTTTTTTTTTTCCCTTGAATTCCTGTCACCGAGGTAGATGCCTTTTCTCAGGATGCAAAGTAAAAAGATACAAGAGCTGAATATCTGCTAGATTCCTTCCTTTTGAAAAATTGTTCATTGTTCTGTGTCCCAAGTTAGGTCCGATAATGACAATGCTTCTTTTTCATAATAATAATAGAGTATCTGGAAACCTCTGACCACAGTAAAAACCCTGAAAAGATACAACCACAGGATTGATAACAGGAGTCAGGTGTGATTAGCAGAGCAGTCATTAAAGAAGATAAAGAGGAAAGAATGCTGTCCTCACAGGGCAGGCCAGTCTGACTTACAGAACCTCCAGGAAGGCAAGGATTATCCGTCTTATTTTCTCTCTGCTAATAAAAGTTTTCTTTGTTGTTGTTCTTCTGGACAATAAGAAGAATATTTAGAATCCAAATGCAGCAAATTATAAAATAATATCCTCTGGAGATGCTGAGATAATATATTTACCGAGTTTTATTAAAAACAAATATATCATTAAGTGAGACTGTAGTCTTAAAAACACACAAAGGCCTAATCTCTATCAGGATGCAGGCATGTAAACTGTTCTAGAATAGTATTTATAATCACACTTTCTTAGGTTGGGAGAACTGTTTTCAAAACTCCTGCTAGTTAATGACCTAACTTTCCCCCACAAAGTTTTTGGCTCTCAGCCTGAGACTATCTTAAGGATATAAGCAGAGGCCTGAAAACCCTATGGCCATGGAGATTTGGCTGCAGAAAGCCAAAGCCAAAGGAGGCATAGACCTGTTCCCTGGGACACAAACATGTTCCAAAGTCAAATCAATGTTGTGAGCAATATAACATGTATGACGGCAACCATAGTCAATATTTCAATAGTTGTGCATTGCTCACAGATGTAATTCTTAACAGAAGGTGGTTCTAACACCCTCAAGACAATGTTGGGAGTGAAGATAGACACATAAGTAGCAACCAGCTTATTGAAATCTGTTAGTCCAAACAAACGCCTTAGAAAAAAATTTCCAAAAGTGTTTGTAGGGGGTTAAATTTTATTTCCCAAATTTTTGTAGTGCAGAAATCTTTAGAATCATTCAAGCTTCAGTGGATTTTAAACTTCCTAACATTAGCTGCAAATTTTTATTGCATGTGTATATATCCGTATTGATTTTTTCTGAGAAGAGGGTCAAATAGGTTTAATCACATTATTATATTGTCAGAAACCAGTGCTCTAAGGACCCACCAGGGTGTGTAGCTAACAATAGACAAGGGATTCTGGTGAGAATTTCATACAGTGAGACAAAAACAAACTTCCTAAGTAGATTGCTGCTCACCCCAGATGAACCACAGCAAGGACAATGGGGACAGCAGCAGCAGCAGCAAGTGATGTTTCACCTGCTGGTTGTTGGAGTCCTGGGAAGGTGTTAGTGGTGTTTGCTAGAAGCAATCTGCTGCCCTGGAAACCTTGCTGCTTGTTGGAGTGGCAGTGAAGAGTGGCCCATACACACAGGGCACTGCCACAGAATCAAAGGTTCCATGGGAGAGGGTGAGCATGTTCTCCAGGTGGACCCCTTCTATAGAAATTCTAGCACAGGGAAATCCAGTCATTCTTCCCTAGGACAGATGTTGACCGACTCTTTACTGCCTTCAACTCTGGGGTCATGTTCTGTTAAAAGTATTATGAAGACAACAAAGAAAATATTAGAACTTCTTTAAGAGAAAAAGGAATGTACAACCCAAGGATGAATGAAGAGAGTGAGGCTCACTGCAGAAGAAAAAAGATTATGGAAGAAGAAGTATTTCATAAATCCCCAATTGATCATAAATCTACATCTGTGTGACTACCATATGTGTCACTGATGAATTAGAAGCTGGTTCTTAGAATCCTGTCTTGCACATGGGATTATGCAATTTACATACCATTTTGGTTCTAACACTTTGGCCACATCTTACTGTAGAATTGGATATAACGCCCAGTTAAAGTAGTTTGTTTTCTGCTGTGATGCTAAGGGGGCCTCAGGATGTCATGGCAACCAAAGGGTAGTCTAGTCCAGAACAGATGCCCCTGAGCTATGATGGGGTTATGTCCTGATAAACCCATTGCAGATTGAAAATATGGTACATTGAAGGCTGGGCTTGCTCGCTCATGCCTGTAATCCCAGCACCTTAGGAGGCCGAGGCAGGCTGATCACCTGAGGTCAGGAGTTCAAGACCAGCCTGGCCAACATGGTGAAACCCTATCTCAACCAAAATACAAAAATTAGCTGGGCATGAAGGCCTGTAATCCCAGCTACTCGGGAGGCTGATGAGGGAGAATCACTTGAAGCCAGAAGGTGGGGGTTGCATACAGTCAGATTGCGCCATTGCACTCCAACCTGGGCAACAGAGCGAGACTCTGTTTCAAAAAAAATGAAAGACAAAGAAAAAGAAAATATGGTAAGTTGAAAATGCACTTAATACACCTAATCTATAGAACTTCATGGGTTAGCCTAACTTGCCTTAGACGTGCTCAAAACACTTAAATTAGCATACAGTTGGGCACAGTCATGTAACACAGAGCCTATTTTATAATAAGGTGTTAAACATCTCAAGTCATTTATTGATGTAGTTGCTAGTTGAACCAGCATAAATCAAGAACTGTCTGTATTGATTACATTTTCTTTCTCCTAACTTTTCAAAATCCTAAACACTGTCATGAGAATCTGTTGTGGAGTAATCTTGCATTATTTTACACAAACACACTTTAAGAATATCTGTACTTTTATCTTATACCTGTAATAATGAACTTTACCATTTTTCTATGGCATAGAAAGGTATTTACCCACCTCGCTTTTAAATCTAAAATTCCCTCCTTCACCAAATTTACACTCTGAACAATTCAGAGACTTCTTTCGAGTGCTCTTCCATCATTTATCTTTCCAATGGATGGGTCCTAACCATGTCCCTATCCCTGGAAAGTCCATACCTCCCCTTGGTCAGTTCACCTGGGCCTTGGCCCCGCTGATGTGCTCTGCCTGCCATGAGACAGATCCTGCAGGGGCACCTGGGATTCCCTGACAGTTCACTGGGTCTTGTGCCAGAGTGGGAGCCTGTTTTGTGTTGTTACCACTTGCTGCCTCTTAAGGTCTGACGCCCATCACTTTGTTGACTTGTTTTGCCATTCAACTTCAGTTTGCCATAAAACACTACTCTAAGTCAGCCTGTTAGAGAAAACACTGTCAAGGTCTGCAGTCAAGGATAGGCATAGCTTCTGAAGCCTGTTTTTCTCCCTATTATCATTTTGCCCAAGCCTTGCTCTTTCCGAGTCCCTTACCTTTGTGAGCAGCATCAGTGTCATGAGGTCTGTAACAAACGTGTTGCCGTGGTTAATAAACTGACCTCAGGTCCCCTCCGAGTGCGTTTTTGCATGCCCAGCATTTTCACTGTAAAGTAGATCCTTGCTGAATCAATTTCCATCTGTCATTGTTCTTATTGCCCCACTTAACAGGATTGAATTACCAGGTTGAGATTGGGTTTCTGTATTCCAGCAAAACTGCTCACATAATCCTATGTGGCCAGGGAGGTCAGTAACACATATGGTAAAACTGTGTGATGCCACTGCAATGTGCCCATCTGGTTGCTGAATATAAGACCAAATCTGAAAGCTTTCTGAAGGTCCTGAAGTTACTCTTTCTTTTCTTTGCTTTCCTATTTCTTTTGAGACAGGGCCTCACTCTGTCAACCAGACTGAAGTGTAATGGCACAATCATCCTCACTGCAGCCTTCAATTCCCAACATCAAGTGATCCTCCTGCTTCAGCCTCCTGAGTAGCTGGGACCACAGACACACACCACCACGTCCAGCTAATTTTTTAATTTTTTTTTTTTTTTTTTTGTAGAGATGAGGTCTTGCTATGTGGTTGAGGCAGGTCTCAAACTCCTGGCCTCAAGGGATCCTCCCATCTCAGCCTCCCAAAATGCTGGGATTACAGGTGTGAGCCACCATGCCTGGCCTGAACTTATTCTTTTAGAAATAACATTGCTGCTCTACACTGCCCTGTTATGGGTCTTCTTTTCCCCTTGTGAGAGGGGCCTGACTAGTGAGTCCAAGCCTTAGCACTTTGGCCCTGTTCCCGTGGGTACGCTGCTTCCTCTCTCAGGGCATCAGCCTCTGACAGGTGCCCTGGGTCCCATCGAGGTCTCATGACTCAGTATCATCTGAGGGCATGACTTTCCTAGTCGTGCCTCACCCTCAGCACCCCCACATCCTCTGTGTATGGTGAGCATGTGGACAATGCCCTTTTGCGTGGTTCTGCTGGGGCAGAGCAACAGCTGGCAGGCTTGATCCTGAGGACTCTGGGGCCAGCACAGAGGTGGGGACAGTCACGTCTCATCTTTCTGAAGCTACGGCCCCAATTCTGATGAGCTGGCCAGAGCCAGAGCGGCAGCCTTGGACACCATACAGAGGAAGCTGACACCAGCCTGTTCTCTCCGTTTCCCTCTTGTATTTAGGCTCTGCCCCTTGTGTATTTAGGGTGTTCCCACAGAGAGAGTGAATCATTCCTTTCAAAAGGAGCTACCACTTAGTAAATATAATGCAGCATAAAGAGTCTCTCTGTGACATTCAAGGTGTTTTTTTTGTGTGGGAGGGTCCTCAATTTATCAAGATTGGGGGCAGGAACAGTGCTGAAGAACAAGGAATTCAGTGTGGATGGCTGTGTCCCCTTGCCCCTGGTTACAGACTGAACTGTGTCCCCCTGATTCATAAGTTAAAGCCCTAACACCAATGGGACTGTATTTGGAGACAGGATCTTTAAAGAGGTCATTAAGGGTAAATAGGTCCTAAGAGTGGGGCCCTAATTCTCACAGGACTGGAGTATTTAGAAGAGGAAGAGATTGCTCTGTCTCCTCTCTTCATCACTGTCTCTCTCCATCTTTGTATCTCTCTGTCTCTCTCTGTTTCTCTCCCTATCTCTATCTTCATCTCCATCTAGCTGTCTTTGTCTATTTTGGTCCCTGTCTCTCTCTTTCTCTGTCTCCATCTCTGTTTCTGTCTCTCTGTCTCTGCCTCCATCTTTGTCTCTGTCTCTCTCCATCTCTATCTCTGTTTCCATCTCTCTCTCTCTCTCTCTCTCTCTCTCTCTGCCATGTGAGCACACATTGAGGTTGTCATCTGCAAGCCAGGAAGAAACCATCACCAGAGGACACTTTGATTTGGCCTTCCAGCCTCTAGTGCTGTGAGAAAATAAACCTCTGTTGTTCAAGCCACCCAGCCTGTGGCATTTCATCGTGGCAGCCTCCTGTTCCTACAGCTCAAAATCAAGCAAATCATTGTAGCATGTGGGGCAACCTTGGCGAGCTTATTAATTACTTAGTCTGTCTCCCAGGCAGCCATCTTTATGGTCATCCTTCAGACCCCACTGCCCTTGGCCCCAAAGCCATGCCCACAGATACTTCTCAATTTCCGTGTCTTATTTTTATTCAAGTTCTGCTCTGTGTAGATGACAGCAGCCATCCTGAGACATCCATCTATGGAAGTGCATGACTTTGTTCAGGTGCAATATTGACAGTAATACTGTTCCCTACCAGGTGCACCACAGGCTGGGCCCATACCAAGCCCTTTGTGTGAATATCAGGTATTTTCACAGGGGATTTCTTTGTACCACCTAGAGAAAAGCCTCATTCAACAGACCTTCCACATTTGTATGCAAAGTCCTACCTTTCCTGGACTTTTGCTGTTCTTCAAAGCACACATACACCAGGATCATATGCTTGGGTGCGTAGGACTTCTCATTTTATCTTCTCATAAATGAGACTGAGAAGGCACCAGAAACTTGGGGACCAGCCAGCAGCATGCTGTGTTCTCAGTGAAGCTATTGAAAAACCTTAGTTACAGTTCTAGAAATAAATGTATTCATGAAAAATTAAGAAAATATAGTCTCGCCCTTCTGGATTACCATCATTATAAACAGACACACCAATTGTCTTATGATATAAAAGTCAGAATTAGAAGTATAGAAAGTAAAAAATCCAATTGCTGCATTCTAGAAACTCTTATGCATATTTTTAAAAGATAATCAAACACAATCACCAGGAAAAACCTTTGATCTAAGATATGCCACTTTTTTTTGGTCTCCGAAGTATACTATTTTCCTCTGATTACGTTAAAGAAGATTGCCTTTAAAAACATTAGATGGAGATAATTTTGAGTCCTATTAACTTGTATTTCAAGCTTGCCTCAAGCACTAATGAGAAAAAAAATTCCTGCTTTTCTCACAAAGAGGAATACACAACTCCAGCCTCAAAAATACACTCAGTGTTTGCATTTTATTAAAGCACACTTTGGACATCTGTGCCACTGACCTACAGGTATACTGATCTAGAGATGTATTAGCATGGTGTATGAGATCAAGTTTGAGAATATTGCTTTACCAATCAAATGAAAGCATCTCTAACATTTAAATGCTTACCTGTGGCATGATGCCACCAATGACTACTGCCTCTTCACTCCAAGTATTTGCAGAATTGCTTACACAAGCCCCCCAGATTGCCTGCTGTTGTATATTTCAAGATATTCTTATTTATGGTCTTGTTACGCAGGTGTAAGTAACTGTGGGCTCAAACCAGTGACATTGTTTGGGACAGGAGGTGACAGAGCTAAGAGTCGGACATGGGACACACCTGTGCTCAGATGAACTTATTATTATTCATGGGAATTTAAGCAATTATTTTCCAATTTTAAATCTGTTTCCCCATTTGAAAAAAATTATTCCACATAAGTATTGTGAGCATTAAACAAAAGAATGTATGTTAAACATTTAGCTCAGAGCAAGGCACATAGCAAATGCTTAATAAATAATAGCCATTATTATCATTTGAGATTTTTCTGAAGTTATGTGGAAAATATCTTACCAACTTAGAAACACAATTTAAATGCCCTGAGAAGGAAGATTGACTCCAGGGAATGATCTCTTGTCCGTCAGGATAAAGCATTCTTAGGTGTCCAGCATACCTAGTCAGTTATGCAGTATACCTGGTCAGGTATCTACCATACCAAGTTAGGTGTCTACTGCACCTGGTCAGGTGTCCAGCATACCTAGTCATGTGTGCGGTATACCTGGTTAGGTGTCTAGCATACAGAGTTAGGTGCCTACCACACCTGGTCAGATGTCCAGCATACCTGGTCCTGTTTCCTTTAGGAGACATTTCCATTTTTGAAGGAAATTTTCAGGCTGATACACATAGTTTCCTTTTAGGAGTGGTATACAATCTATTAATTCAATAGCAGTTATTTTCCTTTCATCTGTTTTCTTGTTCTTCAATTCATTTTACATTTCTAATAGTTGCATTTACACATTTTTGCTCATTTAAAAACAGAAATGCACCCTTAGCACATTTATTAATAGGCATATTGTCCACAGAAAATTTATTCTCACTAAATACTGCTTTCCAATTTGTTGCTGGTATAGAGTCTCTTGAGGATTTTGCTTGACACCTGAGTTTTCAGTTTTTTCACCAAGATATCTAATGATAATTATATCAATATCTTGAATTCTATTAACTTACAGGTGCAGTAAACTTATTGGAACTATCCTTAATAATTTATTGAGCACCTACTATATGCCAGGCACTGCATCAAATCTAGTTACACTAAAATAAAAACTTAAAACTAAAAAATCTCAAATTCCTGTCTGAAAGAAATATTCAATTAATGTTGACTAAAATAAAATACTTGAATTATCTGGGTTTTCACTTATTGCATTACCCTGGGAAGGGCAACTACTTTAGGGTTATTCTTCCCTTGCTACTTCTCTTCAATGGTATTTCCTTCTCCATCTGTTTTTTAAACATGAACCAAGAGGCTGTTTGAAGCCAGAACCTTGATCACATGCACAGGGAAACCAACTGGTAAGTAGTTCCTGGATGAGTTCTCAGAAGTACCCGGAGTCCCGGGCCACGCTCATTGCTGGGGATCCAAGATAAGGGTTGACTTCTGTTGCAGGGAGACCCAGCTACAGCAGATGTGCTGTCATTTAGAAGGGAACCAGCAGGGTCGCCACCCCACCAACTTCACGAAAGCTCATCTGAGCCTTGCAAAGGGGCAGGATCAGGAGGGCAAAGTCAGCCCACGGTCCTGCAGTGAACCATGAAAATGCTGGAGACCATGGGTGTGCAGGCTGGCTCTTCAATTTGACTTCTATTAAAATAAAAACTTTAGAAAAATTAAACAGTTTAACTGAGCAAAGAATGATTTGCAAACCAGGCAGCCCCTAGAACCTGAAAGGGGTTCTAAGAGACTCTGCGGCTGCCCCATGGTTGGATAATATTAGGGACAGAAAAAGGAAAGTGAGGGACAGAAAACAGAAGTGAGGCACAGAAACAGCTGGACTGGTCACAGCTCCACCTCTGCCTTCTTTGAACACAGATTGAGCAGTCAGCCACCTGTGATTGGCCGAAGCTCTGATTGGTACAATCACAATTGTAGGTGCCAGCCTGTTACACATCCTGTTAGGTTACAGTTCACTGTGCATGGAGAAATCTTTTAGTGAGCTTAAACCACATAAGGAGGCAGCTTTAGGCTGAACTTAATGCTTGACAGCAGAGAACAACTTACAGTGGTCCAGGAGGGCCACCAGAGGACACTCCTGAACACTCCATCAGCCAGGGCCTTTCCATCCTCACAGCTAAGAGCCTTCTGCTCAAGCTAAAGACCAAGGAAGCAGCTCCAAGTGAGCCTACTGCCTTGGCGTGACTTCCTGAACATGCAAAGCTGACTGTGCATTGTCTTCCATAGCACATCTGGTCCCCGGGTGTGCAGGCCACTGCAGCATGAAGACTCATCAATCAGAGCAGATGCATGCTGGGGCAGAGCATAGGGGTCCCCAAATGGCCTGGGAGTTAGTCTTTTAATTTCTGAGTTTGGGAGTGGTGGGGGTCCAGGGAGAGAAGTGTGCTTGTCTGGGCAAGTGGGGTTAGTATAGGGACCCTGGGGCAGCTGCTATTTACTAACCAGTAAGAAAGTCTTTTTTTTTTTTTTCTGAGACAGAGTCTCGCTCTATCACCCAGGCTGGAGTGCAGTGGCACGATCTTGGCTCACTGCAACCTCCGCCTTCCAGGTTCAAGCAATTCTCATGCCTCAGTCCCCACCCCTCCTGACCCCAGTAACTGAGACTACAGGTGTGTGCCACCACGCCTGGCTAATTTTTGTATTTTTAGTAGAGAGAGGGTTTCACCATGTTGGCCAGGCTGGTCTTGAACTCCTGACCTCAAGTGATCTGCCCACCTCAGCTTCCCAAAGTCCTGGGATTATAGGCATGAACCACTGCGCCTGGCCATGTCTTTCCACATTCTAGAAAGCAGGCAATGGGCTCCGTTGGAATGACTGATGTTGCCCGGTCTGTCCAACTCCAGGCCCTGGCCTTTCCCAGCCTCCACTTCCCACGTAGCGACTTGAAGCAGCTTGTAGTTTCAGGCACGTCACACCATTCCACTCCTGCTCTTCTCTTGGGGCCTCCCGCCTTCTGTCCAGTTCACCCCCTTCCTCCTCATGTGCCCTTGGGGCCTCTGCTAAGACATACCCTTCTTCATGGGGTCTTTGCTCACTGGTCTGGGCTGGGCCATGCGGATGCTGCCTTCTTCACCCAAGTGCACATGCACACTTCTGTTGCTGTTCCCACGGTGTGACACAGAGGCTGGCCGAGCTCCACCTTCTTCCTAGATGGTCTCTATCCTCTGGGATTCTACATATGTGCAGGGGTCTTATTCTCTAGACCCCAAATGAGGACATTTGTCTGAAATATTGGCATTATTCCAAAACATGGAGGCCAGTCTAGAGTCGGGAGTTACCGTTGTGTAGCAGACCTCTAAATATCCTTTATGCTCGTCACGACTTTGAAGTCATAGTAGTTACCAGACCCACCACTAAATCTTTTTATTTTAATGCTCAGAGAAGCACGTAGACTATTCCCAAATAAGTTTTTAAAAATATTCTATATACTTTGTATATTTTTAAAATATTTGACAACTGGTTTTTAATAATAGTAATAGTTTATTAGATATTTTCCTTATTTATTTTCATATTTATTTTATCTAATTTAGGTGTTTTATTTTCTTAGGTATTTTAATAGTTTAAAAATATTCTGAGAAAGGGTCTTTAGGCTTCACGTGGCTATCAAAGAGACCCAATGCATAAAAAGATTAAGAATGTTTTTAGAGGATTTGAGGAAAGATAAAAGATAACTGTGAAGGCTGTCATCAAAAGTGTAAGGTGAAGACTCTAATTTGAGTAGAACCAGGGCTGTATGCCTGGTACACAGTGGTGCTCAAGCAAAGTTTATTGAATGATGAGTGACTGCATGGATGCTGGTTGGGCTCCTTTTGGGCTCCTAATGCCTGAGCCATTTAGCTGCTCCTATAAAGTGCACTAGTGGGTCACTATCCCTAAGGCCTTTGCTTCCAAGCACAGCCACTGTCTGAAGACAGTGCTGCCTGCATCTCTTGTGTTTTACTCATCTCCTGGATAGAGATATCTCATGTCTCCTGCAAGTCTTTGTTGAGGACTTGTCTGAACAAAGTCTTTTTTCTTTTCCAGGATGTTTGTGCAGCAAACAGCCTTAGAAGGTGGAGATAGTGTGTCCCTAGGAGCAAAGGGCAGTCATGCCTCCTGCCAGTGTAAAAGATCCAGGTTCTCTAAGCTCAGGGTCGCTGCTTCTCTCCTGTAGCACAACCCACTGCACATCCACATCATCTGGTCTTTTCCATCACCATGTGGGGCTTGACAAACTGGCATCACAAAATTCAGATACTCTGACTATGGCAGCTTCTGTGTGTAATAACATTGTTGTCCTCTGACACAGGTGTCTCATGTCTTCTGCCAGCTTTTGTGAAACTGGCAGGCTCAGGAGTTAGCTTGCAGGAGAGTAAAATCTCAGACCCTTTTCAGGTCTTGAAAGCTCACAGGGGAAACCTGGATCTGGGTCCACGTTGGGTGCCCCTTTCTCCAGAGCTGTAGTTGTCATTCTAGAAAGTCCAGAAGGCAGCAGAACAGTGACACTGCTGTGCCCTCTAGTGCCCACTGCAGGTTATGTATCAAGGGGAGAACTTGTAGGAACTCAGCTCTCAAGCTGTCTAAGAAGAAAGCTAACCATGCAGTCTCCTTTTAGCTTTGTTCCATAACAGAGTGTTGCAGGTACTCCATGTTACCTACCATTAGCCATTATTTTCCCCTAAGCTTTGGGTGAAATTTATAGCTGATCTCCTGAGAAGCTGTATTACAGCAGTCACTAGATGTGTGCTTTTTTTCTTCCTTTTTCCCTGGCAGGATCCATCCATGCTAGGTGCCAGGAATAATTCCAAGCCCTGAGATGTACCCACAGACCCAGTTCCTGCACTGTAGGGCTGGGTCTGAGTCTGCACTTAGCCAGAGACTCTGCAAAGGCCAAGATGAAAGAAAGATGATTTCTGTGGAGTTCTCATCCAGTGCTGTGTCTCAGCACTGATAGAAACGAGTCAGTTTTGCATGCCACATGTTTCCGTCCTTATTTAGATGTGGGGCTGCGACCTCCACAGATAGAATTTGGGAGGAGAGGGTCGAGGCAAACCAAATACAAAGGTGGCCCAGAGCAGCACAAGAGCCCAAGAGCTGTCACCATGCAGATCTTTGTGGTATTCATGGCCTCGTGTGTTTTGGGTAAATCTGACTCTGATGGGTGGGAAAGGGTCAGGCTTCCCCTCTATGCAGCTGCACACTCCTCCACTGTTGGCACCCTACCTATTCTATTTTTAGAGACAGGGTCTCACTCTGTCTCCCAGACTGGAGTGCAGTAGCACGATCATAGCTCATTGTAGCCTCCAATTACTGGGCTCAAGCAATCCTCCTGCTTTAGCCTCCTGAGCAGCTGGAACTACAGGTATACACCACTACACCTGGCTTTTTTTTTTAAGAGACAAGGTCTCACTATGTTGTCTAGGTTGGCCCTGAATTTCTGGTCTCAAGCAATCCTCCTATCTCAGCCTCTCAAAAGTTTAGGATTATAGGCATGACCCACTGCACTTGGCCACATCTAGTGAATTTTTTATTTTAGGTAATTTATGTTTTAGATCTATAATTTCCATGTGGTTTTTTCTGTAATTTATATTTCTATGCTGGGACTTCCCATTCATTTTCTCCTTCATTATGAACATATGTCATATATGACATTATGAGTATATGTTCTTGAACACAGTTTTTTGGGTTGTGTTTTTTTTTGAGACAAGAGTCTCACTCTGTCACCCAGGCTGGAGCGCTGTGGTACAATCTCGGCTCACTGCAACCTCCGCCTCCCAGATTCAAGCAATTCTCCTGCCTCAGCCTCCTGAGTAGCTGGGATTACAGGCATGTGCCACCACTGCCCGGCTAATTTTTGTATTTTTAGTAGAGACGGCGTTTCACCATGTTGGTCAGGCTGGTCTCAAACTCCTGACCTCGTGATCCACCCGCCTCAGCCTCCCAAAGTGCTGGGATTACAGGCATGAGCCACCGCACCCAGCCGAGCACAGTTTTAAAAGCCACATTAGGCCGGGCGCAGTGGCTCACACCTATAATCCCAGCGCTTTGGGAGGCCAAAAGGCAGGCAGATCACCTGAAGTCGGGAGTTTGAGACCAGGCTGACCAACACAGAGAAAACCCATCTCTACTAAAAATACAAAATTAGCCCGGTGTTGTGGCGCATGCCTGTAATCCCAGCTACGCGGAAGGCTGAGGCAGGAGAATCGCTTGAACCCAGGAGGCAGAGGTTGCGGTGAGCTGAGATTGTGCCATTGCACTCCAGCCTGGGGAAAAAGAGTGAAACTCCATCCAAAAAAAAAAAAGCCACTTTAAAAAACAACAACAACAAAAAAAAAACACTTTTCTGACCAGGTGTGGTGGCTCACACCTGTAATCCCAGCACTTTGGGAGGCCAAGGCGAGTGGATCACCTGAGGTCAGGCATTCGAGACCAGCCTGGCCAACATGGCGAAACCCTGTCTCTATTAAAAATAAAAAATAAAAAATTAGTCAGGCGTGGTGGCACATACCTGTAATCTCAGCTCGGGAGGCCGAGGCAGGAGAATCATTTGAACCTGGGAGGTGGAAGTTGCAGTGAGGCGAGATCATGCCACTGCACTCCAGCCCGGGCAACAAGAGTGAAACTCTGACTCAGAAAACAAACAAACAAAAAAATAACTTTTCCATGAAAATCTTGGTCATCTCAGAACTTGTCTCCATTGATTGTCTTTTCTTCTGATGTGGTTCATGTGTTTCTGTTTCTTCATATGCAAAGTGATTCTGGACGTTGTGTATGATAGATGGTAGAGACTCTGGGTTCTATATTGTTCCTCTAAATATTACTGATAGTTTCTCTTCCAGTAGTTAGTTTATTGTCTGGATTCAAACTCCAAGCTCTTTCTACTAGGTCGTGGAAAGCAGCTGAAATCTCTTCAGCCTAAGATGGCTTGGTTGGAATTTGCAGTTCAGATGTCAGCTAGATATACTAGCTGATTTTATGTACAGAATTTGGAACTCCACCCTCTGTGAATCTTTTTTCTTGGATTTCCTCCTTCACCTTCTAGTTGCCGTGGTATCCTTGAAACAATTTTGAACTTTCAGGAAAGTAGTAAGTACAGCACAAAAAAACTCAAGAATATACTAAACCAAATTTAACTTTCACCAATTGTTCTAATAAAGCCCTTTATAGGAAAAGAATCCATCCAGGGTTGTGTGGCTTACCCGGTTGTCTGATTTGGAGCAGTTCCTCCAGATCAGACAACCAAAGCAGTTCCTCAATTTGGAGCAGTTCCTCAGTTTCCTGCACTTTGATTACCTTGATGTTTTTGAGAATAACTCAGTCACTTTGTGGAATATACTTCAGTTTTCCTCTGTCTGATGTTTTCTCAGAAGTAGACCCAGAGTATCCTGTGGCTGAATTGCCACTGAAATGATGCCAAGTTGCCACTGTGTCCTCTCAGGAGGCACCATGATGCTGATTTAATCAATTACTGATGGTATTAACTTTGATCACTTGATCAAAACGGTGTTTGCTATGTTTTCCACTCTGTTTTTTCACCCTTGAATTACTAAGAATGTTGTAGAGTGATACTCTGAGACTATATCAAATACGATTCCTCATTCCACTTTCTTCCATTAATTTTGGTATCCACTCGTGTTTCTTGCCTGAAGTAATCATTACTGTGATGACAACCAAATGGTAATTTATTAGTACCATTATTCCTTCTGCATTTATCAGATAGGAAGAGCATTCTCTTCTCTTCATTCATTTGTATTAGTGTAGAGTTATGGATTTCTATTTTACTCAATGTTCTACAGTCCATTACTATCATTATTCTTACACTGTCCCAGATTCTGCCAATAGGGGTCCCTTTAGGTTGCTTTAAACTGTGTACTTTTGACAGTCTCATCATGCTGTGAACACTTCTTTACTTTTTCACACAAAAAAATATTTCAGGCTAATCTTGTAATTTCCTTGTCCCAGTCCTGCAATCAGCTATTTCTTCAAGGACACCAGGTTCTTTTAGTAAAGAATGGCATTTGGGAACCAAAATGTAGAAACCAGCTATGCTTATTACTACTAGTTTATTAGCGCTACCATGCCCCCTCAGTGGACAGAGTTGGGATGTGTGCATACAAGCAGCCACATTTGCACTTTTACATATTTCTTATTTTAATGAAAGTCATATACTCACAATAACACCTATTCCAAGCCAATGCCACAGTACTTATTCTATTTTCTCCCCTATATCTTTAAACTAAATTCTCATTCTGCTCAAAGAAGCAGGAGTTGCCTCTATTGCCTCATGCAAGAAAAATATTTCACAAATAATTAACACAAAGTACAAATATATAATCATATTGTTATTATCTTTTGAGATATTTCTACTAGATTCATTCTTACTTGATATTTCTGTTTCCCTGTTTTTAATGTTTTTGATGTAGCTTAACTGTAAAATCTCAGACAGTTCTGGGTGTAAAAGCTATCCTTCCCACAGGATATGCGTTGTCCTTACTTATCCCAATGCAGAAACACATCTGACATCTTATTCTTTATCTCTCAGTTCAGAGTGAAAGGGTTCTGAATGAGCTACAGAGAGAATGCTCTGCTGTCCTGTGCTAAAGGAGACCACTAGGCAAGGAAGGATCAGATGGACTCCCTTGGACCTCTCTTGGAAGCCACTTGTGCAGGTTTCTCACAGCCAACAAGGTTAACATGCAGCCCTGATCCTCAACTCCAACTCTCAAAGTTGGCTCTCAGAGCAGATTTGAAAAGCAGTAAAACATTCCTTTGGTTGCTAGACCCATGTAAAAAAGTATAATAAATTTAAAAAGAAAAGCAGTAAAGTGGTGTTTGGGGGCAGTCTGAGCCATCTGAGAGTTTTCTGAAGGTCTCATTTGTGCTGTGGTTCTTGGTTTACTGACTCTTCTGAGAGTATGATGGAAGCTACCAACACACTCCCCAGAAACATGCAGTTCACATATGAACAAGTTCATGAAACTATACATTGGGTGCTAGGTCAGGAAGTATGCTAAGTTACATCTGCTTATGAAACCCCTTAATGTGTTCCAGATGGGAGAAGGTGCGGAGGCAGGAGCAGGGGATGTGTTCCAGAGCTGTGAAGAATGAGGAGAGAAATTATCACCCAGACACTCACCCTGGCAAAAGGCCTTAATCCATTCATCTCTGTTAGTCACACAGATAACTATGGTCAGATAGATGGCTTAGTGAAAGCTGTCAGCTAACCAACAAGACAGAGCCTTTTTAGTAAAGATTAGTAGGCAGGTAGGCAGTGGTTAGAATGTTGCTCAGTCAGACAAGCAAATACCGAGTTGAGGTTAGAGCCCAAAGGCTCAATATTGTCTCCACATTCAGAGTGGGAAAATCTGCTCTGAATAGAATCACACATAACCCCAAATTGTGGCATCCTGAAGACATTTTTAAGCAGACAGAAAGAAAACCTGGAGATGCATCGGTGTCCAGATGAGGCTTCCATTTGCTGGAAATGAAGACAGACCTGCTGTGGAAGAACCGCTAGGCAGGGAGGAGGCAAAATCAGGGCTCAGGGAGCTGACCCCAAGCCAGTTGGTAATGTTGAGGTGGTTCTGAGGAGCAGAGCTGTCCAGAAGAGGGAAAAGCAGGTGCAATCTGAGTCCCAATCCCTGGATTCTGGCCTGATCTTGGAAAGCAAGGAAAAGTTTTTACACCTCAGGGTAATGCAAATCCAATCAGAATGCAAAACTTTTGTATGGGGTGAGGGAAACTAACAAATGGAGTAAATAAAACCTTTAACAAAAATATATGGGGGGAATAACTTCAAGAAATAGAAAATGCTGGGTTTTTTGTTTTGTTTTGTTTTTGAAAGAGGGTCTTGCTCTGTTGCCCAGGCTGGAGGGCAGTGGTGCAATGCACAGCTCACTGTAGTCTCAACTTCCCTGAGCTCAGGCAATCCTCCCACCTCAGCCTACTGAGTAGCCAGGTCTACAGGCACAAGCCACCAGGCCCAGATAATTTTCTGTAGAGACAGGCTTTCACTATGCTGCCCAGGCTGGTCTCAAACTCCTGGGTTCAATCTATCCACCCACCTTGGCCTCCCAAAGTGCTGGGATTATAGGCATGAGCCACTGTGCCTGGCCTAAAGTGCTATTCTTTATTAAAAGTATTATAGGCTGGGTGCAGTGGCTCATGCTTGTAATCCCAGCACTTTGGGGGACTGAGGCAGGCGGATCACAAGGTCAGCAGCTCGAGACAAGCCTGGTCAACATGGTGAAACCCCGTTTCTACTAAAAGTACAAAAATTAGCCTGGCATGGTGGTGCATGCCTGTAATCCCAGCTACTCAGGGGGCCGAGGCAGGAGAATTGCTTGAACCCAAGAGGCAGAGGTTGCAGTGAGCTGAGATCATGCCATTGCAGTCCAGCTCTGGATGACAGAGCAAGACTCTGTCTTGGGGGAAAAAAAAGTATTATAAAGACATACTAAAACATTACCTTTTGTATGAGCACAAACAAAGAAATCAGTGAAACAAATGTCAGAAACATAAAATGTCAGGATATTAGTATTTGTTGGCTTAATAATGAAACCACAAGAACGAGATGGCATGATGGTGCAGGCCTTTAGGGCATCTAGAAGAAAGGAGTCATTGCTTCCTGGATTGTGCAACATCCCAACTCCATCTGCCTTTCAAATGTCCATATGGTAACTTTTTCATGTAGACACATTTTCTCAACAGGGTTACTGGCAGTTCCAAGGTCACCAACAGACAGAATGTGATGATCTCCTACTACAAAAACCCACAGACTCTTATTGGCCCATCTTGGATTAAATGCCCTTCCCTGGAATAAATGTTGAGCCAGAAGGATGTGAAATCTCTGGAATATCTGCCATCCCTTAGGTCATGAAGGCAGGTTGGTAACTATAAGAACAGAGGGATGGGGTGCTGAGAAATACCTCTCATAAATGACCATTTAGCATGAAGATAGTATTTCAAATTAGTGGGAAAGGTGTGAACTGATCACATGGTGTAGAGAAAACTGGCTATTCATTTGGGAAAACAAAGTTAAATCCTTACCTCATAGCAACAACATAGGGACAGATCAATGAACAATTAAACTTAGTAAACATATTTTAAATATAAGATATACATGAGATAATGGTAATTTCCAAGTGATTTTCTTGTGCTGATGCAATGAAAAAGTGCAATGAAGCAGAGCTTCGTTGTTTCTTACAATGGAATAGTGAATAACTTTACTTCAAAGAATCAGGCTTGCCACATGAAGATTTCTAGGGCTGAAACACAGCTACCCATGATCAATTTTTCCTAAGAGCATATTCTCCCCAGAGACTGCTGTTAATATTTCTGAATTAATAATTCTTCAAAAAGGTTGCCTGAGTTGGTTAAACCACCTTCAGCTCTAAGAAACAGAAAATCCCAACTAAACCAGTATAATGAGACCAAAAAAACTATTATCTCATATAAAGCTTCAAGGTTGGTTAATTTACCTGCTAGAGACCATCAATCCAACTGCTTCCCAGTTTTGTGTTCTGCTATTGTCAGATCTTACCTCAAGACCAAAAGATAGAATCACACATGCAGACATAAGAACATCTACCAAAATCAAAGGGCTGTCTTATGAAATCTGTTAATCATTATGAAATTGTATTGTCTCAAATCTCATTCAGCATTCTCAGTATTTCACTGGCCAGGAAACATTTTTCAAAATTAGGGTGAACTAATAATTCTAGGTAGACAATGAAACAAAATCAAGGTTCTGCTGGCATGGAATAAGTGGGGGATAACTGTTGAATAGCAAATCAAAAACCTACAAAAGCTCCTACAAATCTGTTGCAAGGAATAATGTTCCTCATAATAGTGCTAACACTTGGAATGTTCTACACATTGGTCAAGTACTTTACTAAATTAACTAATCCTTACTAGAACCCCATGAGGGAGGTAACATTAGTATCATCATTTAGCAGAAGAGGAAACTAAAGAACTTATGTTCAAGAATTTGCCCCAGATCACACACCTAATATGTAACAGACCTGGGATTTGAGCCCAGGAAGTCTAGTTTCAAGGTCAATGTTCTTAACCACTGTATCAGGGGTAAGCAAACTTTGGACCAGAGGCCAAATCTGGCTGAGAATCTGTTTTTCAATGAACCATGAGCTAAGATTGGGGGATGGGGGGTTAAGAAAAGTGACAGAAATAAGTATGTGGCCTGGAAGGTTAAAGTATTTATAGCATTTTATAAAAGTTTTTGGCCAACTCCTGTACTATACCAGGTTGCCAGTACTAGAAAGCAATGGCAAATAACAACACAGGTATGCTACATACAAATAGTTCCTGGGTTACATACAAGTGAAGCTTGGCACACTCGAGGCTTCCCATGTAGACATTTCAAGATATTGAAATATGGGTGGTTTTCTTACTAAGCATTTTATGGGATAGTACAATGAGCATTACCATTCTCAGCTGTTTCCTTAAACTAATTTAGGCTGTGCTAAATGTAAAAATTATGTACTTGATCACTGCATTTTTCATGTAAATAATTATTTTTTTAAAAAAATGTGTGTCTAACAAAAACACTGTTGGGCTTCTTTATTGAAAAGGCAGCTCAATAACAATGGTCATTTCCATTAATATATGCCAGGAAACGGTAGAGGAAAATGCTTATAGTAGGATACTTGCCATGGACCTATTGGACTGAACAAAGGAGGGTGAATGCAGGAATAAAAGACAAGAGA
Source organism: Homo sapiens (assembly GCF_000001405.40). Lineage (NCBI taxonomy): Eukaryota > Metazoa > Chordata > Mammalia > Primates > Hominidae > Homo > Homo sapiens. The sequence goes on from NC_000010.11 coordinate 37,763,133, forward strand.
CAAAAGAAGAGTATATTTGGAAGAAGGGGTCGGGGGCACCATGCCTTTACTGGACAAGGGCCCTGAGCTTTACACAGCTCTCCATATTTATTAGGCAAAAGAGATAGCAAGAAAGAGGGGATGATTGTCGGGTAATTTTCAGTCAGCCATTTGGTTCACAGCAGGCTTGCAAGACTGCCTCCTTTGAACAATAGGTGCTAATTTTCTCAGTAGATAACTTCAAGGAGCCTGGCTCCAGCGAGTGATCTCCCTAAGCAAACCTTTTGGTGGCAGGGCAGTGTGAGTTTGCCCACATCCTGCATTCATGAGAAACAGTTTGCTGTTTGATCATATAGCCTCCAGCAGAATGCTGAGTTGGTCAGGTCCCACAGGCCTTTGGCTACCTGTAATACTTAAAATGTATCAAATATTATTTCACATAAAAGACTGTATTAATATAAAAAAGAACACAGTGATTTACAAGAATTAAGTCATAATGGTTATTAAAGTAAGGATTTTAATGTTTGAGTTTGATTCTGTTGGGTTCCAATGAAAAAAAGTAGAAGACAGAAAAGATATGTTGTTGCAGGAAGTCAGGGACCCTGAACAGAGGGACCGGCTGAAGCCATGGCAGAAGAACATAAATTGTGAAGATTCCCCAAATTAATACTTTTATAATTTCTTACACCTGTCTTTACTGCAATCTCTGAACATAAATTGTGAAGATTTCATGGACATTTATCACTTCCCCAATCAATATTCTTGTCATTTCCTATGCCTGTCTTTAATCTCTTAATCCTGTCATCTTCATAAGCTGAGGATGTATGTTGCCTCAGGACCCTGTGATGATTGTGTTAACTGCACAAATTGTTTAAACAATATGAAATCTGGGCACCTTGAAAACAGAACAGGATAACAGTGATGTTCAGGGAACAAGGGAGATAACCATTAGGTCTGGCTCCCTGAGAGCCAGGCGGAACAGAGCCATATTTCTCTTCTTTCAAAAGCAAATAGGAGAAATATCACTGAATTCTTTTTCTCAGCAAGGAACAGCCCTGAGAAAGAGAATGCATTCCTAGGGGGAGGTCTCTAAAATGGCTGCTCTGGGAATGTCTGTCTTTCATGGTTGAAGATAAGGGATGAAATAAGCCCCGGTCTCCCGTAGCACTCCCAGGTCTATTAGGACGAGCAAATTCCCGCCTAATAAATTTTGGTCAGACCGGTTGTCTGCTCTCAAACCCTGTCTCCTGATAAGATGTTATCAATGACAATGCGTGCCCGAAACTTCATTAGCAATTTTAATTTCACCCCAGTCCTGTGATTTCGCCCTGCCTCCATTTGCCTTGTAATATTTTATTACCTTGTGAAGCATGTGATCTCTGTGACCCAGACCCTACTAGAACACTCCCTCCCCTTTTGAAAATCACTAATAAAAACTTGCTGGTTTTGTGGCCTGGGGGCATCACAGAAGCTGCCGACATGTGATGTCTCCCCTGGACACCCAGCTTTAAAATTTCTCTCTTTTGTACTCTTTCCCTTTATTTCTCAGATAGGCCGACACCGGGAAAATAGAAAAGGACTCATTTTGAATTACTGGGGACAGGTTCCCCTGATAATATGTAGGAACTAATTCTTTGCCATGTTGACTGTTAAGATCATCAGAAAAAGTTAATATAGGATGTTTACTATATTCTCTATTTTATGTCATATTTTGTGGGAGAAAGAAAAACAGTAAAAATACCCAGTTAATTTTCTAATTCATGCATAAGACATGCAGATACAATATATTATATGCATGAATCTGCACTAGTTTATGTGGATATTAAAACACCTAAGACACTTTTTGAGCCTTTTTTTTTTTCTTTTTTTGAGAGAATCCTGCTCTGTAGCCCAGGCTGGAATGCAGTGATGCAATCTTGGCTCACCGCAACCTCTGCCTCCTGGTTTCAAGAGATTCTCCTGCCTCGGCCTCCTGAGTAGCTAGGACTACAGGCCACCATGCCCAGCTAATTTTTTTTTATTTTTAGTAGAGACAGGGTTTCTCCATGTCAGCCAGGCTGGTCTCGAACTCTTGACCTCAGGTGATCTGCCCACCTCGGCCTCCCAAAGTGCTGGGATTATAGGTGTGAGCCACTGAGCCTGGGCAAGTTTGAGCTCTAATGATATAAATTCCTTGAGCTGTTTAGGGAATGGAATTATGTGGCGATTTGGGGATTATTCCTTTAAACAAATGGTCTCCAAAGTATTTGATGACTCACCCTACAAGGAAAAAAGTTTCAGCATCCACATATTTGTAGCAATAGATAGGTATGTATGAATATAGATGTATTTCCAGGTGGTCCACACTTTGCATGATTCTGATATGCAGGAATTTCAGTTATGACAATTCAGTTAAGTAACACCAGTCTCCCAACAACAAAGGTCAGATTTCATTTAGCATGGTATATTATCTGTAACTGCATAAAATACAAACTTCACTCCTAGCTCTTAAGTCCACAAATCACCACATTAATAATCGATGCACACTGGAAGGGAGCCAAGATGGCCGAATAGGAACAGCTCTGGTCTACAGCTCCCAGCGTGAGCAATTTCTGCATTTCCATCTAAGGTACTGGGTTCATCTCACTAGGGAGTGCCAGACAGTGGGTGCAGGACAGTGGGTGCAGCACACCATGCGTGAGCTGAAGCAGGGCGAGGCATTGCCTCACTCAAGAAGTGCAAGGGATCAGGGAGTTCCCTTTCCTAGTCAAAGAAAGGGGTGACAGATGGCACATGGAAAATTGGGTCACTCCCACCCTAATACTGCACTTTTCCAACGGGCTTAAAAAACGGCACACCAGGAGATTATATCCCACACATGGCTTGGAGGGTCCTACGCCCACGGAGTCTCACTGATTGCTAGCACAGCAGTCTGAGATCAAACTGCAAGGTGGCAGCAACGCTGCGGGAGGGGCGCCTGCAATTGCCCAGGCTTGATTAGGTAAACAAAGCAGCCAGGAAGCTCGAACTGGGTGGAGCCCACCACAGCTCAAGGAGGCCTGCCTGCCTCTGTAGGCTCCACCTGTGGGGGCAGGGCACAGACAAACAAAAAGACAGCAGTAACCTCTGCAGACTTAAATGTCCCTGTCTGACAGCTTTGAAGAGAGTAGTGGTTCTCCCAGCACGCAACTGGAGATCTGAGAACGGGCAGACTGCCTCCTCAAGTGGGTCCTTGACCCCCAAGCAATCTAACTGGGAGGCACCCTCTAGTAGGGGCAGACTGACACCTCACATGGCCGGGTACTCCTCTGAAACAAAACTTCCAGAGGAACGATCAGGCAGCAGCATTTGCGGTTCACCAAGATCCGCTGTTCTACAGCCACCACTGTTCTGCAGCCACCACTGCTGATACCCAGGCAAACAGGGTCTGGAGTGGACCTCTAGCAAACTCCAACAGACCTGCACCTAAGGGTCCTGTCTGTTAGAAGGAAAACTAACAAACAGAAAGGACATCCACACCAAAAACCCTTCTGTATGTCACCATCATCAAAGACCAAAAGTAGATAAAACCACAAAGATGGGGAAAAACAGAGTAGAAAAACTGGAAACTCTAAAAAGCAGAGTATCTCTCCTCCTCCAAAGGAACACAGCTCCTCACCAGCAACGGAAGAAAGCTGGATGGAGAATGACTTTGACGAGCTGAGAGAAGAAGGCTTCAGATGATCAAATTACTCCGAGCTACAGGAGGAAATTCAAACCAATGGCAAAGAAGTTAAAAACTGTGAAAAAAAATTAGACGAATGGATAACTAGAATAACCAACACAGAGAAGTCCTTAAAGGAGCTGATGGAGCTGAAAGCCAAGGCTCGAGAACTACGTGAAGAATGCAGAAGTCTCAGGAGCCGATGCAATCAACTGGAAGAAAGGGTATCAGTGATGGAAGATGAAATGAATGAAATGAAGCAAGAAGGGAAGTTTAGAAAAAAAAGAATAAAAAGAAACGAGCAAAGCCTCCAAGAAATATGGGACTAGGTGAAAAGACCAAATCTACATCTGATTGGTGTACCTGAAAGTGACGGGGAGAAAGGAACCAAGTTGGAACACACTCTGCAGGATATTATCCAGGAGAACTTCCCCAATCTAACAAGGCAGGCCAACGTTCAGATTCAGGAAATATAGAGAACGCCACAAAGATACTCCTCGAGAAGAGCAAGTCCAAGACACATAATTGTCAGATTCACCAAAGTTGAAATGAAGGAAAAAATGTTAAGGGCAGCCAGAGAGAAAGGTCGGGTTACCCACAAAGGGAAGCCCATCAGACTAACAGCAGATCTCTTGGCAGAAACCCTACAAGCCAGAAGGGAGTGGGGGCCAATATTCAACATTCTTAAAGAAAAGAATTTCCAACCCAGAATTTCATATCCAGCCAAACTAAGCTTCATAAGTGAAGGAGAAATAAAATACTTTACAGACAAGTAAATGCTGAGAGATTTTGTCACCACCAGGCCTGCCCTAAAATAGCTCCTGAAAGACGCACTAAACATGGAAAGGAACAACCAGTTCCAGCCACTGCAAAAACATGCCAAAATGTAAAGACCAATCAAGGCTAGGAAGAAACTGCATCAACTAAAGAGCAAAATAACCAGCTAACATCATAATGACAGAATCAAATTCATAAATAACAATGTTAACTTTAAATGTAAATGGACTAAATGCTCCAATTAAAAGACACAGACTGGCAAATTGGATAAAGAGTCAAGACCCATCAGTGTGCTGTATTCAGGAAACCCATCTCACGTGCAGAGACACACATAGGCTCAAAATAAAGGGATGGAGGAAGATCTACCAAGCAAATGGGAAACAAAAAAAGGGAGGGGTTGCAATCCTAGTCTCTGATAAAACAGACTTTAAACCAACACAGATCAAAAGAGACAAAGAAGGCCATTACGTAATAGTAAAGGGATCAATTCAACAAGAAGAACTAACTATCCTAAATACGTATGCACCCAATACAGGAGCACCCAGATTCATAAAGCAAGTCCTTAGCGACCTACAAAGAAACTTAGACTCCCACACAATAATAATGGGAGACTTTAACACCCCACTGACAACATTAGATAGATCAATGAGACAGAAAGTTAACAAGGATACCCAGGAATTGAACTCAGCTCTGCACCAAGCAGACCTAATAGACATCTACAGAAATCTCCACCCCAAATCTACAGAATATACATTTGTCTCAGCACCACACCTATTCCAAAATTGACCACATACTTGGAAGTAAAGCTCTCCTCAGCAAATGTAAAAGAACAGCAATTATAACAAACTGTCTCTCAGACCACGGTGTGATCAAACTAGAACTCAGGACTAAGAAACTCACTCAAAATCGCTCAACTACATGGAAACTGAACAACCTGCTCCTGAATGACTACTGGGTACATAACGAGATGAAGGCAGAAATAAAGATGTTCTTTCAAACCAACAAGAACAAAGACACAACATACCAGAAACTCTGGGACACATTCAAAGCAGTGTGTAGAGGGAAATTTATAGCACTAAATGCCGACAAGAGAAAGGAGGAAAGATCCAAAATTGACACCCTAACGTCACAATTAAAAGAACTAGAAAAGCAAGAGCAAACACACTCAAATGCTAGCAGAAGGCAAGAATTAACTAAAATCAGAGCAGAACTGAAGGAAATAGAGACATAAAAAACCCTTCAAAAAACTAATGAATCCAGGAGCTGGTTTTTTGAAAGGATCAACAAAATAGATAGACTGCTAGCAAGACTAATAAAGAAGAAAAGAGAGAAGAATCAAACAGACGCAATAAAAAATGATAAAGGGGATATCACCACTGATCCCATAGAAATACAAACTACCATCAGAGAATACTACAAACACCTCTATACAAATAAACTAGAAAATCTAGAAGAAATGGAAAAATTCCTCGACACATACACTCTCCCAAGACTAAACCAGGAAGAAGTTGAATCTCTGAATAGACCAATAACAGGAGCTGAAATTGTGGCAATAGTCAATAGCTTACCAACCAAAAAAAGTCCAGAACCAGAAGGAATCACAGCCGAATTCTACCAGAGGTACGAGGAGGACCTGGTACCATTCCTTCTGAAACTATTCCAATCAATAGAAAAAGAGGGAATCCTCCCTAACTCATTTTATGAGGCCAGCACCATCCTGATACCAAAGCCGAGCAGAAAAACAACCAAAAAAGAGAATTTTAGACCAATATCCTTGATGAATATTGATGCAAAAATCCTCAATAAAATACTGGCAAACCGAATCCAGCAGCACATCAAAAAGCTTATCCACCATGATCAAGTGGGCTTCATCCCTGGAATGCAAGGCTGGTTCAACATATGCACATCAATAAACGTAATCCAGCATATAAACAGAACCAATGACAAAAACCACATGATTATCTCAATAGATGCAGAAAAGGCCTTTGACAAAATTCAACAATGCTTCATGCTAAAAACTCTCAATAAATTAAGTATTGACGGGACGTATCTCAAAATAATAAGAGCTATCTATGACAAACCCACAGCCAATATCATACTGAATGGGCAAAAACTGGAAGCATTCCCTTTGAAAACTGGCACAAGACAGGGATGCCCTCTCTCACCACTCCTATTCAACATAGTGGTGGAAGTTCTGGCCAGGGCAATTAGGCAGGAGAAGAAAATAAAGGGTATTCAATTAGGAAAAGAGGAAGTCAAATTGTCCCTGTTTGCAGACGACATGATTGTATATCTAGAAAACCCCATTGTCTCAGCCCAAAATCTCCTTAAGCTGATAAGCAACTTCAGCAAGGTCTCAGGATACAAAATCAATGTACAAAAATCACAAGCATTCTTATACACCAATAACAGACAAACAGAGAGCCAAATCATGAGTGAACTCCCTTTCACCATTGCTTCAAAGAGATTAAAATACCTAGAAATCCAACTTACAAGGGATGTGAAGGACCTCTTCAAGGAGAACTACAAACCACTGCTCAATGAAATAAAAGAGGATACAAACAAATGGAGGAACATTCCATGCTCATGGGTAGGAAGAATCAATATTGTGAAAATGGCCATACTGCCCAAGGTAATTTACAGATTCAATGCCATCCCCATCAAGCTACCAATCACTTTCTTCACAGAATTGGAAAAAACTACTTTAAAGTTCATATGGAACCAAAAAAGAGCCCGCATCGCCAAGTCAATCCTAAGCCAAAAGAACAAAGCCAGAGGCATTACGCTACCTGACTTCAAACTATACTACAAGGCTACAGTAACCAAAACAGCATGGTACTGGTACCAAAACAGATATAGATCAATAGAACAGAACAGAGCCCTCAGAAATAATGCTGCATATCTACAACCATCTGATCTTTGACAAACCTGAGAAAAACAAGCAATGGGGGAAGGATTCCCTATTTAATAAATGGTGCTGGGAAAACTGGCTAGCCATATGTAGAAAGCTGAAACTGGATCCCTTCCTTACACCTTATACAAAAATTAATTCAAGATGGATTAAAGACTTACATGTTAGACCTAAAACCATAAAAACCCTAGAAGAAAACCTAGGCAATACCATTCAGGACACAGACATGGGGAAGGACTTCATGTCTAAAACACCAAAAGCAATGGCAACAAAAGACAAAATTGACAAATGGGATCTAATTAAACTAAAGAGCTTCTGCACAGCAAAAGAAACTACCATCAGAGTGAACAGGCAACCTACAAAATGGGAGAAAATTTTTCAACCTACTCATCTGACAAAGGGCTAATATCCGGAATCTACAATGAACTGAAGCAAATTTACAAGAAAAAAACAAACAACCCCATCAAAAAGTGGGTGAAGGATATGAACAAACACTTTTCAAAAGAAGACATTTATGCAGCCAAAAAACACATGAAAAAATGCTTATCATCACTGGCCATCAGAGAAATGCAAATCAAAACCACAATGAGATACCATCTCACACCAGTTAGAATGGCGATCATTAAAAAGTCAGGAAACAACAGGTGCTGGAGAAGATGTGGAGAAATAGGAACACTTTTACACTGTTGGTGGGAGTGTAAACCAGTTCAACAATTGTGGAAGACAGTGTGGTGATTCCTCAGGGATCTAGAACTAGAAATACCATTTGACCCAGCCATCCCATTACTGGGTGTATACCCAAAGGACTATAAATCATGCTGCTATAAAGACACATGCACACGTATGTTTATTGCAGCACTATTCACAATAGCAAAGACTTGGAACCAACCCAAATGTCCAACAACGATAGACTGGATTAAGAAAATGTGGCACATATACACCATGGAATTCTATGCAGCCATAAAAAATGAAGAGTTCATGTCCTTTGTAGGGACATGGATGAAACTGGAAACCATCATTCTCAGCAAACTATCGCAAGGACAAAAAAATCAAAACACCGCATGTTCTCACTCATAGGTGGGAGTTGAACAATGAGAACACATGGACACAGGAAGGAGAACATCACACTCCGCGGACTGTTGTGGGGTGGAGGGAGGGGGGAGGGATAGCATTAGGAGATATATCTAATGCTAAATGATGAGTTAATGGGCGCAGCACACCAACATGGCACATGTATACATATGTAACAAACCTGCACATTGTGCACATGTACCCTAAAACTTAAAGTATAATAATAATAAAATAAAATTAAAAAAAACAATCGATGCACACCAAGATCAATGACTAATCATGTCATTCTTTCAAAGTCAGCCAGTGGCTGACCACTCACATCTGTCACTCAGTTCATTCACAAATCACAAAGCATGTAATTGTGTAGGGCCTCCTTATCTCCCAGCAACAAACCCCTAAGACATTTTGCAAAAATGATTAAAAGGTAAAGGAGGCCGGCTGCAGTGGCTCATACCTGTAATCCCAGTACTTTGGGAGGCCAAGGCAGGCGGATCACGATGTCAGGAGTTCGAGACCAGCATGACCAACATGGTGAAACCCCATCTCTACCAAAAGTACAAAAATCAGCCAGGCGTGGTGGCATGCACCTGTAATCTCAGCTACTCAGGAGACTGAGGCAGGAGAATCACTTGAACCCGGGAGGTGGAGGTTGCAGTGAGCCAAGTTCATGCCACTGCACTCCAGCCTAGGCAACAGAGTGAGACTGTCTCAAGAAAAAAAAAAAAAAGGCTTTCTAGTCTGGTTTCTGCATTTACAGCCATTTTTAGAGCGCCATACTATCATGCAAAGTGAGAACCAACTGTATGCACTGTGTGTGTCTGTGTGTGTTACATATATAATATATATTGCCACCAGACACTGCTGAACTCCAAGTGGGCAGTGTGCTGATGGACTAGCCGAGGAAACACCTGAAGGACTATCAGACCCCTTTGGGATGTTGCTACTGTATAAGCACAGTGGAGGCTGAAAGATAAAGCAGATAAAAAGAATGTATTATGTAAATATGGGTAAATACTTGGGGCTCTGATAATGGCCAAATCAACCAGAGAGAAAAAGATTTTGCTTTAAGGCAAGTCTTCTATGAGACAGGTCACAGTGGTCTAACACCACAGTATGAGAAACCTGCACTTTAGACATGGAGAATCCCTTTAGTCACGTATTTGCTCCCTGTTGATAACCTGACAGGGAATTTATTCCTGTTCATCTTTCCAATGATTTCATTTACTGATCCTTGAAGTCAGCTCTTTCATTGAGGGAAGTAAACAGATGAAGTAACAGCGTTCCACATTTCTGACTAAACTCACAATAGCCACCTACATGAATCAAACCAAATCTTCACTTATAAATGTAAATGGAAAATGAAGTTTCACTACAAATTTGAGAACCAGTAACACAAGCTACATATGTACCAATATGAACTGAAGACGTGACTATCAAAGGAAAAAAAAATGGGGGAGGCCGAGGCCTGTGGATCACTTGAGGTCAGGAGTTTGAGACCAGCCTGGCCAACATGGCGAAACCCCGTCCCTACTAAAATACAAAAATTAGCTGGGCGTGGTGGCACACACCTGTAATCCCAGCTACTCAGGAGGCTGAGGCAGGAGAATCACTTAAACCAGGAGGTGGAGGTTGCAGTAAGCTGGGATCACACCACAGCACTCCAGCCTGGGCAACAGAACAAGACTCCGTCTAAAAAATAAATAATAATAATAATAATCTGTATCAAGAATCAGAAGAGACTGTTTTTGGAGACATTGGAGATTATTAGTATCCTCAATTATACTCAAGAGAATGTTACTTCACTTCACAGCTATTAGAATGGCTATCAAAAAACAGAAAGTAAGTGTTGGTGAAGATATAGAGAAATTGGAACATTTGTCACTGTTGGAGGGACATAAAACAATGCAGCCGCTATGGAAAAGAGTATGGTGTGTTCCTCAAAATGTTAAAAATAGAATCACTATATGTATACATTCATTTTCTGGGGATGCCATAACAAAGTACCACAGACTAGGTGGTTTAAACAACAGGAATTTATTTGTCATGCTCCTAGTGTCAGAACAGGGTTGGTTTCTTCTGAGGCCCCTCTCCTTGGCTTACAGGTGGCCATCCTCTTACTGTCTCTTCACAAGGTCATCCTCTCTACACACATCCCCCTGGTTGCATGTCCTCATCTCTCTTTCTTATGAAGACACCAGTTAGACTGGATCACAGCCCATGCTAATGGTCTCATTTTAACCTAATTATCTCTGTAAAGGCCCTATCTCCAATACAGTCACATTCTGAGGCATTGAGGGGGTTAGGGCTTCAGAAAAGGAATTATGCCTCAAGACTGCAGCATTAACGTCTGCCTAGCTCCCAGCCTGCTGGCCTGCCCTACAAATTTTACATTCGACCAGCCCCTATAATCACATAAACCAATTTCTGAAAATGAATACACACACACACACACACACACAGGCACATGCACCCATATCCTATCAGTTGTTTCTCTGGAGAACAGTGATTGACACAGGGCTTAGGGCATGTTATTTTTCTTCATCTTAAAGTTTTTCCTCCATTCCATTTCCCTCCTTCTCTCCTGACAGCCACCAGAAGAAATGGGGAGTAGTCTACTCTAGATCTGTCAACAGGAGCATGGCCCAGATGGCACTTTGATTTCAGACTGATCCAGAACTGGGAGAGAATACATTTCTGTTAACAGAACACAAAGACTGTGGTTATTTGTTACCGCAGTCACAGGAAATTAATACACCAATATTTTGCAAAAATCCTACAGAAAATTAACAGTTTGCTTTGCTCAGCGAGAGCACATCTAACCAGTGAGAGCTATCACTTTAAAAGCGCTAAATTCACCTTTTGTGTTTCAGCTCTCGAGGGGTTATCTTATCCTTTGATATGGTTAAAAATCTAGAGAGTATGTAATCTGTCAAGAAAAATAGGGTAAGAGTTATAAAACACCTGGGGATATGCTAGGCTATAAAACTCCAGGAAGACAAGAACATGAAGCAGACGGAAGAAATCTACCACCTGGATCAATTGAGCTGTCCTTTGACTTTCTGCCATCTGTGCCACTAAAGAACAAACAGCGTGGCAATCACAGGCAGCATGCATTTCAGGCTTGTTGACTGAGGGTGTCAACTACATCACTTTCATGAAGAGAGTTAAAGACATTTTCTTAGACTTCAGGCCAGGAAGTCTTTGTGTTCCATGAAGAATTACTTTTCTTTATTCTTTTTTTTTTGAGACAGAGTCTCATTCTGTCATGCAGACTCTGGAGTGCAGTGGCACAATCTCAGCTCACTGCAACCTCTGCCTCCAGGGTTCAAGTGATTCTCCTACCTCAGCCTCCCAAGTAGCTGGCCACGCCACCACACCTGACTAATTTTTGTATTTTTAGCAGAGACTGGGTCTCACCATGTGGCCAAGCTGGTCTCAAACTCTTGATCTCAAATGATCCATCCACCTCAGCCTCCCAAAGTGCTGGGATTTCAGGCATGAGCCACCACACCTGGCCTCTTTTGTTTATTCTTACGGTCAAAACAAAGCACTGTCCTTTGGCACAGAGTATCAGAGATAAGTCTGCACGTTACTAATAATTACAGTTATACAACACAATGTATAATATATACACACTAAAACTATTATAATTATCTTGATATCTTTATAATTAATATGTTGACTTTTCCCTATTTTAGATCTGTTAACTATAAATTCCTTGATAATTTTTATCATGTTAATCTTTTATCATTTTATGCAATGGAAACATGAGAAATGAATAAACAACTCACCTGGCATTTGCTTTTTTTCTGTTGCTCTTGGGAAAGTGCAGGGGAAGCTGAATGTACAGTTACGGGAGAAGAACACAGGGGTGGTCATGCGAGATCTGGCCTGCTACGGACCTTTGAGATTCAGCTTCCTAAAAACTGCTGCCCACCAACTGGTTACACACTCGTCTATGGGAAAAAGTTTCTTTGGCCCTTGAGGAGACAGCAAGAGCCATGATGAGTGAGAATTCACACATGTAAATCTGACAAGATGTCACAGAAGTTGACTATGCAACTTTTCACTGGGTTGCACTTCCTAATGGTCAATTTCATTTTTCTTTCAGAACTAATCCGGGACTAATTCAACAAATAATATTATATCAGAAGACAAATTGTCACCTGCCATGTTCACTCCTGTAGGTGAAATACTCAGGATATTTGTTTACTTACATTCCTACTGAGTTGCTAACCCTTAAGGAAATCATGCTGCAGCAAATGGTGGGAGTGCTTTGGGGAAAGATCTGTTTTAAGATTGTTTGCTTCTAACTCAGTTGCAACAGAACCTGGCAGGTGACTTACCTGTTATAAGATGGATGGGTGTTTTCTATTCCTGCTCTGCCATTTACAAACTGGATGAGTCTGGACAGGTTACTTATACATCCAAGAGTCAAGGTTTCTCAGCTTTGCAATGATGCAGACACAGACACCCCTACTCTCTGCCTCTATAGGATTAGGGTAGGTAAGGCGGCACCACATCTCTAGAGGGCCCATATCACAATGGACATGGCGTGAGAGCAGCTCAGAATCTGGACAAAGACCATGGAGACTGAATGTGGGGCATGTTGGTTAAAGACTGGAGATAGAACTCCTCCAGCTATGCCCAGTGATCTCTCCCTGCAGACCATGCCCACACCAACCCTCCAAGATTAATATTTCCACAGCATACCCCTTTCCACCACTCAGTCCAGTCACATATCTTTTCTGAGACGTGGTCCAAACCTTTCATCATAGTGGGGAGACCTTCTGGATGTGATAACATTTACAGAGCATCACTCATTCTGAGCAGGAGGAAGAATTACTTCAGGCTGTGCAAACTGTCAGGCTCTGCCCTTTCTGGCAGTTTCCTGACTTTGCTCTGAAGTTGGGCTGACAACGTTCAGGTTAGAGAAGCAATCTTCAAGGTGGGATTCCTGTTCCTAGGGCGCCTTCTTCTTACTTCACAAGAACTGCTTTCTTCCGAGGAGCTGAAACCTGAGCTTAAAGGACAAAATCATTTTACTCAGAAACTTCACTCAGGGTTCCAAATCTCAAAGAACTTCCTTGTCTAAACTCTGAAGGCACTGACTATGCTGAAGGTTGGATGGTGCAGGAGTCCAAGCAACACAGTCATGCAGCCTGACCCAAGGACTTCAAGATGCTAAGAAACCCCAGAATACATGACTACAAGGTGACACTCAGCCGCCCCCCACCCACTTCAGTATGATTTCAGGAATACAAGATGGTTTTAGGTAGGGTGGTCTACCCTGGCCATGTGACCTTCACCATTTCACTTGAACCCTCAGACCGTCAGTTTTCTTGTTTGTCAAGATGGAAGACAGTCACATAAAGATTGTTGTAAGGACTAAATAAAAGAGCTAATGAGAAGAAAAAAGTATTTTCAAAATACCTTATCAGCTGAGGTTAACTACTAAGCTCTGTGCCAAATTTTTTACATATGCCAAAAATGTGAAACTCAGAACCACTCCGCATGGCACATATTATTGATGGGATGTGCTATACAAAATGGGCTTACTCTGATTGAGAGCTCTAAACTGGAGGTAGGAAGTCATTCTAAGGGCTGCCTGCACATTCTACAAACCTGCAGGGAAAAACAAAACAAAACAAAAAAAAGGAACTTGCCTTGAACCTTTGAAGTGGGCCAAACTGCAACGACCACAAAATTATGTAAAACAGCTGAACTTCACCAGCGTTGCAACTCCTGAACAGTAACAACCAATGAACTATGGACTCAGGTACTAAGCCACCCGCTTCCACCAACGGATAATTCTTTCAGGACTTGCATAAACACCCGTAGCTTCCTTTCTGATTTCCTCCCTGTTCCCCTCCCTCTTTTTGGAATACAATTTGGCTTCCAGCCCAATGCGTCTCCAGAATCGCAATTCCTAAAACCTCAATAAACGCCATGGTTTACTGCATTGCAGCCTGGTCTTCGACTCTTTTTTTTTTTTTTTTCAATTAAAGTTTTAGGGTACATGTGCACATTGTGCAGGTTAGTTACATATGTATACATGTGCCATGCTGGTGCGCTGCACCCACCAACTCGTCATCTAGCATTAGGTATATCTCCCAATGCTATCCCTCCCCCCTCCCCCCACCCCACAACAGTCCCCAGAGTGTGATATTCCCCTTCTTGTGTCCATGTGATTTCATTGTTCAATTCCCACTTATGAGTGAGAATATGCGGTGTTTGGTTTTTTGTTCTTGCGATAATTTACTGAGAATGATGACTTCCAATTTCATCCATTTCCCTACAAAGGACATGAACTCATCCTTTTTTATGGCTGCATAGTATTCCACGGTGTATATGTGCCACATTTTCTTAATCCAGTCTATCATTGTTGGACATTTGGGTTGGTTCCAAGTCTTTGCTATTGTGAATAGTGCTGCAATAAACATACGTGTGCATGTGTCTTTATAGCAGCATGATTTATAGTCCTTTGGGTATATACCCAGTAATGGGATGGCTGGGTCAAATGGTACTTCCAGTTCTAGATCCCTGAGGAATCGCCACACTGACTTCCACAATGGTTGAACTAGTTTACAGTCCCACCAACAGTGTAAAAGTGTTCCTATTTCTCCACATCTTCTCCAGCACCTGTTGTTTCCTGACTTTTTAATGATCGCCATTCTAACTGGTGTGAGATGGTATCTCATTGTGGTTTTGATTTGCATTTCTCTGATGGCCAGTGATGATGAGCATTTTTTCATGTGTTTTTTGGCTGCATAAATGTCTTCTTTTGAGAAATGTCTGTTCATGTCCTTTGCCCACTTTTTGATAGGGTTGTTTGTTTTTTTCTTGTAAATTTGTTTGAGTTCATTGTAGATTCTGGATATTAGCCCTTTGTCAGATGAGTAGGTTGCGAAAATTTTCTCCCATTTTGTAGGTTGCCTGTTCACTCTGATGGTAGTTTCTTTTGCTGTGCAGAAGCTCTTTAGTTTAATTAGATCCCATTTGTCAATTTTGTCTTTTGTTGCCATTGCTTTTGGTGTCTTAGACATGAAGTCATTGCTATGTCCTGAATGGTAAAGCCTAGGTTTTCTTCTAGGGTTTTTATGGTTTCAGGTCTAACGTTTAAGTCTTTAATCCATATTGAATTGAAACCCTTCAAAAAAATTAATGAATCCAGGAGCTGGTTTTTTGAAAGGATCAACAAAATAGACTGCTAGCAAGACTAATAAAGAAAAAAAGAGAGAAGAATCAAATAGAAGCAATAAAAAATGATAAAGGGGATATCACCACTGATCCCACAGAAATACAAACTACCATCAGAGAATACTACAAACACCTCTACGCAAATAAACTAGAAAATCTAGAAGAAATGGATACATTCCTCAACACATACACTCTCCCAAGACTAAACCAGGAAGAAGTTGAATCTCTGAATAGACCAATAACAGGATCTGAAATTGTGGCAATAATCAATAGCTTACCAAGCAAAAAGAGTCCAGGACCAGATGGATTCACAGCCAAATTCTACCAGAGGTACAAGGAGGAACTGGTACCATTCCTTCTGAAACTATTCCAATCAATAGAAAAAGAGGGAATCCTCCCTAACTCATTTTATGAGGCCAGCATCATTCTGATACCAAAGCCAGGCAGAGACACAACAAAAAAAGAGAATTTTAGACCAACATCCTTGATGAACATTGATGCTAAAATCCTCAATAAAATACTGGCAAACCGAATCCAGCAACACATCAAAAAGCTTATCCACCATGATCAAGTGGGCATCATCCCTGGGATGCAAGGCTGGTTCAATATACACAAATCAATAAATGTAATCCAGCATATAAACAGAGCCAAAGACAAAAACCACATGATTATCTCAATAGATGCAGAAAAGGCCTTTGACAAAATTCAACAACCCTTCATGCTAAAAACACTCAATAAATTAGGTATTGATGGGACGTATTTCAAAATAATAAGAGCTATCTATGACAAACCCACAGCCAATATCATACTGAATGGGCAAAAACTGGAAGCATTCCCTTTGAAAACTGGCACAAGACAGGGATGCCCTCTCTCACCACTCCTATTCAACATAGTGGTGGAAGTTCTGGCCAGGGCAATTAGGCAGGAGAAGAAAATAAAGGGTATTCAATTAAGAAAAGAGGAAGTCAAATTGTCCCTGTTTGCAGACGACATGATTGTATATCTAGAAAACCCCATTGTCTCAGCCCAAAATCTCCTTAAGCTGATAAGCAACTTCAGCAAAGTCTCAGGATACAAAATCAATGTACAAAAATCACAAGCATTTTTATACACCAACAACAGACAAACAGAGAGCCAAATCATGAGTGAACTCCCATTCACAATTGCTTCAAAGAGAATAAAATACCTAGGAATCCACCTTACAAGGGATGTGAAGGACCTCTTCAAGGAGAACTACAAACCACTGCTCAAGGAAATAAAAGAGGATACAAACAAATGGAAGAACATTCCATGCTCATGGGTAGGAAGAATCAATATTGTGAAAATGGCCATACTGCCCAAGGTAATTTACAGATTCAATGCCATCCCCATCAAGCTAACAATGACTTTCTTCACAGAATTGGAAAAATCTACTTTAAAGTTCATATGGAACCAAAAAGGAGCCCGCATCGCCAAGTCAATCCTAAGCCAAAAGAACAAAGCTGGAGGCATCACACTACCTGACTTCAAACTATACTACAAGGCTACAGTAACCAAAACAGCATGGTACTGGTACTAAAACAGAGATATAAATCAATGGAACAGAACAGAGCCCTCAGAAATAACGCCACATATCTACAACTATCTGATCTTTGACAAACCTGAGAAAAAGAAGCAATGGGGAAAGGATTCCCTGTTTAATAAATGGTGCTTGGAAAACTGGCTAGCCATATGTAGAAAGCTGAAACTGGATCCCTTCCTTACACCTTATACAAAAATCAATTCAAGATGGATTAAAGACTTAAACGACTCTTCTTGATAGACATATTAACAGCATCCCTCTACAGGTGAGGACTCCTCGTCCCACGCAGGTCCATCCTCTGGCGTAGGGACTAATTCACACCCAGCTCAGCCTGGAAGCAAAGCTCGCGCCCTTCCAGGGCCAAGGCGCGCACCCCGCGCGGGGCCTGGACGCGCGCGCACGTGCCCAAACTTGCGATCCCCGGCCACCCTCCGACTCACAGGGACACCCCGCCCCCGCTCCCACTGCCCCCGAGCCGCGCGGGACCCTGGTCCTAGCCCAAACCTCCTCAGCTCGCCTGCTTGTCACACTCGGGCTGAATCCGCTCCCGGAGTGGTGTATAGAGCTGAAGGTTCCGGGGCGTCTCTGCAAGGAACGGAAGCACAGGGAAGCACTGCAGGAGATTGCAAAAGGCGCAGAGCACAGTTGTTGGGGACCGTGCGGGACACGTTTTTGTTCGGGACCATTCGGGACACGTGAACTGCGGGGATATGATGGTTAATTCGACCCTTGTAATGTACTGGGTTTAATAGTGCGCTTTCAAAATTCTTGTCTACCCAGAACCCTAGAATGTGATTTTATTTCAAAAAGGGTCCTGGAATATAGGACTACCATGTCCTGTGTGATGGTATATCCAGATGTCTATGGTCTTTACCTGGGTGGCTCAGGTCCCATCAGCTGGACCCAACATCTGTTGATGCCAACGATATTCATTGTGAAGGGTCCTTTTCCATGGGAGCCCACGTGAGTGACAGAGGTAAGCATACTGGACTACCTGCTGTTATAATGTACCACCTGACAGGGTTTTGGACTTGTTCCTGCGTCCAGGTCTTGGACCACTTGCCATCTTGTTGGCTGTTACCCATAAGTCAGTGAAAATGTAGCAAGATGCATTTTAAGGTGTGCCATCCAGGACAAGCCCCATGACCCACAACTCTGCCCATTGGTTGGAGTTTTCTTTTTCATGTAAAATTTGTAACAGTTTTTCCTGTAGTCGTACAGCCATAATGCCTCAGTACACCCCTTAGCCGTTAATTCAGTTAATCTGTTAACCCAGTCTGGGCCTCCTCGGGGACTTCAGTGTACCAGCACCCAACAGACTCCAACCTCTGGGCTACCCACATTTGGGAAAGTAACTGGCTACCTTTTTATGTATGAGAAAGGTGTGATTGAGGCTTAGGTGACTATAGTTTGTACATTGACCAGGCACTGACATTTGTAGCTCTAAAGGCTTATTAGGACTAATTGGCCTGAGTGGGAGAGCAGTCTGTACAGCTTGTTGAACAGTGAAGCACTCCTGTCTCTACCAACTCTTTAATAAGGTTATTAATCTTCTCCTGCATTTATTGACTGACATTACATGGCTGGGCTAGGGAAGACTGCCTGTGCACTTGTCCCAGTATCCATTGTAATTGTGTAATTTCTACTCTGGGAACATCCCTTACAATTCGGAGAAGTATTACACATAATGAAAACATCAATTTTTATAATAGATTTAGCATTATCAGTTACAGACACTTGAGTATATGGATGTCCATTAAATATTACCTGGTTCAGTTTCAAAGGCTGGAACAGCAAAACTCACCTGAAGAATTCAATGAAGTCAATCTACCAAGAGTATGTGCAGCCAACCACCACTCCACCAACTGTGGTCTTGCCTCTAGTACTATGTTGCACACCATTGTATTTTGGAAACAGATTGTTTTTTTGAGTTTCACAGGTTTGTAGACAGAGAGGAATTTTACCCCAGGATGGACCATGACTGATTAAGATGATTTACAAGATTGGATTTAGGAGTTTTTGAATTTATTATATTTAGATAAGATGCTGGGGTTAGAGTTAATGCTGTAATGGGTTAAGATTTGGGGGCATATTGGGAAAAGGTGAATATATTTTGCACATAGGAAGGATATGAATTTTGGTGGGGGTTGGGGGGCAGAGGGCAGGTTGTTGTGGGTCGAATTGTGTCCTCCCAGAAAGACATGTTCAAGTCCTAACACACGGTACCTGTGAATGTAACTTTATTTGGAAATAGGGTATTTTCAGATGTAATCAAGTTAAAATGAGGTCACAGTGGATTAAGTAGGCCCTTTTCTAATGACTGGTGTCCTTATAAGGTGATGGAAATGTAGACATAGAGATACATTGGGAGGACACCATTTGATATGGAGGCAGAGATTGGAGTGATGTGTCTACAAGTCAAGGAATTGCCAGCAACAAGCTAAGCATTGCCAGCAACAACCAGAAGCTAGGAAGAGGCAAGAGAGGATTCTCCCCAGCAGGCTTCAGAAAGAACATGGGCCTGCCACATTCTGGAGGCTTACACTCTAGCCTCCAGAACTGTGACAGAATAAATTTCTATTGTTTAAGCCACCCAGTTTTAGGTACTTTGTGATGGCAGCCCCAGGAAACTAATACAAATGGCAAAGGGACTCCAGGGCATACACCTTGGGGCACCAAACCTGGAAGGCCCTAGCAAATAGACCATACAGATGATCTACCCTCTTCTTGAGGATACTACCAGCATTGACTGTGCTAGAAACCTTTTTTGGGTATGGCACAATTCCTATCTATGTGGCAGATGCAGGCCATACCACTCAAGAACTCTTGAGTGGACCATGTCACATGCTTAAATTTCCAAACATATCTAGTCAAAGAATGGTGCCAAGTTTACAGCCAAGAATACCTAGCAATAGACAATTCTCTGGATATTCACTGGTCATATCATGCCCCATCTTATTCCCAGGAAGCAGTAACCATTAAGAGATAAACTGTACTGTTAAAGGAGAGCATAAAAAGCTGAACCCCTCTCATACCATATACACAAATTACCTCAAAATGGATATATAATCTAAATATAGGAGATAAAACCATAATACTTTAAGAAGAAAATATAGGGGTGAATCTTCATGATTTTAGATATGGCAGTGTGGTCTTATATAGGGCACCAAAAGTGCAACCAGCCAAAGCAAAAAATAAATAAGATTTTGTCAAAGTTAAAAACTTTTGTGCATCAAATGATGTTATCAAGAAAGTGGAAAGAGAAGTGACAATTCACTTCCTGAAACATTTGGCTTACACAATAAAAAACAGGTCAAGAATGGATGGGTTGACATTAGGTGGTGTAATGGAAAAATACTAACAGTCTCTCACCCAGTTTTCCTCCTTGAACCAGTTCTGAGATCCAGAGTTTATGGATGGAAGGGAAGGAAGAATCTTTTTGAGGGCCTCCCAAAGCCATAGCAATTATATACAATAGCTAGTCCCTTAATATTCCTCCCAAAGAGACTTTTTTCTTTTAAGACAGAGTTTTCCTCTTGTTGCCCAGGCTGGAGTGCAATGGCATGACCTCGGCTCACCGCAATCTCTGCCTCCCGGTTCAAGCAATTCTCCCGCCTCAGCCTCCCAAGTAGCTGGGATTACAGGCATGTGCCACCACGCCCAGCTAATTTTGTAGTTTTAGTAGAGATGGGGTTTCTCCATGTTGGTCAGGCTGGTCTTGAACTCCCTACCTCAGGTGATCTGCCTGCCTCGGCCTCCCAAAGTGCTGGGATTATAGGCGTGAGCCACTGTGCCCAGCCTCCCAAAGAGGTGTCTATGCATTTACCAGAGCAACAGTACACTGGCAAAAAAGGAATATTAGAACTTTGGAATGTTTAGAGTATAATCTGACTGAAACCAAGGAACCCAAAATGCCACCATTATGCATGTTCTGAATGTACAAAGGCCAGATGTTAGAGTCCTCATCCAAGTCCATCTTAAAGTCCAGAGTATACAGATATGTCCTGCGGTCTTTTACTCAGCCCTTGAGTGAATAATTGGAATGGATAAACTTATTAGGCGCCAGAGCCTTCACGCTGTCTCCTGGACTTGTGGAGTAAGAGCCACCAATTGTAGTTAAGGCCACTGATGCCAATTAAGATTTCCGTCTCCCTGGCTAAATTGGTAAATCAGAAGCAATATCAATCTCAGAATGGTAACAATCATAGCTATTGTGCTAATTGTGCTTTTACTAGAAAAAATAATAATCTCTGGAGCTTAATATGCAGCTATTAAACTGCAAAAGGATCCTTTTCAACTTCCCTGAAGAAGACTCAAATGCAGTTCACTTTGTTCTAGACTAGATAGCAGCATATATTGTCTCGTCCTAGTCTTGCTAATTTTCCTGCCCTCTGTCACAGTGTAGTACACAGTGAGTTCCACAAAACATCATCCTGGCCACTACATGGATGGCACATCAATGGAACCCGGTGAGGAGAAAGAGGCAAGTACTCTGCTTACCTTGGTAAGATAAGTGTTTGGTAGAGGTTGAGAGAAAAACAAAAAACAAAACAAACAAACAAAAACACCTATGTCAGCATTTTGGTGTTTGGTACAAGGTTGGACACTTACCCCACCGTTAAGATCAAGTTATTATACAATTTGCGTCTCCTGCCGCCAAAAAAAAGGAAAGGTATTTGGAAGGTCTGTTTATACATGGGGAAAACACCTACTACATTTGGGAATATTGTTTTGTCCCACTTACTGGGTGCCTTGGAGGAAGGCCAGTTTTGAGTGGGGCCCACAGCAGGAAAGGGTTTCATAGCAGGTTCCATCTGTTGTCCTTCATCCAATGGCACTGAAGTTCTCAGTGGTATAACATAACACTGTGTGGGGTTCTGACAAGCCAAAATAGACCAGTAACAGCACAGTCCTCTAGGATTCTGGAGCAAAACTATGCCATCTGCAGCAAAGAACCTCTCATTGTTTCAAAAGCAGCTCCTGTGTACTACTTGATCCTAGTACAAACTGAGCAGCTGACTTAGTGTAATCTATTGACTATGTGACTACAGCTGCCCATGATGTGGGGTTACTGTCAGACTCACACCAAATCATAAAACAGGCAGGGAAACAACAGTTTATTGTGCAACAAAAATGGTGCATTGGGAATTGGGCCTGAACAGGTCTCAGCAACTTAGTAATTTATATAAATAGGTGACCCATGGCACTTACCTCTGTCATATGACTACCTCTACTTCAATTCATGTACAGAGTTCAATAGAGATCTTTCTCTCTCAGCCAAGAATGAACACTCCATGGAGTATTCCCTGTGACAGAGTATCAGAGGAAACTCCTGGGCCTGGTTCTCTCACATTGCTGTCTTCCATGGCCACTAAAATTCCACTCAGGAATGTCCCTGAAAGATGGTGATGATGGGGAAATCCTCCCAATGAACAGGACTTCAAATCACACACTTGTTTATTATTATTTGTGGCAAGAAAAGTGAGCTAAGGTAATACCCAGATTCTTGAAGATTGGTAAATAGATTGATTGGTTGGAACAGGATTGGAAGACTGGAGCCAAGGAGGTCTTGTAAAGAAGAAGGGGGTTGGATATCTGGTAGTGCACACAAATTGTGCAGATCTTTGAGTCTTTTGTTAATGTCCATCAAAGAGCAGCTACCACAGAAGCAGCAGTGGACAGAGTCATTTATCCAGTGGCTGTCAGCCTAGGTCCCATGAGTGTTCACACAAGCCCAAGAATGGAGTAGCCATGACAGCAGGAAATGGGCACTATACCTGGGCCTGACAACATGGGTTTTATCTCACTAAGGCTGATCAAGCTCCTGCTAAATATCTGACTTTTCACAAGTAGAGATCAATGCAGAGCACTCAATATATTACCATTTTTTGCAGAGATCAATCAGATTCTTTTGGCAGGATGATTTCACGGGAATCCTTCTACTCTGGAAAAACAGTGAATTGTTCTATTTGGAATTCAAATATATTCTGATTATAGGTTGTTTTTATGCCCACAGTGCCTCTGTGTTTCATGTCATTCCCAAATTATGTGGGAGAGGGTTAACATCCAGGCTGACAGCAGGGAAGTAATGTGGAATAACTTGTAGAGTAGGCAACCAACAACATCAGCTCCAATAGCCTACTATTTAGTTCCAAGACAACCCAGTAAAAATTAGAAAAACAAGAAAAAAGTGCTATATGCATTATATGACTATATAATGCAAATAATTAAAAATGTAGACATAATCTTGAGGTTGCATAGTTTTAATGTAATGTATGTTTATACATGAATCATTCCATTGAAAAAATAAGAGCATGAAAGATCAGTTTAGTTTTTTAAACAGTACTACTTTTTGTTTTATGGATTTCAAAGTATAATATAGTTTACAGCTGCTTTCTTTCTCAAAATTCATTTTGTAGGGTTAATAATTGTATTCTACCTTTGTGTATTTTATGAAAATTTTTATTTACATGAACTGAATAAAGAGGCATTCCATGTTTATGGATTAAATAAGGCTGAATATTGTGATAATGCACAAAAGTTTTAATTTTGTTGATGTCCAAATTATTCATTTTTTTTCCTTTGGTAGCTCATGTTTTAGGTGTCATGTCTAAGAAACCAAAACAATCTTGAAAGAGAACAAATTTGTAAAACTTATACTACTTGATTTTAAA
This sequence comes from Homo sapiens, assembly GCF_000001405.40. NCBI lineage: Eukaryota > Metazoa > Chordata > Mammalia > Primates > Hominidae > Homo > Homo sapiens. Next base: position 37,786,988 of record NC_000010.11, read on the forward strand.
GTATACTATAGGCCAGGCACTTTGGCTCATGCCTTTAATCCCAGCACTTTGGGAGGCTGAGCCAGGCAGATCACAAGGTCAGGAGATCCAGACCTTCCTGACTAACATGGTGAAACCTTGTCTCTACTAAAAATACAAAAAATTAGCCGGGCATGGTGGTACACGCCTGTAGTCCCAGCTATTCAGAAGGCTGAGGCAGGAGAATCGCCTGAACCTGGGAGGCAGAGGTTGCAGTGAGCTGAGATCACACCACTGCACTCCAGCCTGGGTGACAGAGCAAGACTCTATCTCAAAACAAAAAAAATAATAATAATAAGTAAAATACATAAATAAATAAATAAAGTATACTATAAAGTTACCAAAATCAAGACAGTGTGGCACTGGCATAAGTACGAACACATAGATAATGGAAATTAATTGAGTCCAGGAATAAACTTTTACTGCCCAGGATGCTATGTGTCACTGGTCAACTGATCTTTTTTCCTGTTTTGCTTTTGTATGTATGTTTTTCGGTTTTTGGTTTATTTATTTATTTATTTATTTTTGGTCAACTGATTTTTGACAAAAGTGCCAAGATACTTCAAGAGGAAATTAAATTTGGCATTAAAACAAATTGTATGTCCACAAATCATGTTGGGACAATTGTATATCCCCATGCCAAAAAAAAAAAATAGTAACTTAGACCTTTACCTCACACAATATATGAAAATTAAAGCAGAATGAATCAAAGACTCAGATATAAGAGCTAAAAGTATAAAATTTATAGAAGAAAATATAGAAGAAAAATCTTTGTGACCACTGGTTAGACAAAGAGTTCTTAGACAACAAAGCACAATTCATATAAAAAAAGTAAACTAGATTTCATTAAAAGTGACAGCTATTGTGATTCAAAAGATAACATTGAGACAATGAAAAGATAAGCCATATATTAGTAGAAAATATTTGCAAGTAATATTTCTGATAAGTCTCATAATTTGAATATATAAAGACTTACAACTTGGCCAGGCATGGTGGCTCAAGTCTGTAATCCCAGCACTTTGGGAGGCTGAGGCGGGCAGATCACCTGAGGTCAGGAGTTCAAGACCAGCCTGGCCAACATGGTAAAACCCCATCTCTACTAATAAAAAATTAGCCAGGTGTAGTGGTGGGTGCCTATAGTCCCAGCTACTCAGGAGGCTGAGGCAGGAGAATCGCTTGAACCCAGGAGGTGGAGGTTGCAGTGAGCCAAGATCGTGCCGCTGCACCCTATCCTGGGCAACAGTGAGACTCCATCTTAAAAAAAAAAAAAAAAAAAGAAAACATGCAAAAGACTTGAATGAGACATTTATCAAAGAAAATATACAAATGCAAGGGCCAGACACGGTGGCTCACACCTGTAATCCCAGCACTTTGGGAGGCTGAGGCAGGTGGATCACCTGAGGTCAGGAGTTCAAGACTAACCTGGTCAACATGGTGAAACCCCATCTCTACCAAGAATACAAAAATTACCCAGGCTTGGTGGCATGTGCCTGTAATCCTAGCTACTCAGGAGACTGAGGCAGGAGAATCACTTAAGCCTGGGAGGTGGAGGTTGCAGTGAGCCATGAAGCCACCACTGCACTCCAGCCTGGGTGATGGAACGAGACTCTGTCTCAAAAAATAAAGAAAATACACAAATGCAAACAAAGCAAACATCATTAGTCACTAGAGAAGTACAAATTAAACATACAATAAGATACCACTACATAATTACTAGAATAGTTATTATAAAAACAGACAATAACAAATGATGTTGAGGATATGGAGAAACTGGAACCCCTACAATATGGATGAAACTAAAACAATCATTTTGTTAAATAAAAGGAGTTAGACATACAAGACTAAATATTTATATGAATGTCTAGAAAGACTTTTTTTTTTTTTGAGACAGGGTCTCACTTTGTCTCCCAGGCTGGAGTGCAGTGGCACAACGTTGGCTCACTGCAACCTCTGCTTCCTGGGTTCAAGCGATTCTCCCACCTCAGCCTCCTAAGCAGCTGGGACTACAGGCACATGCCTCCATCCCCGGCTAAAGTTTACATTTTTGTTAGAGATGGGGTTTCATCATGTTGGCCAGGCTGAAAGACAATTTTATAGACACAGGGCAGATCAGTGATTGGCTGGGAGTTAGAGTGGGGACTGACAGCATATTGGCGTGAAGGAATGTTTTTGGGTGATATAAATGTAAAATTGGATTGTGGCGATGTTTGCACAACTCTTAAAATTTAATATATATCACTGAATTGTACACAGTGGATGAATGTTAAGTTACATAAATTATATCTCAAAAAAAAAAACTGCTAAAAAGCCAATGGAGACTGCTTTGAGCAAAAATGCCCTCTACAGAGTAATTTTTCAGACTCCATAAACTTATTGTTAGGTGGAGAGGGCAAACATTTCAGGAAGAGCTCAAAAGGTGTCTGCTGAATATCAGTATCAACTAAAATGGTGTTTTATGGTAATCTAGAAAGATAAGCCATTTTCAGAAGTGTCTTTTTTGATAACCCCTTCTCAGTGCTTTCAAGGGACAGGGCAATGAAGATCTTTTTCTCTCAGGCAAGGTAAAACATAATTATAGAACAACAGATAATTTATTAGCTTACTCATCCAAAAATGTACCCAAGTACACACAGCTGATGGCATTCAGCCTCTCTCTGGTACCTTTATTGTAAAAAAGTTTCTTCTCAGAAAATATGAACTCTATAACATCAGCTGTGTTGACTGAGAAGCCTAGAGGAACAGGATACTAGCCTGTATTCATCTCTTTACAGGTGACTAACACAGATAGGGGAAGGAGTTATATATTTCTCAATAAACAAATATTTGCTCTGGACTAGAACAAGGGAAAAATTCCTCCAGCTTAGTTTACTAAGAACACCTGAAGTTTTAGGACACTACTTCCACTCTAGTAGGAAGTGGATGAATGAACCACAAGCTTTATCTTTTCTTTCAATTGTACTTAAAACCTGCCTGGGGCCGGGCGCCATGGCTCATGCCTGTAATCCCAACACTTTGGGAGGCTGAGGTGGGCGGATCACAAGGTCAGGAGATCAAGACCATCCTGGCTAACACAGTGAAACCCCGTCTCTACTGAAAATACAAAAAAAAAAAAAAAATGAGACAGGCGCGGTGGCAGGTGCCTGCAGTCCCAACTACTCGGCAGGCTGAGGCAGGAGAATGGCGTGAACCCGGGAGGCGGAGCTTGCAGTGAGCCGAGATCGCGCCACTGCACTCCAGCCTGGGTGACAGAGCAAGACTCTGTGTCAAAAAAAAAAAAAAAAAAAAGTAACTAGGGCTGGGAATGGTGGCTCATGCCTGTAATCCAGCATTTTGGGAGGCTGAGGCTGGAAAATCGCTTGAGCCTGGGAGTTCAAGACCAGCCTGTGCAACATAGGGAGACGCTGTCTCTACAAAATAAAAAGTTAGGCCGGGCACAGTGGCTCACGCCTGTAATCAAGCACTTTAGGAGGCTGAGACGGGCAGATCACGAGGTCAAGAGATCGAGACCATCCTGGCCAACATGGTGAAACCCCGTTTCTACTAAAAATACCAAAATTAGCTGGGCGTAGTGGCGCACGCCTGTAGTCTCAGCTACTCGGGAGGCTGAGGCAGGAGAATCTCTTGAACCTGGGAGGCAGTGGTTGCAGTGAGCCGAGATGGCATCACTGCACTCCAGCCTGGCGACAGAGCGAGGCTCCGTCTCTAAATAAATAAATAAATAAATAAATAATTTTTTAAAAAAATAAAAATAAAAAATAAAAAAAGTTAGCCAAGTGTGAGTGTGCACTCCTGTAGCTCCAGCTACATGGGAGGCTGAGATAGGAACATTGCTTGAGGCCAGAAGGTCAAGGCTGCAGTGAGCCATGATTGAACAACTGCAGTCTGGCCTGGGCAAGAGACTGAGACCCCATTATCTTAAAAAAAAAAAAAAAAGTGTACTAGAAGTGTAGTTTAGCTCTGACATGACAACAGTCAAGTTCCCACCTTGGGGCTGAAAAATGGTCTATGTTTTTGTTTCTCTTATACTTTGTTATTTCTTTTTTTTTTTTTTTTTTTTTTTTTTTTTGAGACAGAGTCTCACTCTGTCTCCCAGGCTGTAGTGCAGTGGTGCGATCTGAACCTGCTTCCCGGGTTCACGCCATTCTCCTGCCTCAGCCTCCCAAGTAGCTGAGACTGCAGGCACCCGCCACCACGACCGGCTAATTTTTTTGTATTTTTAGTAGAGACGGGGTTTCACCATGTTAGCCAGGATGGTTTCAATCTCCTGACCTCGTGATCCACCTACCTCGGCCTCCCAAAGTGCTGGGATTACAGGTGTGAGCCACCGTGCCCGGCCTTTGTTATTTATTTCCACAATATGTTAATGGTCATTTATTATGCTAGATGTGAATACACTGATACAAAAATGTGAGTAAAGCCTTGGCAGTTTTAGCACACTATTACTTTCAGGTATATTCGTTTTCAGGTATACTCTTTTGTATGGGACTTTTTCTGTTTTTCATATACCAATTGAAGAGGTGGAGATTAGCTTCTGGCTTATCTGATGAACTTGAAATAGCCACCCCACAACAGGGAAGTGGGAGACAGATGGATTTCAGTGGGATGTCATTATGAAAAGCATATAACCTTCTCCAAATAATTAAAAGCAGCAACAAAAGACAAAAAGAAGAAAGCCATTTGAATAAAAATTAACCTTATAAATGCAATAAACATTTTAATTCCTTTAACAACAAAAGGTTGGGAGCATGTTGAAAGAACCCAGAAGCCAACCTGAAAGAGCTCTCTCAAGCAGTCTCTAAGCAGCAGTGACTACTGCAGCTATTGGCTGGTAAGAACAAAGCAAGCACAAATGGACTGAAACAGTTTATGCCTTACATAGACCACATACGCAAGATCACCATAGTGTCAGCTGCCTTTATCTCCTCTCCCACAGGATGATACCAAGAATAAAAGGGCCATAGGATGGGCAGCATGAGTAGCTGGGATACTCTCTTGCAGAAGAGCTAATTCTAGACCACAGTTAAGTGGTTTTATAGCTTGCAGATCTACCCATGGAGGAGGGTGACAAGGTACAAAGTCTCATGCCTGGGACCAGAGAGGCAGATGAGAAACTGCCTCCCACAAGATAGGGAGGTGAATGAGATGTAATTTCATGATAGCTCCTCACTACCTGCCAAGACACAGGTCAGCCTGCAGTTGAGCCTGTCCTATGTGGCCATGTATGGAGACATGTAAGACTGCCAGGGTGCCATCATGGAACTGTTTCCCTATAAACTTCCAGTGGCCAAAGCTGAAACAAACTGAGCAACAAAAGGAGTAATGTCAAGAATAAAATAAATATCCATGAGGCCACATTGACATAAATGGCTGAATAAACAGATAAACAAATGAGAAAGAACAAACCTTCCTTTTGGAAGACTAGAAATAATATATGTATTTATCCCCACTCCAAGGGGTGAAGCTTAACTCTTCATGCCTAGAGTATGAGCTGGACTTAGCAACTCACTTCCAAAAAACAAGAGTATGGAAAGGAAAACACTGTAACTTTACAGGTGAGAAACCAGACAGACACCACCTTAATCAAGTGATCAAAGTTAGCACCATCAGCCAACAGTCATGTTGGTATCATGCACACCATCATATGATGCAATTAGGGTACCTAATCTCTGTGGTATTATTCCCCAAATTCCATAACCCCAGTATGATTGTAAGAAAACATTAGGCAGTCACAGATTGAAAGACATTCTACAAAACATTTGACCAGTATTCTTCGTAAGTGCCAGGGTCTTGAAAAAGACAGAAAAACTGATATAACAACTAAACACAATGTGGCATCCTAGACTGGATGCCAGTCTACAGAAAAACACCATTAACAGAAACTGGTGAAATCCAAACAAAATTTTTCATTAATAGTGTTGTACCCATGTTAATTTCTTATTTTGACGTATATGCCAAGGTTGTATATAATGATAACATCATGGGAACTGGGTGAAAGGTGTACGAGAAATCTATTATCATTGAAACTTTCTCTGAATTTAAAAATATTGGCCGGGCGCGGTGGCTCACACCTGTAATCCCAGCACTTTGGGAGGCTGCGGCAGGCGGATCACAAGGTCAGGAGATCAAGACCGGTTTGGCCAACATGGTGAAACCCCATCTCTACTAAAAATACAAAAAAAATTACCCAGGCATGGTGGCACATGCCTGTAGTCCCAGCTACTCGGGAGGCTGAGGCAGCAGAATTGCTTGAACCTGGGAAGCGGAGGTTGCAGTGAGCCGAGATCACGCCACTGCACTCCAGCCTGGGTGACAGAGAGAGACTCTGTCTAAAAAAAAATTATTCAAAAATAAAACTTTTATTTCAATAAAGCAGATGGAAACATAAACAAACACAAATAACAATAAACACAGATTCTTTATTAAAGATGTGGTTCGATACCAATGGCCAATACCATCTAATTAGGCCAAAAAAATGTTGAAGAAAGGGTATCAAATATAACATTTTACATTTGTCAGATAAAATAAATAAAAGTGTTGAAAGATATTAAGGCAAAGTGGTGTGGAGAATTCAGTGGGTCTAGTTCTAATGATTATATTAAGGGCAAATATATTCATTCTATACCCACTTATTCTGGAATCACATATGCAAATCCAATATGTGCATAATTCCTGTGATGCAACATATGCATATAGATCTCAGAGACCTTATATGTTTATTTCTATTTTCTTGATCATTAAACTTATCCAAATTTTAAAGGATTTCCTACTTTTCCGTGTATATATGCGTGTACACATATACATATAAGAATGTTGGCTTTATGCTATAAAATATTTCACATCACATCTGATGCAAAAACTGTGATGACATTTCTTTTTAATATGTTTTTCCACGTTAAGATCCCTAAAAATGGATTCTCAGATGTATAATTTTTTTAAATCTTGTCAAATGTTAATACCAACTGTCCATAAGGTTTAAATCCTAGACTAATAATTTGATGTACAAGTAATTATGCTTATATATACAAGGTTTTTTTTATTGATTTGTTGATTATGATTATTTGATGTTCACGGCTGCATTTCATCAGTTCTCTCATATATAATGAGTTTGGTTTATGGATTTAATTTTGGAGTTTCAATATTTAAGACATTTTCAACATTTAAAAGACATTTTCCGCTATGTGTGCTATCTGATGTACCACAGAGTTTGTCTTCTAGCAAAAGGATTTCTTACATTCATTATACTTACAGTGCTTCTTTCCTCTTTGAATTCTCTGACATTTAGTAAGGACTGAACTGTGGCACAATGATGTGTCACATTTATTACATTCACAGAGCTTTTGCCCTATATTCTACAATGTTCATTGAGACTTGATTTGTGAGTGTAGGTTTTCCCACATTCAGTACATTCATAGGGTTTCTCTCTTGTATCTGTTCTCTGATGTAGTGTGAGATTTAAATTGCTACTGGTTTTCTCAGTCGGTACATTCATAGGGTTTCTCCCCCGTGTGTTTTCTCTGATGTACTGTGAGGCATGAATTACCACTGAAAGTTTTCCCACATCTGATACATTCATAAGGTTTTTCCCCAGTGTGTATTCTTTGTTGTCCAATGAGTTTTAACTTTGCAAAAAAGGTTATCCTACATTTAGTACATTCATAGTTTCTCCTGTGTGTGTTCTCTGATGTTCAGTGAGTGTTGACTTGTGGTTAAAGATTGTCCCACATTCAGTACATTCATAAGGTTTCTCCCATGTGTGTTCTCTGATGCACACTCAGTGTTGATGTCACACAGGAAGTTTTCTCACACTCAGCACATTCAGAGGGCTTCTCCCCTATGTGTATTCTCTGATGTCTAGTGAGATGTACCTTACTATAAAAGGCTTTGCCACATTCACTACATTCATAGGGATTCTCCCCTGTGTGTAGCCTGTGATGTTTTGTGAGATAAGACTTTTTGTTGAAGGTTCTGCCACACTGACTACTTTCACAAGATTTCTATGTGAGTTCTCTGATAATGGGTAAAGTGGAACTTTTTGTGTAAGGCATTTCTACACTCAGTAAACTCATAAAGTTTCTCTACTGTGTCAATTCTCTTAAAGTTTGAAATCTTAATTGCTTGTTTACATTCATTATATTCATTGGGTTCTTGTCCTGTAGGAGCTCTCTGATGTACGTACAGTAGAATGTGATGGTTCAATTATAGTTTTCATACACTGAGGATAATCATGAGATGTCTACTTTGATTGACTTCTTTGATGTATAATAATTGTTGATGAGTAACCAAAGGTCTTCCCAAATGAACCATATTCAAAGAGGCTCTCCCCTGTATGTGCTGTTTGATATAATTTTTTTGACACTGTGCAGGATTGCCATGTTCATTGCTTTCATGCGCTTACTTTCTATTTCAGTTCTCTCATATATCCTGACAACTGACTTTTGGAAGAAAGTGCTTTCACAGTCATTAAATTCAAAAAGCGTTTTTTTTTCCCCCTCTCCCAACATGAGATCTCTTTTGGCTGCCAGAGTCTGCCTTATAAAAGTCTTTTCCATATTCATTAAATCCTTAGTGTGGCCCCAAAATTTGAAGCTGAACACAGTATTCATTATGACTGATATCCTTTCCATTTTGATTGTATTCATGAGGTTTAATTTCAGTAGATGTTTCCTCAAGTTTAAATGCAATGTCACTTCCCACATATATCACATTCATGAGGCACCTTTCTCATGCAGTTTCTATTACTAATCATTAATTCTGAAATATATTTCAAATTTTTATCATATGAATCATATTACTGATAGAGTACTTTTCTTGAATCAACAAGATTAATACCAATATTAAATGCCTTCCACGTAAAGTCTTTTTATGATTAATCATTATTTTGTTTTTTATTAATATAACCTGTCTGGGTTGCTGGTGTTGAATATTCTGGAGTCCCCAGACTTTTTCTAGAATAGAAGAAAATTAATCACATCTGGTGAATTTTACGTTTGTTATGAATTGGTTATACAATTGCACTTAAATGTGGCTAAGCTTTGGCTTCAAATACATTTCTCTCAGGAAGAAAATGCAAATTCTTCTTAATTGGTTATAGTCTGTCTATTTGATTAACTGATATATCTAACTATGGGAAATAATATTTTGTAATAATAAAAGGGGGGGAAGCAAGCAATAAATAGAAATACCTGTGGTGTTCTCCAAACACAAATCTTTATAATACTTTTTTTTTTTTTTTGACAGTCTTGCTCTGTCACCCAGGCTGGAGTGCAGTGGCACAATCTTGGCTCATTGCAACCTCTGACTCCTGGGTTCAAGCAATTCTTGTGCCTCAGCCTCCCGGGTAGCTGGGATTACAGGCATGCACCCCTACAGCTGGCTTTTTTTTTTTGTATTTTTATTAAAGACAGGGTTTCACCACATTGGCCATGTTGGTCTCCAACTCCTGTCCTCAAGTGATCCACCCACCTCAGCCTCCGAAAGTGCTGGAATTACAAGCATCAGCCACAATACCTGGCAAATCTTTAATACTTGTAAGGAATAAATACACCAAATGATGATCTATCGTTGTGTCAAGACTAGGTTCACAGCTTTTTATGAGTGCTGATATAGTCATCTTAGTCTATCAGAGTTGTTTAGTAATAAGCCAATCCTAATCACCAAATCCCATTTTCCCCCTTTCAGTATTCTAGGTTACCTTTTTTTTTTTTGCAAAAAAAGTATTTGTAAAATAATATTGTTTAATTCGATTTTACATCTTGGTTCACACATCTGTAGTTTCTACCATTTTGGGGGAGAACAGAAAAATATCTCTCCCTCAACTGGCTCCTCCATCAATCAATTAGAATATCAGTTACACATAAACATTAGGAAGACAAAAATAGAGGCAGTTATATAGCAGAATTATAAGCAAGGTGAGAAAAAGAAACCTCATGCATCAACAAATATAGTTTTTTTTTTCTAGAGCCCCTAACTGCAAATGGAAGATAAGAAAGGAGAGAATTATAACATCTAATAGTAATTAAGTCTAACTGATTTAATCCTCACAACCCTTTGAGATAGGTTATATTATTATCCCTGTTTTACAGATGAGGAAGCTAAGGCATATAAAGATTAAGAAACTTGTCTAAAGACATACAACTTAGAGTAGTAAAGAATAGTTTCTTGAAAGCAATTGAAGTTAAACATTCAAAGTATCTGGGGACGTAAATTACGCTTTAAACAAAGATCTAGATATGTTTCAGGAGGCTTCAGGAATGAAGTTGGACCCCCTACCTCATGATATACATATATAAATCAACTCAAAATTGATCAAAGACCTAAATGAAAGAGCTAATACTTTAAAACCCCTTGAGGAAAACATAGGGCAAAATCTTAGATTAATTTTAGATTAGGTAGTGGTTTCTTAGATATGACACCCAAAGCATGAGCTACCAAAGAAAAAATGAATAAATTGAACATCAACAAAATTAAAACTTTTGTGCTTCCTAAGATACCATCAAAAAAGTGAAAAGACATCCCACAGAATGGGAAAAAGTATTTGTAAATTACATATCTGACAAGGGTCTGGTATCCAAATATATTTTTAAAAAAATTCTTATATCCCAACAACAAAAAGACAGCCCAATTAAAAAGCAGGCAAAGGATATGAATAGAAATTTCTCAAAAGAAGATAACACTAATGGCCAACAAGCCCATGTAAAGATGTTCAACAGCTTTAGTCATTAGGGAAAATCAACTCAAAATCACAATGAGATCTCCTTTCACACCCACTAGAAAAGCTGTAATAAAAAAGATGGACCAAAAACAAGTATTGGTGAGATGTAGAGAAGTTAAATCCCTCATGCACATTGTTGATTAGAATGCAAAATGGTGCTTCCTCTTTAATAAATAGTTTGGTAGTTCCTCAAAAAGTTAAATTTGAGAGTTAGTATATGACTCAGCAAGTCTACTCCTAGGTATATATCCAGAGAATTAAAACCATATTTTCATGCAAAAATGTATACACAAACGCACAGCAGCATTGCTTCCATCTCATAATAGCCAAAAGGTGGAAACAATCCAAATGTCTACAAACTGATAATAGATAAACTAAATTTGGTATATCTGTACAATGTAATACAACACAGCTTTAACAATGAATAAAGTACTGAGACATGCTACAATAAATGAATCTTGAAAATATTATGCTAAGTGAAAGAAGTCGGACACCAAAGGTGACAAATTATATAATTCCATTTATATGAAATATACAGAATAGGCAAATTTACACAAACAAAAAGCCAATTAGTGGTTGCCTAGGGGAGTGACTGCTGATGGCTATGGGGTTTCTTTTGAGAGTGATGAAAATGTTCTGGAATTCAGATAGGAGTGATGGTTGTACAACTATATGAATATACTAAAAACTAGTGGATGTTGTGGTATGTGACTTTCATCTCAATAAAAAAATGTTAATAAAACAATGAGGAATTTCCATGTGCACTAATTTGGAAAGATCTCCAGTATATACTGTTATATGTAAAAATTAAAGGACAAGGTATATAGTGTTCTATCCTTTGTGTAAGAAGAGTGTAGAAATATATACACAGATACACATGTACATGTATATTCACATGAATACAAACATAACAAGAAAGGGGTAAAAATATATATTATGTGTGGACACAAACATATATGTATACACATATATACATGCAGGTAGGTAGATTGATATAAAACCTAATTTACTTGTCTGCATTAAAAAAATGAAAAAAATGCACATGTAAAAACTTTGTTCCCTATAATTCCCTAGAAGGGGAGGGTGGTGATGGAACAGGTATAGAAGTCAGAATTCACATTGTGTATGATTTATATTGTTTATATTGTATTAATTTTTCAAAATGTAAGTACATTGCCCAACCTATATGCACACACAGAAAAATAAAAATAAATCATCACAGTTTGCTATATAGTATCTAGTAATAGCTGGCCCTGTTAGGTCAAGTGTACATGTCTTCTCCTTGCAGAGTATTTAAAGAATGACATCTCCATCTGAAAATGCCAACCCTGTATGTACATGCTAACATTTTAGGTCTTCAGATGTTTGACCAGCCAGAAGACAGTTTTCATTTTCTAATCAACAGCTTCCTTATTAAAGTGCAATATAATAACTGATAAAAACTGGAATGAAAAATTAACATTAACTACAGATTAAAGATTTTAAGAATCATGCCTTTTAAAGATTAATATATAATAAAAAACCTAAAAAATGTACAATTTTAAAATAAGTATGTGAAAAAATAAAATAAATGTGTATCCAAAATTGGACCAGAGTTATTAGAAAACCAGAAAAACTATAAACCACAAGGTCAAGAGATCGAGACCATCCTGGCCAACACAGTGATACCCCATCTCTACTAAAAATACAAAAATTAGTTGAGCGTGATTGCGCACGCCTGTAGTCCCAGTTACTCAGGAGGCTGAAGCAGGAGAATTGCTTGAACGTGGGAGGCAGAGGTTGCAGTGAGCTGAGATCGCGCCACTGCACTCCAGTCTGGTGACAGAGCGAGACTTTGTCTCCAAAAAAAGAAAAATTCCAGTGTTTGCTAACACTTCCTGACTTATCTCTGAAAATCAGGTGCAAGGTTAGGATGCCAGCTTACACTCAGTAAGACTCGTAAGAAGGGTGAGACAGGACAAGACGAACCTAATGGAGAATTAATTAAGGATGAATGGAAGAAAAAATACACACAGACATAGTAATACATGTAATGATAACTGTGGCATTATAATTCACTGGAGAAAAACGCTAATAACTAGGGTTGGTTGCAACTGGTGTTATGTGGAAAAAAGTAAAATTAGATTTGTCCTCATATTATCTACAATAATGAGTTCCAGATTGATTCAAGACTTAAATATTTTTCTAGTATTAAAAAATACTAGAAGTAGGCCAGGTGTGGTGGCTCATGCTTGTTTTCCCAGCACTTTGGGAGGCTGAGGTAGGAGGATTGCTTGAGCCCAAGAGTTCAAGACACACCTGGGCAACATAATGAGACTCTGTCTCTATCAAAAATAAAAATAAAAAAAGAAAAGAAAGAAAAAAGAAAACACCAGACATAGTACATTAATTTGAAAATTTAAAAAACTTTTATTTTAGGTTCAGGGGTACATGTACGGGTTTGTTATATAGGTAAGTTGCATGTCATGAAGATTTGGTTTACAGATTATTTTGTCACCCAGGTAATAAGCATAGTACTCCATAGGTAGTTTTTTGACACTCACCCTCCTCTTATCCTCTACCCTCAAACAGTCCCCAGTGTCTATTGTTCCTTTCATTGTGTTCATGTGTACTCAATGTCTAGCTCCCTCTTATAAGTAAGAATATATAGTATTTGGTTTTCTGTTCCTGTGTTAGTTCACTCAGGATAATGGCCTCCAGCTCCACCTTTTGTTGCTGCAAAAGACATGATCTCATTCATTTTTATGGCTGCATAGTATTTCATGGTGTATATGTACAATATATTCTTTATCCAGTCTACTGTTGATTGATATTTAGGTTGATTCCATGTCTTTGCTATTGTGAATAGTGCTGCAATGAACATATGTGTGCATGTGTCTTTATGGCAGAATGACTTATATTCCTTTGGGTATATACCCACTAATGGGGTTGCTAGGTAGAATGGTAGTTCTGTTTTAAGTTCTTTGAGAAATCGCTAAACTGCTTTCCACAGTGGCTGAACTAATTTACATTCCCACCAGCAGTGTATAAACATTAAACAACATTTTTTCTTTTTTTTTTTTTGAGATGGAGTCTCTCTCTGTCACCCAAGGTGGAGTGCAGTGGCACGATCTTGGCTCACTGCAACCTCTGCCTCCCTGGTTCAAGTGATTCTCCTGCCTCAGCCTCCCAACTAGCTGGGATTACAGGCATCTGCCACTACACCCAGCTAATTTTTGTATTTTTAGTAGAGATGGGGTTTCACCATATTGGCCAGGCTGATCTCGAACTCCCAACCTCAGGTGATCTGCCTGCCTCGGCCTCCCAAAGTGCTGGGATTACAGACATGAGCCACTGTGCCCGGCCTAAACAACATTTTTAAAAAAATATCATTATATTTGCTGGGCACAGTGGCTCACGCCTATAATCCCAGCACCTTGGGAGGCTGAGGCAGGCAGATAATGAGGTCAGGAGATCGAGACCATCCTGGCTAACATGGTGAAACCCCATCTCTATGAAAAATAAAAAAAATTAGCTGGACGTGGTGGCATGCACCTGTAGACCCAGCTACTCAGGAGGCTGAGGCACGAGAATCCCTTGAACCCAGGAGTGGGAGGTTGCAGTGAGCTGAGACTGCGCCACTGCACTCCAGCCTGGGTGACACAGCAAGACTCCGTCTCAAAAAAAAAACATTATATTGAATTAAATAAGAACTTTAAGATTTTAAAAAATCAATTACAAAAAAATCAACAGATCAGCCTAGATAAAAATATTCTCATAAAGCCAAAGGCACTGTATAAATAAAATGCAAGAGAAAAACTTGGAGAGTTGGTAACAAATATAATACACATAGAATTATTCTCCAAAATATATACAAGAGCCTTAAAAATAATATAGAAAAATGATTCAAAAATAGTAATTTGTTTACAAAAAACCCATAAATATAGGATATATAAGCTCATTAGTAATCTGAAAAATGCATATTAAAATGACAGGGTTTTCACAGAAGTTAGATTGGCAAGAAGTCTAAAGTCTGACAACACCAAGTGTCAGCAAGGAAGCAGAGTGAGTGACAGTTTCATGTGCAGTACCACAGATGAAAGGAGGGAATTGTTCAAGCAGAGCTATGTTAAGGGCATGCAGACCATTCAGCCTTCTTCTGGATACTCTGAATCTTATCTCTGGATGAAGCAAGACCACTGAAAAACTGTCCACTTGAACCTCAATGTTTTAATCTCCTGAAAGACTTCTCTTTGAATTCTCTTTTGCTGTCAGAAAGATCAGAGGATTTTTGATGAGAAAGATCAAAAATCTGCAGCTCAGCTTCGATAATCTGGGACATTATAGGACCTGCATGTATTGAAAACTGACTTTGCTCAGTTACTGACCTGCTACTTTATAGTTTCCCTGATGTTGAGTTTTATCTATTTCTGTTTTTTCTATTTTAATTTCTGTTCCCTTATAAATCTCACAAAGTCCATTGTAAAACAAAGTGGGAATAAACAACTCGCCTGGGATCTGTTCGTTTCTTGTTACTCATGGAGAATGGAAGAGAATTATAAAGGTAAAGCTGGGGAAGAAGGAAAGAGAATGAGATCCTGTGCAACCTGGCTGCCATGAAGCTTGCAGACTCACCTGCCTAGAAAACTTGCATGCAAGGTCCCTGGGGGGAATGTCCCTTTAACCCTAAGAACAGGAGAGACGCTGTGGAGGAACACCCACGTGTCCATGCTGACTCTGACAGGTCACCAAAAGTTTAGACATGCAATTTTTCATTAGATCACTGTAAATATTTCCTACTAATTCATAAAAAATGCATGTTCCCCTCCCATTGGCTAAAAGAAAAATTTAAAACAACAGAGAATCAATCAAGCAAATTACAATACAGAAAAGAAAAACTGCGCAGTCATTAAAACACTGGAAAAAAATGCCCTGGCTGTACTGTTTCTCAGCCTTCCTAATGATAGTACTTGTCCCTTCAGTTCGAAAATCCTCCTCAACATTTCCAGAAAACAGACGCAGGTGCTTTAGTTGTTTATTTTAACTCAGTTGCAGTTTCTCAAAAGGATCTTTTAATTTTAAAAACTTGATGTGGCTTAATTGTTTAAGACTGGATGGCACTTAGACTTTTTTGTTTTTTGTTTTGAGACAGGGTCTGGCTCTGTTGCCTGGGCTGTACCACAGTGGTATGATTCACAGCTCACTGCAGCCTTGAACTCCTGGGCTGAAGCTCAAGTAATCCTCCAGTCTCGGCCTCTTAAGTAGGAGAACTACAAGTGCGCACCACCACAGCCAGATACTTTTTTTTTGTAGAGACCGGGTCTCACTATGTTGCCCAAGCTGGTCTTGAATTCCTGGATTCAAGCAGTCCTCCCATGTCGGCCTCCCAGAGTGCTGGGATTACAGGCATGAGCCACCGAGCTCAGCCCTAATTAGTTATTTTCTGAGTATGCCACTAACAAATGAAATGATTAAATAAGTCACATTTTCTAGGCCCATTTTTTGACCTTTATACAACACTGTCACTTGATTTTTGTAACATCAGAATAGGAACAATGATGCATCTCCACAGGCTGCAAAGACAGTGAGTAGACAGGAAGGGAGCAGGCTTATGGAGGAGCACAGGGACAAGTTCCCCATCTAGGCGATGCCTTCCCCAGACTGTGTCCTCACAGTCCTCACAGTGGGCAGTGACGTGTCCTCTCCTGTGCTGCCTGCCCCTTGCTCATGCTGGCAGCCTAATTCTTCCTGAAAGCCCATCCACTGGACAGTCTGCCATGGTTTCTGCATGTGCTGACATCACCAAGTGTTATTTAACTGTACAGGAGTGCCAAGAATGTCTTCAGTGAACAGGCAGTTCCAGACATGCTCTTTCCTGGCCTTTTCCACTCTGCTCTGAGGCTCTGCTGAAAGGTCTCAGATCAGAAGTGTGACCTTCCACGTGGGTTCTTAGGGACTACTCCTTATTACCTCAAAAGCTACTTTATTCCAAGGATGCTGGGACAAGGGGACAAAGTAAATTTAGTTGGAACCTTCAATCTGACCTTCAGATAACACACTTTCCCTGAGAATCAAGGCCTGGGCCATCCATGAATTCAAACAAAGTCCCCCAAGGACAAATGCTGGACAAGGCTTACCTGGCTTAGAAACTTCAATCATACTGCCTGACCCTGGAGCTCAGAAGAAACATCAAGAATCCTGGAAACACACGGGCCAAGTTTCCTGTGAAGGCACATCAGTTCTCAATGCTGTGAATAACAATGTTGGGTTTTAGACATGGTGGATAATTAAAAAGAACAAGAAGACATGGAGAACAGAGTTCGAAAACTAGGTTCCTGCAGCTGCTGGTTACATGATCTTGGGTAAGTCACTTCACCTCTCTAAACTTGTTTCCTTTTTCTTTTTCTTTTTTTTTTTTTTTTTTTGAGACAGGGTTTCTCTCTCTGTCACCCAGGCTGGAGTGCAGTGGCGTGATCTCGGCTCACTGTCGCCTTCGCCTCCCCGGCTCAAGCGATATTTCAGAGTGCAGTCTACTACATTAACTGTACCTGAGGGTGGTGGTTTGAATATGTATCTTGTTATAACATCAAACTTCAGTTCATAAACTGAGGATTTTCAAGAATACTTTTTCAATCTTGTAACTAGCATTACTACTTAATTACTGAGTAGAAAACATAGTTATATATTATTAAAATGATTATTTGAATTATAATAGTGAATCTTATTTATTTTATGTATTTATTTATTTCTTTATTTGAGACAAGGTCTCACTCTGTCACCCAGACTGGAGTGCAGTGTTGCCATCTTGGCTCACTGCAACCTCCGCCTCCCCGGCTCAAGTGATCCTCCCACCTCAGCCTCCCGAATAGTTAGGACTACAGGCACCTGCCACCATACCTGGCTAATTATTTTTTAATTATTTGTAGAGACAAGGTCTTGCCATGTTGGCCAGGCTGGTCTCGAACTCCTGGGCTAGAGTGATCCACTCACCCTGCCTAGGTCGCCCAAAGTGCTGGGATTACAGGCGTCAGCCACGGCACCCAGCCTGATATTAATAATGTGAATCTTAATATCAAGGATGGGTTATCAAATCATTGACGAAGTTTCCAAGTCCATAAAATAAGAGTATGGTTCATTCACAAGCACTAAAGCAATGGAGTTCATTCTTCTTTAATAGCTAAATAATTGTATAATGATAATAAACATTATTTATACTTTATTTTGTATATCAGCTTATAAATTCTGATTCATTACAATTTTATTTTAATTTAGAAGGAATCATATTATGTCATTCTGTGTTCCACTCCTAAAAGAAGATATAGTTACTAAGTTGTATTAGGCCAATGCACCCACTTCAACACCTAGAAAAAAACTAGACAAATAATAACAGTTGTATTTTTTGTATTTTCAAAGATGTCGGAGAGTGGTAGAAGTAATGAGGATAACAGAAATTCAATTCTAGAGAGGAGGAGCCTTGCCTGGGCACCCTGAGGATTTCTAGCTTTTTCTTCACTAGGTCATTTACCATTTCTCCACATGGGCTGAACCTAGGCAGAGAGTATACTACTGAGTTGCCAGTGTAATTCAATAGGAAAAGATGATCTGTACAATAAATGATGCTGGTACAATTGAATATCTGAATGCTAGTACTAATGAAAAGAAACTGGGGATAGCCATATTAATTTCAGATAGAGCAGAATTTAAAGCAGGTTATCAGAAATATATGATATATACTAAACCAATCAGAAGCAGCCAACTAACTTACATAATTAGGGACTTTCCAATGGAATAGACCAAATAAGGAAACTGTACAACTGTAACCCATCAAATATTTTCTTTATTTCCACATTCACTCTGTAAAAACCTGTCCCTTATGCTTCTTTTGGTTTGGTGTTTCTTGATTTACAAATCGCTGTTCGCTCAAATAAACTCTCCAAAATTTTTCATCATGTCTGTTTTTCTTGTAAGAGGAGTATATAAGGGATCACTGGGTCAATGTGCATGATGGAGCCATTCTCTGGGATAGGGAAATTATATAAAATATTCTAACGTAATAATACTCTTTTTGCATCATTCTAAAAAAAGTGTTGGGTGGTTACCTACACAATGTTAAGAATATTCACCAATAGCATATTATATATATAGATACACACACATATGCATATGTGTGTATACATACATATGGTACAGTATTCAGATTCTTGCATTTGCAGGACAAATATGAATACATGCAGTACAAACATGTACATATGAACATTTGTGTACAAGCATTTGAGTATCTGTTTTCATTTCTCTTGCGTATATTTCTAGGAGTAGAATTGTTGAGCAAGATAGTAAAGTTATGTTTAACACTTTCAATCTGAACAATATTGCACTGTGTGAACATACTACAATTTGTTTATCCATTCATCCATCAGGGGACACATGGGTTGCTTTCACTTTTTGGCTTTTGTGAATAATGCTGCCATAAACATGGGTGTGAAAATATCTTTCAGACTCTGCTTTCAATTATTTTGGATATATACTCAGAAGTGGAATTGCTGGATCATATAGTAATTCTAATTTTATGAGCAACTGCCATAATAGCTGCACCATTTTCCATAGCAGCTGTACCATTTTACATTCCTATCAACAATGCACAAGAGTTTCAACTTCTCCACATCCTCAACTACACTTGATATTTTTTCTTTCCATCTCCTTTCTTTCTCCCTCCCTTCCTTCTTTTGATAGTAGCCATTCCATTGAGGATTAGGTGGTATCTCATTGTGGTTTTAATTTGCATTTCCTTAATAACTAGTGATGTTGACTATCTTTTCATATGCTTATGGGCCATCTGAATATCTTTTTTTTTAATGTCTACTCAAGTCCTTGGCCCATTTTTTAATCAATTTGTTCATTTTGTTGTTGTTGAGTTTTAGGAGTTATCTATATATTCTGAATATTAATCTCTTATCAAATATGTGTTTTGCAAACATTTTTTCCCATTTTGTGTGTTGCCTTTTCATTCTGTTGATAGTGTCCTTTAAAAAACATAAAAGCGTTATAAATTTTGATAAAGTAAAATTTGTCTATTTTTTCTTTTGTGGCTTGTGCTTTTGGTGTCATATCCAAGAAATCATTACCAAATCCAATGTCATTAAGCTTTCCCCCTGTGTTTTCCTCTAGGAGCTTTACAATCTTAACTCTTACATGTAGGCCTTTAATCCATGTTGAGTTACTTTGAGAACATGGTGTTAGGTAAAAATCCAACTTCATTCTTTTGCATGTCAATACCCAGTTTTCCCAGCATTTTTTTTTTCTTTTTTTGAGACAGAGTCTCACTCTGTTGCCCAAGCTGGAGTGCAGTGGCCCGGTCTCTGCTCACTGCAAACTCCGCCTCCAAGGTTCAAGTGATTCTCCTGTCTCAGCCTCCCGAGTAGCTGGGATTACAGGTATGTGCCGCCACACCCTCCAGCATCATTTTTTTAAGACTGTCCTTGCCATTAAATGGTCTTGGTACCCGTGTCTAAAACCATTTACCCATATTTTTGAGGGCCTCTTGGCTTTCTATTCTTTTTCATTGTTCTATACATCTGTCTTTATAGCAGCACCACACTATTACACTATTATGATTTATAGCTTTGTAATAACTCTTGAAATCAGGAGGAGTGAAAGCAAGGGGTGCGAGACCTCCAATGTTGTTCTTTATTAAAATTATTTTGACTATCGGGGGTCCCTTTGGATTCCATAGAAGTTTTTGGATATATTTTTCTACTACTGCAAAAACATCTTTGGTATTTTGATAGAGATTGCATTGAACCTGTAGATTGCTTTGGGTAGTGCTATATAGTATCTTAACAATATTAAGTCTTCCTATCAATGTACATGAATGGATTTACACATCTCCATTTACTCTTTAATGCATTTCAGCAACATTTTGTAGTTTTCAGTGTACAAGTCTTTTGCCTCCTTGATGTAGCTTTTTTGATGCTGAAATTGTTTTCTGAATTTCCTTTTAGGATTTTTTATTGTTAGTATATACAAACACAACTGATTTTTGTGTGTTGATTTTGTATTCTGCTCCTTTGCTGAGTCCATTTATTCTAACCATTTTTAGTGGATGGACTCTTTAGGGTTTTCTACATATAAAATCATATAAGAACAAAAAAAATTACTTCTGTCCAATCTGTATGCCTTTTATTTATTTTTTATTGCCTAATTGCTCAGGCTAGAACTTCCATATTATGCTGAATATAAACTTTCAGTCTTTTACCCGAGTACGACATTAGCTGTATATTTTTAATATATGGTTTTTATTACATTGACGTAGTTTCCTTCTATTTCTTACACATGTTGATTTATCACATGTGCATAGCTCATTATGAAAGAGTGTTGAAATATGTCAAATGGTTTCTCTTCATCAATTGACATCATGTTTTCATGTTTTTCCCTCCATTCTATTAATGTGATGTATTACATTAGGTGGCTTTCATATGTTGAGTCATCCTTGTATTACAGAAATAAACAGAAAAAAATCCTGCTTGGTCATGATATATAATCTTTTTTTCTTATTCCTGCTTGGTCATGGTATATAACCTTTTTTCTTTTTTTTTTTTTTTCTGAGACAGAATCTCGCTCTGTCACCCAGGCTGGAGTGGAGTGCAGGGATGTGATCTCAGCTCACTGCAACCTCCACTGCCCAGGTTCAAGCGATTCCCCTGCCTCAGCCTCCTGAGTAGCTGGGATTACAAGCACACCCCACCACACCTGGTTGATTTTTTTTAATTTTTAGTAGAGATGGAGTTTCGCCATGTTGACCAGGCTGGTCTCAAACTCCTGGCCTCAAGTGATCCACCTGCTTTGGCCTCCCAAAATGCTGAGATTACAGGCAGTAGCCACCATACCCAGCTGGTACACAATCTTTTCAACATGTTCCTGAACTCAGTTTGGTAGCATTTGTTGAAGATTGTTGCATTAGGGTTCATAAGGGATATTACTGTGCAGTTTCATTTTCATGTAGTATCTTTGTATGGCTGTGATATCAAAGTAATACTAACCTCACAGAACAAATTTGGAAGTGTTCCCTTCATTTTAATTTTTTGGAAGAGCCTAAAAAAGACTAATGTTAGTCGGTCTTTAAATGTTTGGTAGAATTCACCAAGGAAGGCATCACGTCTGGGGCATTTCTTTGTCAAGAGTTTTTTTTTCATTACTGATGCAGTCTCCTTATTAATTATGTACCTACATAATTTTCTATTTCTTCATGAGTCAGTATTGACTTATGTCAATGATATTGTGTTCCTAGATATTGAGCCATTTCATCTATGTTATCCAATTTGTTGTAGTAAGTTGTTCTTAGTACTTTCTTGTATTTTATTTCTGTAGAATCAGTATTTATATCCCTGTCTTCATTTCTGATTTTAGTAGTTTGAGTCATTTTCTTAGTCTAGTTAGCTAAGGGTTTGTCAATTTTGTTGTTGATCTTTTCAAACAACCAATTCTTGGTTTAGTTGATTTTCTCTATTGTTTTTCTATTCTTTGTTATCTCTGCCCTACTCTTTATTTCCTTCCTTCTGATACATTTGAGCTTAGTTCTTTTTATTTATTGTTTATTTATTTTTGAGACGGAGTCTAGTTCTGTCACTGAGACTGGAGTGCAGTGGCATGATCTTGGCTCACTACAGCCTCCACCTCCCAGGTTCAAGTGATTCTCCCACTGCAGGCTCCTAAGCAGCTGAGATTACAGGCACCCGCCACCATGCCTGGCTAATTTTTGTATTTTTAGTAGAGACAGGGTTTCACCATTTTGGCCAGGCTGGTCTTGAACTCCTGACTTGAAGTGATTCACCAGTCTTGGCCTCCCAAAGTGCTGGAATTACAGGCATAAGCCACTGCTCCCAGCCTTCAGTTAGCTCTTTTTCTGGGTCCTTAAGATGTAATGTTAGATAACTGATTTGAGATTTTTCTTCTTTTTAAAGGTAAGCACCTATAGCTATAAATATCCCCTTTAGCACAACTTTTGCTGCATCCCATAAGTTTCTGTATGTTTTGTTTCTGTTTTCAGTCATCTCTAAGTATTTTTCAATTTCCCTTGTGATTTTTTTCTTTTACTTATGGGTTGTTTAAAGGTATATTATTTAAATTATTTCCACAAATTTATAAATTTTCCAGTTTTCCTTTTATTATTATTTTCTAACTTCATACTGTTGTGGTCGTAGAATATACTTTGTATAATATCTATCTTTTAAAATCTATTGAGACTTAATTTGTGACCTAACATATGGTTTACCCTGGAGAATAACTAACGTGCATTTGAGAAGAATAGGTATTCTGTAGTAGTTGTTGTTGGATATAGTGTTGTGTACTACTTGATCCTAAAAGGGAGTATTGAAGCAAATTTTTAAATGCAGACCAGGTCTGGATAATCCCAGAGCAGACAAAGCCAGTTAGGCCCTAAAAATAACCTTAACCTTGATTGAACTGCAAACATAATTTAACTTAGATGTCTGTTAAATCAAGTTGGCTTATTGTGTTTTTAAGTCCTGTGTTTCCTTACCTTCTGTCTGGTTGTTCTATCCATTATTGGAACGACATATTGAAGTTTCCAACTATTATAGTAGAACTGTCTATTTTACCCTTTAGTTCTGTCAATTTTCACTTCATTTATTTTGATGTTATCTTATTAGGTGCATAAATGTTCATTATTGCTATATCTTCTTGCTGTATTGAATTTTATTAACATACAATATCCTTCTTTATCTCTTGTGACCTTTTTGATTTAAGGCCTATTTTGTCTGATGTTAACATACAGTTGACCCATGAACAACATGGGTTTAAACTGCATGGGTCTGTTATATATGGAGTTTTTCCAACATATTGGAAAAGTTTTTGGAGATATGTGACAATTTGAAAAAAACTTGCAGATAAACCATGTGGCCTAGAAATACTGAAAAAATTAAGCAAAAGAGGTATGAAATAAATGTATAAAATAT
Source organism: Homo sapiens (assembly GCF_000001405.40). Classification (NCBI taxonomy): domain Eukaryota; kingdom Metazoa; phylum Chordata; class Mammalia; order Primates; family Hominidae; genus Homo; species Homo sapiens. The sequence continues at coordinate 37,810,667 of NC_000010.11, forward strand.
CTGAAGATACTAGTCTATTTTATCATTTACTATCTAGAAATACACAAATTTCCTATAAAAAGCTAAAATTTATTAAAACATACACAAATAAAGACTGTACATGGTACCATTAGCTGTCAAGAGAAATGTTAACAGACGTGAAGAGGTAGTATTCAATCATAATGGCATAAAATTACCTGTAGTATATACTATACTACTATAATAATTTCAGAGCCAAGTCCTGTTGCTATTGTGGTGAGCTGAAGTATCCGCTTAAAATATCATGTAAAGCTAATCATCTTTGTGTGAGCAGTTCATTTCTCCAGTAAACTGCATATGACAGTAAAAGTAACCTCTTACAGTTTTCACATATTTTTCATCATTTTTAGTGCATTTCCATAAACACTGAATAACACTATTGGACCCATATGAAGTACCACTAGTGATGCTGCAAGTGCTCCCAAGAAGCAGAGAAAAGTCATGATATTACAAGAAAAAGATGGATTGCTTAATATGTACTTTAGATTGAGGTGTGCAGCTGTGGTTACCCACTGTTTCAAGATAATTGAATCCAGTGTAAGAACCACTGTAGAAAAAGAAAATTTATGAAGCTGTCACTGCAGCTGTGCCACAGGTGCAAAAACTTTGCACTTTTAGCAAAATACCTTGTAATCTCATATTGAAAATGCAGTTTTTATGTGGCTGCAGGATTGCCATAAGGCACACCTACAGACTCTAATGCAATCTGAGAAATAGTGAAGTTATATGACAACTTAGAGCAAAAAAATAAATAAATAAATAAAATAAAAAATAAAAAAAACCATGAAGGATTTAAAGCTAGACAATTTAAAGCCAGCAAAGAACGGCTTGATAGTTTTAGAAAGATGTTTGGCTTTAGAAATTTCTAGGCCAGGCGCAGTGGCTCGTGCCTGTAATCCCAGCACTTTGGGAGGCAGAAGTGGACAGACTGCTTGAGCCCAAGAGTTCAAGACCAGTCTGGGCAACATGGCAAAACCCTGTCTCTACAAAAAAAAAAATATATATATATATATTAGTCAGGTGTGGTGGCATGCCCCTGTAGTCCTAGCTGCTTGGGAAGCTGAGGTGGGAGGATTGTTTGAGCCAGGGAGGTCAAGGCTGCAAGTAAGCTGTGATCATGCCACTGTACTCCAGCCTGGCTGACAGTGAGATGTTGTGTCAAAAAAAGTAAACAATAAAAATTAAAAAGTCACAATAACAGAAGAATCTGCTTCTGCTAACCAAGACGCAGCAGACAAGTTCCCAGATGCCATTAAGAAAATCACTGAGGGTTTGGCGCAGTGGCTTACATCTGTAATCCCAGCACTTTGGGAAGTCAAGGCAGGCAGATTGCTTGAGCCCAGGAGTTCGAGACCAGCCTGGGCAACATGGCAAAACTCCATCTCTACTAAAAAATACAAAAATTAGCCGGTCATGGTGGCACATGCCTCTAGTCCCAGCTACTCGGGAGGCTGGGGTGAGAGGATCGATTGATCCCAGGAGGTCAAGTCTGCAGTGAGCCATGACCGCTCCACTGCACTCCAGCCTGGGTGACAGAGCAAGACCCTGTCTCAAAAAAAGGAAGAAAGAAAATCATTGAGGAGGAAGGATATCTGCTTGAACAGGTCTTTAATGTAGACAAAAGTGTCTTTGGGAAAAAAAAAAGTGCCACAAAGGACATTTGTTACTAAGGAAGAGAAATGGACACCAAGATTAAAGGCAGGAAGGGAAAGGCTAACTCTACTTTAGTACAAATGCAGCTGGGTTTATGATTAGGTCTGCCTTTATCTATAAAACTGCTAACACCCAGCCTTGAAGAGAAAAGATAAACATCAGCTTCCAGTCTTTTGGTTGCACAATACAAAGGCCTGGACAGTGAGAACCATTTTTCTGGATAGGTTTCACCATGCTTTGTCCCTGAAGTCAGGACATACCTTTCTAGTAAGGGGCTGCCTTTTGAAGCTCCTTTGATATTGAGCATGCCCCCGGCCACCCAGAACCCCAGCAGTTCAACATCAAAGACATCAAAGTGGTCTATGTGCCCCCAGACAGTGTCTCTAATTCGGCCTCTAGATGAGGAGGGCATAAGGAACTTTAAGGTTCATTACAATGGTACTCCATGGAAGGATGGTTAATGCTATGGAAGAGAACCCTGATAGAACACCATGAAAGACTGGAAGGATGACACCACTGGCACTGAAGATGGCGTGACTGTTACAGAAAAAGCCATAGAAGCCATTGACCCCAAAACAATAAATTCCTTCTGGAGAAAACTATATCCGGATGTTGTATATGACTTCACAGAATTTATGACAGAGCCAATCAAGGAAATCATAAAAGAGATCGTGGATATGGCAAAAAGAAAAAAAAAAAAAAAGGTGGTGGAAGCAGGAGAGTAAAGATTTCAATACATGGATCTTGGAGAAATTCAAGATCTCATAGACTTCACAACAGAGGAATTAACAGATGACTTGACAGAGATGAGCACTTCCAAAGCCCGACCATGAGGCGTAAGACGTAGAAGAACGTACAAGAAACAATGTCGTAAAACAAACTGCCATTAGACAGTCTGGCAGAAGGTTTCCAATTATTTGAGACTGCTTTTAACTTCTTTTATGACATGGACCCTTTTATAATACAGGTGCTGAAATCAAAACAAACAATAGGACTGTTACTGTACAGATACCTTTTTAGAAAAGCAAAAAGCATCAGACAGAAATTATGATGTAGTTCTGGAAAGTTATACCACGTGTGTTTGCCTCTCCTGCCTCCCTTCCATCTCCTCCACTTCTGCCTCTGCCACCCCTGAGAAAGCAAGACTGACTCCTCCTCTCCCTCCTCCTCATCAGCCTATTCAATGTGATGACAATGAGGATGAAGACCTTAATGATGATCCACTTCCACTTAATGAATAAACATTTTTATCTTCCTTACGATTTTTTTTTCTTTACCTTACTTTATTCTAAGAATATAGTATATAATACATATACATAATACATGTTAATCAGCTGTTTATGTTATTGGTAAGTCTTCTGGTCAATAGTATGCCACTAGTAGTTACATTTTGGGGGAGGCCAAAGTTATGTGCGTGTGCATGTGTTTGTGTGTGTTTCTGTGTTGGGGGTCAGTGCCCCTAACCCACCACCAATTGTTCAAGGATCAACTGCACTCACTCCTGCTCTTTTTACAACTTGCATGGGATATCTCTTTTCATTCTTTCACTTTTAACCCGTTAGTGTCTTCGGACACAGATTAGAACCTGAGTCTCTTGTAGACAGTACTGTTCAATCACATTTGGTTTTATTTAATCCATTCTGATTTTGATTGAAGAATTTAAGCCATTTACATTTAAAGTAATAACCAAAAATGAAGGATCTACATCTATCATTGCGCTTTTGTTTTCTATGTCTTACAGCATTTTTGTCCCTCATTTCCTGAATTACAGCTCTTTTCTTTTTAGTAGATTTTTGCTAGTAAAATCTTTTAATTCCCTTCTCATTTCTTTTTATGTGTGTTCTCTACAGCTGTTTTGTTACATTTAACATCCTAAAGTCATAACACTATAAATTAAATTTATACTAGCTTAACCTCAATAACATACAAAAAACTCCGCTCCTACACAGCACTGTCCCCACCACTTTTTAAGTTATTGATGTCAAAAAATGACTTCTTTATACATTGTGTCCAGAGACACAAAACATTTTTACGCATTAGTCTCTTAAATCATGTAAAAATCAAAAAGTGGAATTACTAACCAAAGTTACAGTAATACATCTTTGTATTATAACTCCCTGTGCATTTACCTTTATCAGATATCTTCATTTCTTTTATGGCATTAGTTTCTGTCTAGTGTCCTTTCATTTCAACCTAAAGGACTCTTTTCAGCTTTCTTGCAGGGCAGGTCTACTGCTATCAGACTCCCTCAGCTTTTGTTTATCCAGGAATGTCTTAATTTCAGCCTCACTTTTGACAGAAAATTTTACCAAATACAGGATTGTTTGCTGACAGATTTGTTTTTCCCTTCAGCATTTTGAACATTTCAACCCACTGCCTTCTGGCCTCCAAGATCTGATAAGAAATCTGCTAATAACTTTATTGAGAATGGCTTGTATGTATGTATGTTATGTATAAGCTGCTTCTTTCTTGCTGCTCTAAAACTTTGTCTTTGGCCTTTGACAGTTTGATTATAATGTGCCTCAGTGTGGGCCTCTTTGATTTTATCTTACTTGAAGTTTATTGTGTTTCTTCTAGGTTTATATTTATATATTTCATCAAATTTTAAAATGTTTCACCAATTATTTCTCCAAATTATCTCTATGCTTTCTCTATCTGGCACTCCGAACAATGCATATATTCATCCACTTGATGGTGTCCCACATGTCTCTTAGGCTTTCTTCATTTTTTTTTCAGACTTTTTTTTTGAGATGGAGTCTCGTTCTGTACCCCAGGCTGCAGTGCAGTGGCATCATCTTGGCTCACTGCAACCTCTGCCTCCTGGGTTCAAGCGATTCTCCTGCCTCAGCCTCCCAAATAGCTGGGATTACAGGCACATGCCACCATGCATGGCTAATTTTTGTACTTTTAGTAGAGACAGTTTCACCATGTTGGCCAGGCTAGTCTCAACTCCTAACCTCAGGTGATCTGCCTGCCTCAGCCTCCCAAAGTGCTGGGATTATAGTCATAAGCCACCGCGCTCAGCTTCAGTCTTTTTTCTTTCCTTAAATTTGATTTCAATGACCCTATCTTCAAATTCACTCATTCTTCTGCTTGCTCAAATATGCTTTTAAATCCCTCTAGCAAAGTTGTTGTACTTTTCAGCTCCAGAATTTGTTTTCTCTATCTTTATTGATGTTTCCATTTTGTTTATAGTTTTCTTGACTTTGTCCACATTATCTTTTAGCTTTTTAAACATCTTTAAGACAGTGTTTTAATTTGTCTGGTAAGCCCACAATCTGGTCTTTTTCAGGGACAGTTTCTTTTCTTTTTTGCTTTCAATTAGTCATACTTTCTTGTTTCTTTGTTCATCTTTTGATTTTTTTGTTGTTGTTGAAAAGTGGACATTTGAAATTTATGGTGTGGTATCTCTGGAGATCAGATTCTCCCCATTACCCAAGGTTTGCTAGGCTTTTTGTTCTCATTCATTTATTTTTAAAAAATAGTTACAGGGTGTCTGCATATGAAAGATTAGACTGAGATGTAAACTTAAGCTCTTCTGAGGTCACTTCTGAGCCTGGACCTTTTCCTGGGCATGTGTGGCAACTTTCTAAATTCCTCTGTATACGTGGTTGCTAAAGGTCCCAGTCCTTACATTTCTGGTTCCGATAATGGAAAAAAAAAAAAAAAGAGAGAGAGAGAGAGAAATGAAGGGGAAAGCACGAAGTCTTTAAATCCTCAGGAATTTACTTCATCTAAAACATGGGTGCTAGAAAGAACTATTTCACTTTCTCCACCCTAGGCTCTGGGAATGGCTCAGAAATTTTGCCAAGGAAGGGGGGATGAAGGCCAGGGGGGAAGCAATTCATTAAATCAAAAGAGCATCTCTCCAGTGAATAAGGGGAAGGACTTGCAACAATGGCAATGAGTTACAATAGCCGCTCACCTCTGTGTTTACACCTCCGTGTCTGCACCTCCACGATCAGAAGGAGCAATCAGTGACTAGAGCACAGTTCCCCAATATTTGCAGGACAGGGTCCTTAATGCCTATCCTGGCTTCAGCAAGCTGCTTCAGGAACACATACAAAGCTGCTGGCACGGGTGATGGGTAGCCACTACCATGCTCAGAGCTAAAATTAACCACACGTAACCACAATTTGCCATACAAGCCTTCCTACAGGAACAGCTTCTGAGGTCAGTACTGGAGGTTTGTTCTGACACAAGGGGGGCCTATTATTAGTTGTCTCTTTCGTTGGTTCACCTCTGGTAAACACGTGGCCTATGTTTAGCTTGGAATTCTCACTGAAGCTGTCAGCTGCTTCTTGTTTTTCATCAAAATCTCGTTTTTGAGTACCCTTAGATTTGACCTTTCCTGTACACTCATTCAAATAAGGTCAGTTCATTAGCAGAGTTTTTGACCTCTTGATTTTATGAATTGTTTTCCCCACTTGGTGAAATCTCTGAGCCATGCCCCAGAGGCTAAGGTGGAGAGAGTGGAATGATTATTTCTAGGAACCGTGTTTTAGGAGAAGGGTGCTGGGTAGGGAGGGTAAGAGGGTGCTGGTCTTCTAGGCTTTCCTCTTCTGGCTTGGAACCTCCACACTACTAAGTCAAAGTAAGGGTAACTGGGCCCCTATATTCTCAGGACACCATGCCTGAGATAGAGCCTGTGTCATGTGAATGGGGTCTGGGTGGAAGGGAGTCCGGGATTTCTCCTCAGCTGTACTAACCTGCAATTTAGCCTCTTAAACAACTTGCAGGAGATGTATGAGAAATACTAGCAGCCTGCCCCTCCCATGTAGATGCCACTGCCCTCAAATGGGAGCTGGGAGGCAAGGGAGCTCTGTTTTCTTGGCTGCACCCACTTAGAGTTTGTCATATTGACCTGGGAGGAAGACGGGAGGGCACTGATTGTGGTTCAAATACCACAGACTCTCACTGTTCCTAATGACTTTTAGTAGATTTTTCTTGAATAAGTAGTGGTTAGTTGCTGTATGCCCTAAGAACCACTTCCAAAGACCTATATAATTTTTTTTTGCATGGATGAACCTTTATTTTTAAAAAAAAAATAGCACTTCAAATAAATTAAAAGGGACAACCATCAGGTATTCAAATTGTGAAGAAATAGTTGAAAACCTAGAGAGACTCCAAGCCACAGTCTTCTAACCTCATTCTTTGTCCAATGACAAAAACCCACACATCTCAGTACTCCCACTCAATTTTTTCCCTACTGAGGAGGGAAGCAATTGCAAACAGGAGACCAGAGAGAGGAGAAAGCTGCATCTGATTGGAATGAACATTGCCACGTACTTGCTAATATGGGTTTCACTTTACAACCAAATGAATTCTTTCAAATATAAAAAAGGGGAGAGGGAAGCTGCATGTTTTTAAAAATTGAAATTATTTAGGGATAAAACACTAACTCTAGTGTCTTTAATAGGCAACAGCATTTTTTCCCCCCGAAGTCAAACACCATCCCCAGCTGAGCCTTTGTGCTACAAACTTTTTAGAAGATGTTACCTAAACTTTATTAAAAGAACAAGTCTAAATATAGACACTGGACTAGCCTAGTCTGTATTTTCTTTTTTATTTATTATTTATTTATATATTTATTTTTGAGACGGAGTGTCACTCTGTCGCCCAGGCTGGAGTGCAGTGGCGTGATCTCGGCTCACTGCAAGCTCCGCCTCTCGGGTTCACGACATTCTCCTGCCTCAGTCTCCCAAGTAGCTGGGACTATAGGCGCCCACCACCAAGCCTGGCTAATTTTTTTGTATTTTTAGTAGAGACGGGGTTTCACTGTGTTAGCCAGGATGGTCTCGATCTCCTGACCTTGTGATCCACCTTCCTTGGCCTCCCAAAGTGCTGAGATTACAGGCATGAGCCACTGTGCCCGGCCTTCTAGTCTGTATTTTCAAGTCCACAATCTTCATCTGAAGCATTGCATCAGGAACCCCCGTGAGTCTGCATGTTTTCAAGTTCACAGTACATGGAACCAGTTTTTCTTTTTAGTTTTTTCCTCACTCAGAGCAGCCATACACAGTGGCCATTGACGCCAGAACCTCATGCCGGGCCTTTTCCTATGAGGCCTGGCTGGAGCTGCCCATGGTTTCTCCTTAAAGAGAATCCATGCTGTCATGCTCAGTGGATGGGAAAAAAGCAACAAAATAAGCACCTGGTTCAGGTTTCATCAGATCCATTCAGATTCTCTACGTTCCAAACCTGCTGCTAAATGCTATTTGTCCACTTTGTGTGTGTTGAACAGTTTGTGGCCTTGGAGTCAGTCTCAATTCGAAGAACAGCTGTTGGACACCCCAAAGGTTGATGCAATAGCAGCCCCAGCAGGGCTACTCACAAAGACCAATTTTTGGATATAATGCAGCAAGTAGGGGGTCACAGGCCAGTTGCTGGGCATCAATGCAGTCCTCCTTTTGGTAGGCCAAACATCGTCAAATAAACGCCTTTGCTTCAGGTGTTACTACTCATTTTGGTGGGAACTGCACTTCAGCAGCTTTAAGAATAGTATTCTCTTGTAGGATGTCTTGCTGAGACTGGTTATAGCCAAAAGGCTTCCCTCCAGAAAGACACTGATAGAAGATCACACCCACCGACCACACAACAATTTTATTTGAGATCTTTGGTGGTTCTTTCTCAACCACAAAACTCTGGTGTTAAATTGCAATAAGTGCCAGCACCTTGTGATGTCAGCTCCATGCCACCCACTGAATTGTAGCTATCATCATCCATGATCTTCGAAAGACCAAGCTCTGTAATTTTTCTCTCTCCACACACTGTACCATTTACTAAAAGAATATTCCCTGGTTTGAGGTCATAGTGTATGATGGGAGGTTTTATTTTATTTAAGTACTTTAAAGCATTTACAGTCTGCATGATAATGGACCAGGCCTCTTTCTCTGACATTAATTTGTGCCGTTTCAGATAGAAGTTTAGATCATTTCCCTCACAGTATTCTAACACTGTACAAAATGAGTCAGTATCCAGTGAAAAGTAATCATACAGCTTAATTATTCTGGGATGATCCAGTTCTTTATGAATCCAGTATTCCCTACATGCATGCTTGTGGTAATTCTCCTTTTTCTCATCTCTCCAGTTTTTATTTAACTGGTGAATTTTCACAGCTACGTATCTTTGCTCTATTAGTTCAAATGCCTTGTAAACTTTACTGAAACCTCCTCTATCCAAAAGATGTAACAACAAATATCTGTCATTTAGCATTGGATGATCTTTAAATTGTGAGTTATCTTCATTATGTATCCTTTTTAGTTCCCCGATACGTAGATTTCTAACCCTTTCTAGCCTTTCCAGCTCTGCCTGGATCTCTGCTTCCTCCTTTTTAAGATGACCTAACCGGAGTTTGAAGATTTCTTCTTGTTCATGGTATTCTGCTAATGTTAACGTTTTATTTTCAGCTCCATTGGTCCTGCTTTTCCACTGTTTCTGCTCACTGGTTGCAGGAGGGTCCTGACCCATGGCAGGAGGTTTCCGCTTTGCTAACATTTTCCGTTGTCTATCTCTTCCCTCTGTGAATTTATCCTTTTCTGATGCTTGATAAGATTCTGAAAAGCATAACCATCTGCCCATTGTTCAGTAAACGAGGCCCCATGTCGGACAGTAGTAAAGCGGCCCCATCTCAAGCGGTCTTGCATGCTCTTATCTCTACATGCCATCTTCTCTTTTTGACTTTTCTATGAGGACTTTCTTGCTCATTGTCACACATCTATTTAATCATCCTTGTATCTCTGTAGCATCTTTTGCTGTTCATCAATCTGCTGTGTCAAATCACAGTTGGCTCTTAATAAATCATCTATTCTTCCCTCCTTCTTAAGTCAGAATTCTTACTGTTTTCTAGTGCAGATATTTTTTATATTGTGAGGTCGGACTGGGTCTGTCTGTGCCAGATGGAGATCTGTTTTTGGGAGCTGCAGAAATGCTCTGTGTTGCCAGATCTCATAGATGAGGGACTGTTTTGCTGAGCTGAAACAGAAGTGAAGCACAGGCCAGCTCCCCTTTGTGCCAGCTGCTCTGGGTCAAGCCGAGGTTTTGTTAGCATTGCTGACATGAGGCTGTTGGCAGAGCAGACTGCTCCTCCGTTGCCTCCTTTGCAGTGCTGCCATCTAAACCACAGAGGGGCTGTTCTACTTGTCACAGTAAGGGATTGGATAAGGAATGTTGCGGTGAGGATCGTGCAACTGGTGCAACACTTCTGCCAGGGCTGGTCCCTGGCCCGCTTCCCCCAGCAAACTCAAAGTAATCACTAATTTTACGTCCCCCAGCAGTGCCTTTCCCTTGGCTAGTTTCATGTGGTTCGGCTTTTCTTTTCCACTTTCGCTGGTCATTCTGCTTTTTCTCGGGAGTCTCTACTTCTTTATCACTCAAGGATCCCATGCTGCACAAGCTCTGGTTGGAAGACTCACTATTAAGTGGTCCCTTTTGTTAAATCTGATGTACTCTCCTTCATTTTGCCTTTTGTTTCCTGATTTTCCAACTCTTGAATATTTCCCATTCTGTTTTGCATGTATTTATTTCTTCTTGCATATTTATTGTTTTTTCCTCTTCTAGTTTTCCTTACTAATACCTACTCTAGTAAACCTGGCCTCCAATAATTCCTGCCGTCGTGGGTCCAGGCTATGCAATTCTTCCATCATTTCTGGCTGGCAGAGCGTCTCCCGAGACTAAAGGTGCTCTGGGATCCCAAAGACCTACATAATTTTAATCAGTTATGCTCACTTCACTGAGAAGTAGGTCTACAGAGGTCCTCATGCTGCCATTGTGGAAGTCATGGTAACTTTTTATATTTATTGCCCCACTAGAAAATAAGTTCTATAAAAGCACAGAGTTTTGTCTGTTTCATCTAGAAATAACTCCTAAGCAACTACAAAAATGACATACCTATTGGTTGGATGAATATATTTAGGATTTCCTTGGTTCTTATTTAACTCTCAGAATAACCCCACAAAGTAGGTACTACTGCCATTCGCATTTAGAGAGGAAGAAACTGAGGTTTTCAGTAGTTAAATTACCTGTCCAGTCACATATTTGTTAAGTGTGGTGGATGTATATGCAGGCCTCACTGACTCCAAAGTCCATGCTCTTGAACAGTGTGCTTTACTATGGACTGCTCACACCCCTCAGTCCAGCTCTTACTAGACGGCCTTTAACAACTCTTCAATCACATTCAAGAGCCTCACTCCGCAGTACAGACAGCTGCAGAGGGTCAGTTCTTCTGGAATTAAGGCCTGCACATTTTACTGAACATACCTGGCCACTTACACAGGGAGCTTTCCTCAAAGAAAGCAACAAAGGCAACCACAGCCAACCCACTGCTCAGTCCCAGTCCCTACCCTTACTCCCTCTTCAACCCTGACCCTGGAGCACAGCCTATCCTCAAAAGCCTTTACCTACATCCAGGACAGGCTTGAAAACACAAGACGCTAATGGATTCCAATGACAGTCATTTGGAGTTTTGGATCCCATCTACTATAAGCTAATCTCACCTTCTTTTCTCTGTAACTACCAAATACCACTGAACTCCCCTCAAACCAATTCCAATTCCAAAGTGCACAAACTACCTCTCCAGTTCTCTGCCCAGAACCAGTTCTACGCCCAGAACCAGTTCTCCAAAGGATAAAGGCTAAAGACTGGAGCCTCAGCAATCAGCTCCCTCAGAGGCTGGAGACAACATAAGCCCCCCATAAGGGGCTATGCCTTCCCCTCCCGGTGTCGTCAGAGGCCCAACTCATCACATTGCTGAATTTAGTGTCCCATGAGCCACTGTAGACACTCGGTAGCAATCATTCCAAAAGTTGTAATAAGTTGGTGCTGCTCAAATTAATCTCTCCCTGGAGGCCTTGCCCCTTCACAGTCACAAAGGACATGGTCTGGAGCGGTCTTAAATAACAGCCTTGTCTACATAGAAAGCTACCACAAACTGCGTATCAATTTCACTTGTGAACACAGAAAAAAACATTTAAATAAAGCTGAAAACGAGAACAACAATTAAAGTGTCATCTCCATGACTGTTTTCCCAGGTTGCAAAATACATCAACTTGGAAAAACTATATATATATTAAACAAAAATGAAAAAAAATTCAGAAAACAATCTAAAAGAAATGATTCATCCTCTCAGTTCATTTGAAGTGCAAAGTCTGACATTTCTACAAAGGGCATGATGGTTTGTGATAATCTCTTCACTGAACTGTGTACCATGAGAATCTTCAGTGGTAAATATATATTTATTAAATACATATTAATAAAATGTCTCTGTTATATTCATTATAATAATATAGTCAAGATCAGGGGTGTCCAATCTTGATCAGGGGTGTCCAATCTTTTGTCTTCCGTGGGCCACAATGGAAGGAAGAAATGTCTTTGGCCACATATAAAGTACATTAACACTAACGATAGGTGATGAGCTAAAAAAAGTAAAAATAACACAAAAAAAGCTCACAATGTTTTAAGAAAATTTACAAATTTGTGTTGGGCTGCATTCAAAGTCATCCTGGGCAACAGGCAGCCCATGGGCCACAGGTTAGACAAGCCTGATCAAGATGTTTACATGTTCTAAAAAATACCTAGAATTAATGTGCGGTCTATGTGAAGGAAACTATAAAACTTGGTCAAGATGTTTACATGTTCTAAAAAACATACAGAATGTGCAGGCTATGTGAAGGAAACTATAAAAGTTTATTGAATGACAGCTTAAAAAATGCAAACAGTGGCTGGGCACGGTGGCTCACACCTGTAATCCCAGCACTTTGGGAGGCCGAGGTGGGCCAATCACGAGGTCAAGGGATCAAGACCATCCTGGCCAACATGGTAAAGCCCTGTCTCTACTAAAAATACAAAAATTAGCTGGTCATGGTGGCACGTGCCTGTAGTCCCAGCTGCTCGGGAGGCTGAGGCAGAAGAATTGCTTGAACCTGGGAGGCGGAGGTTGCAGTGATCCGAGATTGCGCCACTGCCCTCCAGCCTGGTGACAGAGCGAGACTCCGTCTCCAAAAAAAAAAAAAAAAAAAAAAAAAAAAAGCAAATAACAACAGGAACTAATCATTTTTTAACAAAAAAATGAAACGTATTATGTCACAACATTCCAAACAAATTCTCAACGTTCTATATTTTCAAATCTTCTGTACTGCAGCTAGAACAAATGTAAATTTTATGTGAAATAATGAGGGGGGTCAAGAATTTTGTGAAGATACAGACTAAAGCTTGACTAGAGATGTGTCTTTATTTATTTATTTTTTGGTTGTTTTTTGAGACAGAGTCTCGCTCTGTTGCCCAGGCTGGAGGGCAGAGGCACGATCTCGGCTCACTGCAACCTCCATCTCCTGGGTTCAAGCGATTCTTGTGTCTTAGCCTCCTGAGTACCTAGGGCTACAGGCACATGCCACCATGCCTGGCTAATTTTTGTATTTTTAGTAGAGAGAAGGTTTCACCATGTTGGCCAGGCTGGTCTTGAACTCCTGACCTAAGGTGATCCACCCACCTCGGCCTCCCAAATTGCTAGGATTACAGACGTGAGCCACCATACCAGGGCAAAGATGCATCTTTAATGGCTACGATAAACTAAGTATTTTAGAGTCTGAAAAAAAATATGTAAAGGCCTAAGATGATGTAAGAATTCAGTATATGATAATGGTGGCTATGTCAGTTTTCCAGAAAAATTGAACCAATAAGATGTATATATAGAAAGAGCTTTATGATAAGGAATTGGCTCACCTGATTATGGAGGCTAGCAAGTCCCAAGATCTGCAGGTTGAGTTAGCAAACTCGGGGCCCAGGAGGACTGAGAGTGTTATTCCAGGCTGAAGGCTCAAGACCCAGGAAAAGCTAATGTTTCAATTGAGTCTAAAGGCAGGAAAAAGCTGATATCCAGTTTGAAGGTCACTGGTAGGAATTCTTACTCACGAGTGTTGGCATTTTTGTTCTATTCAGGCCTTCAATCAGTTGGATGAGTCCCACCCACTCTCATCTGCTTTACTTAGTCTACTGATTTAAATGTTAATCTCATCCAATACCCCCTCACAGATATACCGAGAAGAATGTTAGACCAAGCATCTGGGCACCCCATGACCCAGTCAAGTTGACATATAAAATTAACCATCACAGTGACATTTCAAAGTAGAGAGAAATAGGTCTATTTAATAAATGGTGTTGGGGTAAGTGGTTCTCTCTGTAGATCACATGGTACGTGTAAATGTTTACCTCACATAATAAATATACTTGATATGGAAATATAAAATTTAAACTACCAAAGCATTTAAAAATTATAATGAGCATTTATAATCTTAATGTTAAGACTGCATACCAATTGCAGAGGCAAAAAATTATTTTAAATTTTTTTTTTTTTTTTTTTTTTTTTTGAGACGGAGTCTCCCTCTGTAGCCCAGGCTGGAGTGGAGCGGCGCGATCTCGGCTCACTGCAAGCTCCACCTCTCCGGTTCACACCATTCTCCTGCCTCAGCCTCCTGAGTAGCTGGGACTATAGGTGCCCACCACCACACCCAGCTGATTTTTTTTTTTTTTTTTTTTTAGTAGAGACGGGGTTTCACCATGTTAGCCAGGATGGTCTCGATCTCCTGACCTCGTGATCTGCCTGCCTTGGCCTCCCAAAGTGCTGGGATTACAGACGTGAGCCACCGCACCCAGCCAAAATTACTTAAAAGCTTGAAGTAATTTGAAAACTTAAAAAAAAATATTCCCATAGACAAATGTTAAAGTATATCTCCCAGAAATGAGAAACACTATCCTGTTGATATGTTGTTCATAAAGTGAAAAAAGCAATAGTTTCCATTGTTCCTCTAAAAAGGTAAACTATATACTTAGATTTGTAAGAGCACATGAACCAAGAAAATATCTTAATAATCTTCCATGACTAGCTATTATAAAATGATGAGCACCTCAATTAAAGTGAGCCTAGTGATATAAGCCAACATTAAGAAAGTGAAGGGTAATTATTTTTAAATTGTTCAATGTCTGTAGAAAATTTAGAAACTAAAATGTTTAAGAAATATTTTATCATGTTATATTAGTAAGGTTGGAATTTTTTTAACAAAAAAAAGAACAGCACCCACTGTGACAATGGTGGGCGCACATTTCCAAATTTTTTCTTTTGTTTTTGAGACAGGCACTTACTCTGTCACCTAGGCTAGAGTGCAGTGACACAATCATACCTCACTGCAGCCTAAACTTCCCAGGCTTAGGTGATTCTCCCACCTCAGCCTCCAAAGTTAACTGAGATTATGAGTGTGCACCACCACACCCGGCTAATTTTTTGTATTTTCTGTAGAGACAGGGTTTCACCATATTGCCCAGGCTGGTCCTGAACTCCTAGGCTCAAGCATTCTTCCCACGTCGGCCTCCCAAAGTGCTGGGATTAGAGGCATGAGCCACCCCACCCAGCCGTCACATTTCCAAACTTTGAATGGGAATGAAATCCATACAGACCTCCTGGAGTCAGTTTCATTAGAACTGAAAATAAACTCACCCCTATTATCCAGAGAGTAGACTCTGAGAAATTAATTTGAAGACGACAACTTGGTTGCCCTGTGTCTGCAGGTGAAAAAAAAAAAAGGGGGGGAGAGAGAGAGAAAACTTGGACAAGTGTAGAAAGGTATATGCTCAAAGGTGTTCCTCCATAATGTTCATTTGTAAGAGTAAAAATATGGGAAGCTACCTAAAAGTGAGCCATTGATAGGATGTAGATAAAATATTGTTGATCCAGCAGAGAAATTTTAAGTAGTCGTAAAAATGATCAGGTAAGGGTAGAAAAACTAACATGGAAAACTGGTAATCGCGTATTGTAAATGAGTTCACCATATATATTGTATTTCCATTGTGTAAGTGTGTGTGTGTATCCTAAAAGGACACTGAAATATAAGAAGTAATATAAACCAAAAGTCCCTGGTAAAACTATCATGACACACAGATAACAGAAAGTACTATTTTCCCCACTAATTTTCTCATATAAATAAGTGGAAAAACACATTTTCAGAGAGTGTAACCGTATGACTTCTGTGGTAAAGTCATGTCAGTGATTTTAATGTCTATTTTCTGAGTATTATTTCCTCATCATTACCTACTAAACTAACTCCATGTTGTTTCATGGTTAAAGTTTTTCACAGCCTTTGATAGCATCTGACTGTTCTTCTAAAGTTATGGACGTTCAGGTACGTTTTTCATCACTACCACTAACATTACCAGTTTGAAAACTTAGGTAACTTTTCTATAGGAACTTTAAAATATTTTTAACTGTAATAATGTCACAATAATGTCTGTACAAATCACCAAATCATCTGAGAAAACTAAAAACCATACGTAATAGTAGTATCAATTCATCTACAGTTAATTTCCTGTGGATGAGCTGATACTACTATTTATTTCTCTTTAGAAGCAATTAAAAATACAACTTAAAACTCTCCGGCTATGCCTGGATCTAATTCCAGGCAACAAATCTCTTATGATTTTGTACATATTCTAGCATTTGATTAATATTCTGACCATATTTCTTGATTTGTAATACTCAAATGCCCATAAAACTCCAGTGTATTATAAATTCTCTACAGGCTCATATATATTGGTTACAGTGCATGGAAAAAGGCCCAGACAGAACTAAAAACCAAGTTACTTTAGGGAAGTGAACCAATATGTGGGTGAGGTGGGTTGAAGAGAACTCATCTGTCAAATGCCAAAGAAGACTTATTCTCCCAGTAATGGCAGCTGGTGCAGACATCAGCATAGGGGAATCTAGGCCTGAGAAAGCTAAGGAAGTCTCACTATGTCATGGGCACCAGTCATGGCTGCCAAGCTTCTCCAAGTTCGTTTTCTGTTTTAAGGGATGTTATCAGAGATCCACAAGAATAGGGCAAGCCTTTACTAGGGGTCTGAGTTGAAGAAATTCTGAACTCTTCTTTTCTGAGGTCTTGAGCTTCCTTTAGGGGATCAGTAAAGGGAGAATTTTTGGCTGTTACTGAAAGCAGGCTTACCGGTAAGGCCCACTTTTGTAGAGAGGATAACTACCCCATTCTGTAGACAAAGAAACCAATAACAGAGAGTATTGGCCATACCAAAGTATGGACTCCAAACATGGGATAGCTTTATATTAGTCATCAGTTCTCACCTACCAAAGTATCTGAGACCTTTCTCTTCATAAGTGCTGTCTAGGAGAGACATTGGTTCTTTGTCATCTGAAAGAGAAGCCTGGGAATGCAAGATCTGAGAAGAGTGGTAGGTTGGGAAAAGGGAGTTGGAGTTCCTCAGATAAAGGGAGGAGGTTGAGTGTGCAGTGTCCAGTCACTGGACGAGAGATGAAGATTCAGTGGAAAAATAGGAATGGGAATAGGTAAGTCTTCCTCAGAAAAGGAGAGATATGATGAAAGGATCCAGGGCAGTCACAGCCACGGTCTCTGGTTGCCAGAAGCAAACAGGGGTAGGGGTTGAAGGCATCAAGGATACCCAAGGGCTGAACCCTCCCAGAAGCAATAGTTCCACATTTCCCTGCTAAATACAGGTAGGGTGTGAAGTGACAGGGCCCACTAGACCAGAGGAGGGCAATTTCAAGATGGAAAGTAGGCCCAATTCCAAAAACAGGCTCTTAGGAGTTTACCAGAAAACTATTTCCAGGGACTGGGAGTGATTAGTCATTTCAGAAATCACAAATCTATGACTGAGCAATTCTCATCCTGGTTTAAACATGAGTGCACTGGGGGATAAACTGTTCATTGTGAGATCAGTCTAGTGTATGAGAAAAAGTATTTCTTTTAATAGAATGCAGTATAAGAGAAAATATCAAAGTACATTACAGGTAATTAGGGTAAGGGTCTCACGAAACAGAATTTGTTGGTTTACATGCATGTGTTAGATACACACATGTGAACACACTCTTCTTCGAGATCTTATCCACATCACTCCTCCCTCAATGTAGCCTGCTCAGTGAGGTCTTTTCCTCTCCATCCTATCTAAAATCAAACCTTGTATCTGACAACTTTTCCTATTTTGATTTTTCTTTATGGCGCTTATCATAGCCATCTTCTTTTCTTTTTTCATTTTTGTGTTGTGGACTGACTTTCAATAGATTACAGAGCAAATGTACTTTCTCAATATGACTGCTGGAAGCAATAAGGACACAAACTCTCTGGTCTACAGTGACCTCCCAATAAAAATATTCTAGGAGGGCTTGTCACTGGCCTATTTTACAACAAACTATCATTTCTGGATCAATACAAATGTGGAGGACATGAAGACACAGTACTCTGCAGAGCCAGGATTGGGGTAAATGCCACCCCGTGATCACAATGACATGTTCTATTACTAGAAGAATGCAGAAAAGTTGCATTGAGCAGTCAAAAGCAATAGTCATAACACATATTTAAGTACATAATAAAAATGTATCAAACTAACACAAGAAAGGGTGAATTAATCAAACAGTGCAGGGACAACTGGCTATTTATTTGGAAGAATACAGAGCTGCTTACCTTACACCACATACAATAAGAAACACCACAGGGAGGTATGAATAATGTAATTTAATATAATGTCTGCTTCACACATGTTGAAGGAGAGACATACCTGTGTAGTTCCAAAGGGAGTTTACTTATGCTAACAGGAAAGCAGAACAAACAGAAACACTTAACTTGCAACTAGTAGAATAACTTTATTTCTAACACTGAGCCTTCTACATAGGAATTTACAGAAATGAATAACACTGTGCTGCTTATTCTCCATTTCTCTTCCCAGATTCTCTCTCCACCCTTCTCTGTGCCCACCTGGGCTCTCCAGCAGATGTATCTGGTTGGTTTCTCCAAAGAGAGACACCAGCAATTTGGCACCACAGTTCTGGTAGTAATGATGTCTCTTACAAGGTGGCCCCTCCTTCATGACAGCAGTTCTTACTGGGCTCTGGTAACACTGTTTCCCTCCTTGCCCTTCAAGGCTCAGAATGGCAATGGCTTCCTGCTGATACAAGTCTCTGGGTGTTTCACTGTCCCTTGTTTCTGGCCCACACCACTGTAATCAGTCTGCCATTAAAATATTTTTAGTTGGAGAATTCTGTTTTCCACCAGAAAGAACCATGGCTGATACAAACAGCCATCCCTATATTAACTTGTGAAAAGAAATAATTCTTCCCCCTAATTACCATATAGAACATTAACACTTAGAAAAATATTCCTCTGTGTCAGCTGGAATGCCTTCAGCTCTAAGTATCAGACAGCCCTAAGACCAAATAAAAAACAGTTATTGAGGGTTATAAAAAGTCCCAGTAGAGAACAGGTATAGAGAGCAGAGTAGCTCGGCAACGTCACCTCTGAGCTGGCTTTTCCCACCTTGTGCACTGTTATCTTCAGGCTACTGCCCTTCAGAGATAAAAACGATAAGCCAATACCATGTTACAGACATGAAAAAGCCCAGCAGAGTCTCTTCTCATGTCATGACAATGTTGTATCAAGGAGATCTTTCCCAGAAGTACTACACAATACTTCCCAAACATCTCATTGCTCCCAAGTTCACCCCAACAGAATCATTAAAATGGAACTTCCATGATTAGCTTTGACTAATCTGGACTTACCACCTAAGTCATCTGGGAGAAGGATGCACAAAAATATAAAATTTAGCTCAGCAAGGATGAAGTAGGGAATGGCCATCATGTGGGCAGTGTCTCTTAGAACTGCTGACCAATGTGTTCCAAGGGGGCAAAAGAAACAACAGGACAAGGGAGGCAGAGATACTCTAAAATACTAATACGCAGAACTAGTGTTACATAGACCGTGCCCAAACAGATACACAATGAAAAATCAAGGATATCAAAAGGGCCTTTCATTACATACCGCCACTTTTTGAGGAGTGCAGTGTTACTGCTTGTTAACCTTTGCATAATTTATGTAAAAACCATTCTTATTAACAACATTTACATTACAGAATGACCCAGAGGTAGCTGAAAAACCTCAGAAAAGTACTGTTTAACTTCTTTACTGAAGTGATAGTTCAATAATGGCCATATTCATGCATATATGCCAGGAAACAGTCAGAGGAAAGGTACGTGATATAGTTCTTTGTGAAATAATATTTCACTAAAAACATATACTGGCCAACCTACAAAGAGACTCCGGTAGTATTTAGAGTAGGACAGATTCAGAGGTAGTTAAAAACCTCACGGAAATATTTTTGGCTTCTTTCTTGAAGACGTGGTTCAGCTGTAAATGGCCATAGCCATTTATTTATGTCAGGAAATAGAAGGGGTATGTGGTTTGTATTGCCAAATACGTTTTCATATATACACAGTGATGTGCTGTAAATATTTGACAGCAGGTTCTCTGAGAAAATTAAAACCCTGATTTATAGTTTGTCAATTTCCATGGTGTAAACACTCCCACTAAGTCCAAGCTACCAAGACAGCACTGAATGTGGAGCTGGGAAGAGACAGATGTGCAGTGCACACTATTATACAGTATTTTCATCATACAGATTAAATAAGTAAAACAGCAAAGGTAATAGTGAAATGTAGCAAAATAATTAGGAAGTGATGAGTGCTGAGTATTTATTACCTTTGTTTTTAACTGTAAGTTTACATATTTTAAATAATGACTGCTTTTAATAACTGGCTCACAAAATTCCTTAAAATTTAACAATCAGAACTTTTAAGTCAGTATGAGGTTATACTAGCACATCACTATATTTAAGTATGTGTGTAGAAATATATTTACATATACACACAAACATATGTACATACACATATATAATTATGTCAACCTATAAAGACACCAATGGTATTTAGTGTAGAAAATATTAACAAATACCATAGTAGTTACTCAATTAAGGGTACGTATCTTCTCCTTATGATCATGTTGAGTTCCAATATACAAATCAAGCATACTCAAATTTATATATTTGCATACTCACATAAGGTCTACAAACATCGGGGACTCTTCACATATATGTTTAATGCTGCTGTCATTCAACTTTTATAAGCTTCAGATTCCACTGTGAATATGGGTATAAATAAATATTGTCCATTATATTTGCAACAAAATTTTGGTATCACGTCTGGAATATAACACTAAACAACATAAATTCCAGATAAATATTTTCACCATATTACTTAGATGAATAGAATTCCCCTCAGTACAAATTTTCTAATGAAAAGTTTTAATTTTTCTTGAAAGCTTTTACATATTCAAACAAGAAGTCATTTTCTACAAATTTCTGACATTCTTTGGCTTTCTCTGATCTCCTTTTTTGAAACTGTATAACCAATTTCACAAGTGTATGAAGGCTTCTAACATTCAGGATGTTGAAAGAGCTTTCACCCTTGTGTGAATTCTCTGATGTTTGGTGAGCACTGACCTCTGACTAAAGGTCTTCCCACATGCATTACACTCATACGGCTTCTCCCCTGTGTGAGTCCTCTGATGTTTAGTGAGAGCTGATTTTTCACAGAAGGTTTTCCCACATTCATTACACTTATATGGTTTCTCCCCAGTGTGAGTTCTTTGATGTACAATGAGGTTTGACTTCACACAGAAGGATTTTCCACATTCATTACATATAAACGGTTTCTCCCCTGTGTGTGTTCTCTGATGCACAGTGAGGGCTGATCTGTGGCAGAAGGATTTCCCACATGCATTACATTCATAGGGCTTCTCCCCTGTGTGTGTTCTCTGATGTTCAGTGAGGTTTGACTTCACACAGAATGTTTTTCCACATTGCTTACATTCATAGGGTTTTTCTCCTGTATGTGTTCGCTGATGGTTGGTCAGGTGTGGTTTCTGGCAAAAGGCTTTCCCACATTCAGTACATTCATAGGGCTTCTCTCCTGTGTGTGTTCTCTGATGTTGAGTGAGGTTTGACTTCTCCCAGAAGGTTTTCCCACATTCACCACATTCAAAGGTTTTTTCTCCTGTGTGAGCTCTCCGAAGCTGGGTAAGATGTGACTTCTTGCTGAAATTACTCCCATTTTCATTGTAATCATAAGACTTTCCCCCCATGTGTACTATTTGATGTTTTAAGAGAGCTGACTTTTCCCAGGTTTTGTCACTCACTTTATATTCACGGAGAATCTTTCTTGTGTAAGCTCCCTGATGGATAATGAAAGCTGAATTGTCACAGAAGATTTCCCCATATTCATTATATTCATAAGGATTGTCCTTTGTAAGAGCTCTCTGATGTCCAAACCTTAAATTCATGCAGAAGGACTTCCCGCAAATACTGCATCCATACGGCTCCATTTCCAAATGAGGTCTTTGAGATATATTCAGCTTTAAACTTTCAATGAAGGTTCTTCCACATTCGTTATATTTACAGACTGTCTCTCCTATCTGAGATCTCTTATTTGTAAAAAATGCTGCCTCATCATGGAAGCCTTGTCCATTTTTACTATACTCAAAAGATTGGCCAAAACTTGGCTGACTGAGATCCTGGTGATAATTAATGGCATTCCTTTTTTGATCATATTTATAAGACTTCTCTCCAATAGGGATTTTCTCATGCCTAATATCAAGGAGCAATTTCTCACATACATTAAACTCATCAGGCTTCTTTCTGGAACAGTTCTTTTTACTAATAATTAAGCCCGAAATATTTTTCAAATTCATTTCACATGAGTCACATATTTTATAGGGATAATTTCTTAAAGAAACAGGGTCTGTGCCCAAATTGAAAGTTTTGCTTCCTCTATCTCCATTTTCTACACTTACTGTTTTGTTGTTGTGGAATAGAAGCTCCCAAAAATGGTCATCTTCATTTTCCTGGCTGCTCTCTAACACGTCATCAACTTTCCATTTCCTTTCTAGAAATGAGAAAAATAACCACATCTTATGAACCTTAATACATTTCTGATGGAATCAGACTTTTACACAAATGCACTATCATACAGTCAATTCTTTTGTTTTAAATTCAGTTTCCTGGTGTGAACTGAGTTCAAGTGTACATTTTCTTTACCCTCCAAGGTTTAGGTGGAAAACATAAAACATGCTTCAGTGGAAACAGGGAGAAGAAATTGGCAATGATATTTAACACTTTATAAATATAACCTTCAAAACTGAAAAGAAAAGGTGAAATAAAATTCACAGCACAGGGAACCAGAGTGGCTGATTCAGAAATAGAAAAACTCGGAGAAAATGGGGTGAACCCAACAGAGACAATGAACACTGAATAAAGTGATGGTGAAGATTAGCAGACAAGGGGTTTCAGAGGATGCATTAGGTTTGGTGGAGACAAAACAGAGCTTGGTCCTAATCCCCTCACACACAGTTTACTGGGGTAGAATTCCCACCAGAGTACATGCTTCTTTCTATCTTTGAATCAGCAAGAAAATTAACATTCTGAAAACATCAACTTCCTTGGATTCAAAAGAACAGTCCTATATAGCCCAAGAGCCAGTGTTTTCTTTAAGTTTTATTGAGAAGAAATAGTTTTTTTTAATGCTGTAGGAAAAGCATACTAGGGAAGGTGAAATAAACTCAAGACATGATAAACAGGAGATGGAGATATTCTGAGAGCTGTTCTTTCAAAGAGCAGGAAATGCACAGAGAATGAGTTCAAGGGAGTTGTTTTTTTAAAAAGGAAATAGAGTGAGTGGTAGTGAGAAACATAAGAATTAGGTTTGGCAGAGGTAAAGCATGGTTTACACCCTCATCTTCTCAACATCATGCAAATCTATTGAAAATATTTCTGTGCAGTTTGGCTAGAGATTAGACTCTCAGAAATTGCTCATCCCTAATAACATACCTTCCACTCAACTAGAAACATTTTATCCTTATCTCTCCTTAGATCCTGGATATCCCTCAGTGAACTGCTACTTTAACTTAAAAACAAAAACTAATAATAGTAATAATAATAAAATAATGATAGCAAAAATCTCTATAACATCTCTACCATTTTAAGGCTCCACTTGCTCCATCTTTTAGAAGTTACTGTTTATATAATTCATTGTAACATAAAATAAATCCCTTGCTCAATGCTATCGCCCCTATTGTGACCAGAGTCCAGAACTTGGCAGGTGTTACTATAATGTAACTGTACATTATTCTTATAAAGCAACGTGCACTGAATTATTTCCAACCTGCACCTGATCAGCTATAATACACGAAGACAAAATATGGGAATATGTATTTAGGAAGAGTATCATAGAATACTTTCAGAATGTATGAAAATGAATGATCTCTCCTAAATCTGGCTACACAGATAATCAACAAAGTAATTATCAAAATACCCAAATTAGTAAGAGAGGCCCTTCTCTTTTGGAGAACAAAAATCTCAATGCAAAAAGAAACCCTAAGCAACCCTAAGCCATATGAACAGGTCTAAGTTTTTGGCATACAGCCACTGGTGAGTTAATGTCATAAAATCTGGGCTATTTAAGTTTCAGCAAAAAATCAAGTTCTAACTTAAAACAAGTGAAATAATAAGCCATTACTATTCAATTTCTAAACACTTTACAAACACAGTATGAATTACCTGAAAAAAGGCAAGGCAAACAAGAACGGAAGTTTTCCAGTAAATGAGAAAACATTTGCAAATAAAATTTAAGATATAGAATAGGACGGGATTTGACATAAATTTTAGGGAGCAGAAACAAAGAAATTTAAGACAGGTAGCAAGGGCTACACTATTATAGTCATTGAAAGGGAAATTTACTGAGCAGCTCCCTTGCTGCAATCTATTGAAAGTCAGCCCTTGACACAAAGGTTTAAAACTAAAAAAAGAAAAGAAAAGAAAGGGAAATTTAATTTATTAATAAGCAGCAACTTTAGGTTAGTTTGTTAAGCTAAAGGAAGATAAATTGAATAATTTAGGCTAAAAAAAAAGAGAAAAGAACCAACTAGGAATTAGAAATTAGACAACTAACAATTAGACTGAGTCAGGAATGAGAACACATAGTTTTGCTTTTGAGTTATATCAGTGAAAAGTGAGAATATAAAGGTATGTAGAAGATAGCTTTAAATGAAAAATAACAATAGGAACAAAGAGACTGGTGGGAAATATTAACAGGTTTATTAGTACGGTGATGCCATGGTTGCCATTCAAGATAGCAGTAACATGGAAGAATGTACCTCATTTGACTACAGGAAACCAGGCTCTCTGGTTTTTGTGTAGCTCAGATTGTTATTCCTCAATATCCTCTAAGGGATGAATTTAATACTTACTAAAAGCATTATTGTCCCAAGACTACTCTCACCTACATACAATCACACTCTAGAAAAGGGGTTGGCATATAACTGCACGGCAATGGCCCTTGAGCTAAGTATGTTTTTTAAGTTTTTGAAGGGAAAAAGCTGGATGAGGCAGTACAGAAGAGGGAAGAGGAAAAGAGAGGAGAGAGAAAGAGCAAGAGGAGAACGAGAAGGAATAAGGAAAAGAAAGAAGATGAGGAGGAGCAGCTGCAACCACGACCATATGTGGCCTGCCAAGCCTCAAACATTTACTATCTGGTCATTTACAAAAAAAGTCTGTTGACTTCTGCTCTTGAAGATCTCATTCTGCCTCATTCCTTTAACATCATCTTAAGTTGATGCCTTTCAAATGGATACTTCTAGTTCTGACCTCAACCATGTACTTACACATATCCAATCTCTTAGTCAAAAACAGACTCGATTATAAGAGTTATCTCCAACTTCTGGTGTTCAAAATTAAATCTGTGATAACTCCCTTATATGTCTCCTCTCTAATTTTTCTCTGTCTCAGTAAATGATAACCTAATCTATCTAGCTGCTTGAGACAAATTATTGGGATCACACTTGATTCTCCCTTCTCTCATACCCAATCTGAAAGCAAATGTTCTTGGCTCCATCTTCAAAATATTTGTACAAACCTACCACTTCTCAGTACCTCTGGCACTTCCAACAGTCTCAGCCACTATCCTCTCTCCTCTGAAGCACATAATGGTACCCTATCCCTACTCATACCACCCACAACCACCCACCACAGTATATACACTGCATAGATGTCAGAGAGATCCTTTTAAACTGTAAATCAAATCTGATGACTTAAGCTGATTTACATTTACTCAAAACAGTTTCTCATAGCACCAAAAGTAAAATTTATGTATCTACCATAGCTCATGTTTCTTCTCCTGACATTATCTCCTACCAGTCTCCACCATGCCCGCTAGCTTCCAACCACAGTGATTTCCCTGACACTGTTCAAACATTCTAAGAACACACCTGTCTAAGAGGTTTGGTACCTGATGTTCTCTCTGCCTGGACTACACTGAATCCACATAGCTCACACTTTCATATTAAAGCCTCATCTCTAATGTGGGAACTCCTCAAAAAGGTTTTCTCTAACCTACTGCCAAACAGACTATACCGTCATTCTTCGTCCTCCTTTCCTGTGTGAATTCTCTTCACAGCACTTACCATGACCCAACACAGTGTGTGTGTACCTATATACACACACATATGCACATGGGTGTGTACATATATACAAACACACAGACATGTACACACACACACACACACACACACACACACACACGCATTTTTTTGTCCTTTATTTTAATACACACACTAAGATACCAGGGACATTATTCTGTTAATTACCTAAAACATAACAGACATAGTGAGTGCTCATCATATGTTGTTAAATGAATATATAGAAGGATTGCATGAATACCTGTCAGCTAACAAAAGGTGTCTAAGACAACGGAAGGAAGGCAAACAATTTTAAAAGATAAAGACAAACTAACCAAGAAAACATATCTAAAATGAAGCCAACTGGTTTGGATTATAGGTATAAGTAAAATACTTTAAAATGTAAAAAAAAAAAAAAGTGTTTGTTTTTTTTTGTTTGTTTGTTTGTTTTGAGACTGAGTCTCACTCTGTCACCAGGCTGGAGTACAGTGGCACAATCTCGGCTCACTGCAACCTCCACCTCCCAGGTTCACATGGTTCTCCTGTCTCAGCCTCCCAAGCAGCTGGGACTACAGGCAGCTACCACCACATCCAGCTAATTTTTCATATTTTTAGTAGAGACGGGGTTTCACCATGTTGGCCAGAACAGTCTCGATCTCTTGACCTCGTCATCCGCCTGCCTCAGCCTCCCAAAGTGCTGGGATTACAGGCGTGAGCCACCGCACCCAGCCAAGAAAAGCATTTATGAGTGAGAATAACATATGGAGGAGTGATTAAGGTAACAGGGATGTGGGCCAATTGTTTTTGATCATTTCCAAAGGTCTGGGGCTAAAAAGAGACATTTGTGAAAAATATTCCAAAGGTGACAAATCCTAAACCAATTACCTAAGTTCTAATTTCCTCTGGCTTTCATCTGCCAGAAATCACTAACTCACCTGGGTGGCACTGGCTTGGGAATCCTTTTTCTAATATCCAGGGCTCTTCTCCTTGCTCGATCTTAAAGATCACTTCTGGTTTAGTAATGCAATACCCTGTTAAGAGAAAATACCACAGGACTAGAGCTAAATAGCTTGGTTTCAGGGGCTCTGAATACATCATGGGGAAGAAAGGCACAGCTTCACCAGCTACTCAAAGAATGTGCACAAATGAACCAATCTCTGACAAGGCAAGAGCACCTTTATGGTGGCCAAATGGGATCAGTCATCTCAGAGCCTTCAATCTCAAGCTTTACATCAGAAAACTACAGGGCATCAACTAGTAAATGCATGCTATTGATAGCCATGTGCGGAAAAAAACTCCTTACCTACTGAGACAAGATTGCTATAATTTTCCAGGATCACATCTCTGTATAGAATCTTCTGAGCAGGGTCCAGCAGATACCACTCTTCCTGAGTGAAGTCCACACATACATCCTTGAATGACACTTGTTCCTGTAATAGTATACTCTTTTTACATGAAATGGTCAGAACTAGATGATACAGAAAAGATTTAAGAGAACTAATCTCTTTAGAGTTTACTAAAAAATGACAGGTTACCTCCCTCTGTGCTGCTATACTATACAGAATACAAAATATCTTGTATAAATTGAGTTTCTACTAAGGGTCTGGAATTGTGCTAGCTGCTGCAAATCCTACTGGTGAAAACAGACAAACATGGTCCCTGTTCCTAGAGTGCTTATGACCTGAAAAGGAGATACACAGAATAACATTTATTAAGTTGCAAACTGCAGGAACTAGCAGTGTGTACCAAGGAGATTGAAGTTACAGAGGAAATATTAGTTGTTTCATATTACCTTTTACATTATCAAGTTAACTGTCATCAAGGAAGTAAAACTTTGTTATTAAAATAATGGGATTGAAATGAATATGACCAAGCTCAGCACATATTGATTCAAGTGACTGCCCCGCAGTCTACATGCCCATCAGAGAAAAGGATGAATCCTCTCCGCTCAATGAGATCATCTTCTGGAGCTTCCACCAATGTTTCCAATGTTTCTTTTTTAAATACAATATTTGGTATCTAGTAAAAAAATTCATGGTATGTGAAGAGATAGGGACAATGAAAAAAAAGAAAAAAAAAGCAAACTCACAGGTGACCGTGATAGTAGAATTAACAAACAAGAACTTCAAAATGAATTATAATTAATATGTTCAACAAAACAGAAGAAAATATTAACAAAATAAATGAGAAAATGAGGGAAGTTCAACACATACATGGTATGTGTGCTATACAGAAAAAGGTTAATACAGCAAGCCTGAGACTACTAACCTTTGAAAGGTCTGCTACAAAAGATCACCGTTGATGGGCATTTGGGAACTTGGATTTCAGAAAGGTTCTGACCTTAACCTTCTCTGATAAGAACGGCTCACTAAGCCTGAGCTATAACCATAAGTAATATGGTTTATACTCAGTATGTGCATTGCTCCTGGGAGTCTAGAATTTTGGTACATGATAGGCAGGAAGTACCTGTGACTAGCCTCTAATAAAAATTCTGGACACCAAATGTCTAGTGAGTTTCCTTGGTACACATTTTACGTGCGTTGTCACATGTCATTGCTAGAGGAGTTAAGTGTGTTCTGTGAGACTCCATTGGGAGAAACCTCTAGGAATTTCGCTGATTTTGCTTTGTATCCTTTCACTACAATAAATCATAGCCATAAGTATGACTATGGGTCTACAAGAAACAATACATCAGTAACAACTGACACACCTAGCACCCTAATTTTTGTTTCTAACGCCATGCTCCAATATATGCTGAGTCATCCTAGGACATCATTAATAACCTGGGGGTGGTCTCAAGACACCTCTTATACATGTATACACAAACACACACACACACACACACATGCACACACACATACATAAAATGGACATTCTAGATCTGAAAAGTACAATATCTGAAATTAAGAGCTTATTGGATGGGTTCAAAATCATATTAAAGAAGACATAATCTGAAACATTTATGCATTTAACGAAAGACTATCAAAATACATAAGGCAAAAACTGAGAGGAGTAAAAGGAGAACTTGGAAATATACACCATAATTGGAGACTTAACACCCCTGTAAGTACTGATGGATCAAGCAGGCAGAAAATCAGTAGGTACATATATGACCCAAAATAGCACTATCAACCAACCTGATCTAAGTGACATTTATACAATACTTCATCCCAAACAATAAAATACACATTCTATCCTTCTGTTCGTGTTCACATGTAACATTCACCAACACAGAACATATTTTGGGCCATAAAACACACCTTAACGAACTTAATGCAATAGCTATCATAAAAAACACATGTTCTCAGACTACAATGGAATTAAATAGAAACCAATAAGCAAGACGGCTGAAAAATCCTCCAAATACCTGAAAGCTAAACAACCATACAAATAACCTATAGATCAAAGAGGAAGTCTCAAAAGAAATTTTTAAATGTTTTAAATGAAAACACTACTTATCAAAATTTATGGGATGCAGAGACAGTAGTTCACAGAGAGAAATTTATAACATCAAATTCATGTTTTGCTCTGCAAAAGATGCTTCTACAAAAATGAAAAAACAAACCACAGACTGAGAAAAAATATTTGCAAACACTTACCTAAAAAGGTGTTAGAAGCAGAATATGCAAAAGGACCCTCAAAACTCAATAATAAGAACACAAATTATGCAACTTGAAAAATAGGCAAAAGATCTGAATGGTCACGTCACCAAAGACAGACCAATAGCAAATACACATATGAACAGATGCTCACCATCATGTGTCATTAAAGAAACAAAAATGAGATACCATAATATTTATTAAAATGGTTAAATTCAAAACAATGACAGTATCAATTTTAAGTTCAGATGCAGAATAACAGGAATTTTGATTCACAATTGGTGGGAGTGCAAAATGATACAGCACCTGTGGAAGACAGTTTGGCAATTTCTTACAAAGCTAAACAATCTAAATTAGCCGGGTGTAGTGGCACACACCTGTAATCCCAGCTACTCGGGAGGCTGAGGAAGGAGAATCACCCAAACCGGAAGGCAGAGGTTGCAGTGAGCCGAGATTATGCCACTGCACTCCAGCCTGGACAAGAGTGAGACTATGTCTCAAAAAAAGAAAAAAGAAAAAAAGAAAACCAGTGCTCCTTTGAAAACCAGCTGCTTCTAGGTCTGGCAGGTATATAATGAGCCTGAAATCACTTCTGGTACCAGAAAATGAGAAAGTACTCAAATGAAAACACAATAGTGGGCTATGTCAAAGGGACACAGGAACCAATTGAAAACACAGCCTCATGGCCAAGCTGAAGCAGTTGGAACAACAAAATAACAAGGTATATGGTTAAACCAAAGGAAGATTCAGATGAAAATCCTTCTTTAAGACTGTCTTCTCAGCTTCTCTGTTTTCTAGCATCTTGTGTCATAGATGAAAAGGCATATGTTCACATGATTTTTTATAGCTATAAATAATCCCTCTCTAGAAGCTAGTAAAATTTTATCTGTGGATTTTTAAAATTTTTACCTGAATGTGTCTAAATGTGCACATTTCTAAAGATGTGTATTTAATTTCCAAGAATGTTTTGATGCTTATTTGTTTTTCAGTAATAGCCTGCTCTTGTTTTATGTGATGATGATCTACTGAAACTTTCTGAGGCAATGACTAAAAGTATTTATTTTAAAGTTATGTTCTATTTCCTAACTTAACTCTACTTCCTTTGGAGTAAATTTCTCTGACCACTTTGTTGTCCTTCTTTCATGCATTAAAAACAAAATTGTCTACCAAAAAAAAAAAAAAAGGTAGTGTTGGATTATAACCAAAGTATAAAATAACTAGCAATGAGTTCATACTAATATAAATAAATGCTTAAATAAGTAAACACAAAAGAACAGACAAATCTCCTGCACAGAATTCCTAATAATTTATATGGATACTCTGCCATCAAGGAGGTGTAGCGTAACTCTCCACTTCATTCCAAAGAGTACAGTTGAAAACGGAGGACAAAGGAGTAACTTTACAGTGGAGAAACATGACCACACTACCTCCACCAGGTAATCAACAGTGATAAATCATGCTCATAGCATTTTCCCTTGATAGGATGTGACTGAATGACACTACCTCTGTAGTCTTCCTCTAAGAAACCCTAACCTCAGTCTAATAATGAGGAAGACAGTAGACAAATATCAACTGAGGGACATTCTACAAAACACCTGACTTGAACCCCTCAAAACTGTCAGGGTTATCAAAAACAAGGAAAGTCTGAGAAACTGTCACAGCTAAGAAGAGCCTAAGGAGACATGATGACTAAGTAGAATGTGGGCATCCTGGAACAGAAAAATTACATTAGGGAAAAATTAAGAAAATCCCAATAAAGTGGTCATCACTTAATAATATATCAGTATTGTTTCATTAATTGTGACAAATGTACTACATTAATATGTTAATGAAACTGTGTCTATGGGAGGTATATGGAAACTCTTTGTACTACTGTCTTCACAACTTTTCCATAAATCTAAAACTCTCCTAAAGCAGAAAGTTTATATAATAAGAAAGAAACATACAAGAGGACAAGATTAATGAAGTGGAATGATGTCAGCAAAATGGAGAGGTAGGTGGCACCAAGCTCAGGTCCCCTCAGAGACATCAAAAAACAAGCAGAAACTGTCAAAATAAACTTCGTCAGAATTCTGAAAAGGTCAAAGGCTGACCGCAACCAAGTAGATGCCAAATCAGAAAGAAAAAATAAAAGGCAACTTCAAAATGGTAGGAAAGCTTTGTGGCACTTCTACTTGCCTTTACCCCAACCCTCCTTGGCTTGGTGACAGCCTTGAGACGGCAGACCGCATTCCAAGTGTGGGTCCTGGTCCTTGATTCTAGAGGGACCAGAGCAGACCTTACTTACAAGGAATTGCTTATCTGTTCCAACTATGTGGGAAATACCTGAAGGACTGATGCAATATGCTTGTCTCTGTTTCACCTAACTCAGAACTCATTTAGGATAGAAAAAAAATAGTCCTTGCTCAAAAACACTGTAAGGGGAACAAAATATCTGCAGTCGTCTGCAGCAGAGGATTATGGTTGAGACATATAGTATACCACTTAAGGCCTGAGAAGAAAACCTGGAAAGGGTTTCTTTGGGAAATTTGGGCTTTCAAAAAACCCCATATATACTGAGAAAATTAGAAATCCAGAAACATACCCAAGGCAGAATGTATACAAGCTTTAAGAAGATCATAAGCTTTCACCTCCAGCTATTCTCGAGGTTCAGTGCAATCAGGACACGAAGGCTAAAGCAAGGTTGTAAACAGCCTGGCTAAATGTTAAAGAGTACCCCAGCGCAGAGTCAATGTGCAAAGACTGAGAGAAATGTTTGTTGTCTTTATCACCAGGGATTCAAAGAAATCTCTGTAAAAACATTAGCTGAAAGCAAGCTAAGGAACAGAGACTTCAGTGTCACATATAGAACAAGGAAACCAGACTATAAAAATAGCATATGGCCGAGCATGGTGGCTCATGCCTGTAATCCCAGCACTTTGGGAGGTCAAGAGGTCAAGACCATTCTGGCCAACATGGTGAAACCCCATCTCTACTAAAAAAAGAAATACAAAAATTAGCTGGGCGTGGTGGCGCATGCCTGTAGTCCCAGTTGCAAGGGAGGCTGATGTAGGAGAATTGCTTGAACCCGGGAGGCAGAGGTTGCAGTGAGCCGAGATTGCACCGCTGCACTCCAGCCTGGCGACAGAGCAAGACTCTGCCTCAAAAAAAAAAAAAAAAGAAAAAAAGAAAAACAGCAAACCTTGGGGAAGCGTAAAAATCTGATTTCCCGACTTACCATATTAAAATATTCAAATGTCCAATTTCCAATAAAAACGTAGAAGGTATTCAAAGACACAAGAATACAGAGCCTACTCAAGGAAAACAAATTCCTTCCTTAAGGAAGCCCAGATATTGGACTTACTAAACAAAGATTTTAAATAAATTAAGTGTCATCAAAAATGACAAATAACTAAAAGAAATGAGGCCAACAATGTCTGAACTGAGTTGGAAATTGTAAAAAGAAACCAAGTAGGAATCTAAAGCTGAAAAGTAAAATGACCGAAATTTAAAAATCCACTAGAGGTTTTAACAACCCATTTGAACAGACAGCTGAAAGAATCATGAATTGGAGAATATAAAAATTGAAGTAATCTGGTATGAGGAGCAGAACAGAAAAAAATATATAAAGAAATGTGAATAGAGCCTAAGGGACCTGTGGGACACCTTTGAGTGGACTATCTATCATACAATTACAGGAGTCCCAGAAGGAAAAAAGAGAGAGAAATGGGGAGAAAGATTACTCAAAGAAATAAGGGCTAAAAACTGCCCAAATTCTAAGAATAACACAAATCTTACATCCACAAAGCTCAACAAACCCCAAGTAAGAAAAATCCAAAGAGATCCACTGAGGCACATTATTATCAAACTATCAAAAGCCAAATAACAACCACAGAGGTCAGACACCATAGAGACCAGAAGGCAGTGGGATGGCATCTTTAAAGTGTTAAGAGGGGAAAAAACAAAAATAAAAATCCTGCCAGCCAGGAATTGTAAACCTGGCAAATTGATCCTTCAAAAATGAAAGAGAAATTAAAACATTCCAGATAAAAGCCAAGAGAACTCATTATCATAAACCCTGCCCTACAGAAAATACTAAATGGAAGGTTGAAATTAAAAGATCTTCATAACTCAACGCCGTATGAAGAAATAAAGAGCTCTAGTAAAAAAAATGTAAGTACAAAAGCCAGCATTTTGCATTTTGTAAGTCCAATTTGTAGTTTGTAACTCCAATCTTTATTTCCTAAAGGAGTTTAGGAAAATGCATACACAGTAATTATAAATCTATGTCATTCAGTGCACAATGTATAAAGATGTAATCTGTAGCAACAACAACGTAGGGAGAAGGCAGCTGGATAGGAGCAGAGTTTTTGTATGATACTGAGACAAAACTGGTATTTAAACTAGATTGTTATAAATGTGGAATGTTCATTGTTAATCTCCATGGTAAACACCAACAAAATATCTTAAAAAATACAGGAAAGGAAATGGGAAGTAAATCAAAATATGCTACAAAAAATCAGCTAAACAGAGCAGTGAAAGAAATGAACAAACAATTCGAAAGACAGAAAAAAAACAGCAACTGGCAGAAGTGAGTCCTTCCTTCTTAGAAACGACTTTAACTATTTCCTTCCTTTCCTTTTCTTTTCCCTTCCCTTCCCTCTCCCCCTCCTCTTCCCTCCCCCTTCCCTCCCCCCTTCCTTCTTCCCTTCCCCTTTCCTTTCCCCTTCCTTCTCCTTCCCTCCTTCTCTCTCTTTCTTTCTTGTTTTTTTGGAGATGGGGGTCTCACTCTGTGGTTCAGGCTGGAGTTCAATGGCTCCAACTAGGCTCACTGCAACCTCTGCCTCCCAGAGGCTGGCTCAAGCGATCCTTCCACCTGAACTTCCTGAGGAGCTGGGACTCCAGGCACGTGCCACCACACTGGGCTAATTTTTGTATTTTTTGTAGAGACAGGGTTTTGCCATGTCAGGCTGGTCTCGAACTCCTGGACTCAAGCGATTCACCTGCCTTAGCCTTCCAAAGTGCTGGGATTACGGGCAAGAGCCACCATGCTCGGCCACCTTTAATTCTAAATAGGTTAAATTCTTCCAAAAAAAAGGCAGAGATTGGCAGAATGGATTTAAAAAAAAAAAAAAACTCATGAAAAAAATTAAGTCACATTCACAGAGTTCAGTGGATCTTAAATAAGAATAAACAAAAGCTAAAACAAAATCAAAAGAGAACTTTAAAAGCAGCCATATAAAAACCCAAAACATTATGAAAAGACAACTTTAAAGTAAAAGGAAAAAACAAAAACTCAAAGGTAGAATTCTATATACAGCAAAAATAAAAGTTTAAGATTTTGGAAATCATAAACAGAGTAATGACAAACAACAGATATGCATTATAAGAAACATCAAAGGGAATTTTCATGAAAAGGAAAAATGACCCAAACTAGAACTATGAAAAGGCAGGAAGGAGTGAAAAGCCTAGAAATGAAGGGGGATAAATGGAGTCAACATGTTTCAAAGTTACAGGTTTAGGTAGTACAATGAATAGTTTGTATTTCATTGTAATATGTCAAAAATGCTCCCTGTAACTTCTAGGATAACCACAAAAGAGTACCACAACACACCCAACAGAAGAGCAAAAATAAAAAATAAAATACCAAGTCTCAGGATGAATATGTGGAATAAGAACATGCACGCACTGCTGCTGGCAAAGTAAACTGGTACAAACCTTGGGCAGCTGGCGAAATCAATGTATAATCTTCATGTACTGATGTATGATTTTTGCCTGTAACTTCTGCTTTCCTGAAATGTACCATCACCTTTAAAAACCCTTGCTTATAAGCCATCAGGGATCACAGGTCTTAGGCGTTAACCACCTAATTCTCCTTGCCCAATGCCCTGCAATAAATGCCTCCATTTCTCTTGCTGCAAATCCCAATGTCAGTTTTAGCTTTTTCTGTGTGCTTGGTGAGAGGACCCAAGTTTGGTTTGGTAACAGAAAGAGGAATTATAGAATTCGAATTTCACCATTTTGCAATCTTTAATGAATTACTAAATTTAGACAATAATCAATGACTTTCAAACATTACAAAAAGACAATGAAGCCAGGTGCGGTGGCTCATTCCTGCAATCCCAGCACTTTGGGAGGCCAAAATGGGAGTATTGCCTGGGCCAAGGAGTTCGAGACCGGCTTGGTCAACAGGATCTGGTGGCAGGACCCTGTCTCTACAAAAAAAAAATTTTTTAATTGGACAGGTATAGTGGCATGCACCTGTAGTTCCAATTACTCAGTAGGCTAAGGCAGGAGGATCACTTGAGCCCAGGAATTCAAGGCTGGAGTGAGCCATGACTGAGCCAATGCACTCCAGCCTAGGGCACACAGCAAGATCCTGACTCAAGAAAACAAACAACAACAAACCGAGAGGACAATGAGATGTTATGTGGCCCTGATGGAAGTACACAACACAATCTATGATAAATTCTTAGCAAAACATAAGCATCAATCAGGATTAAGTTCAACTACTTAGAGAAAATACAGGGATCACAGAAACACGTTAAACATAACCACAGTGACACAACAAGGAAAATCTTCAATAAATACACTACAGTAAATAAAGATATGGAGAAGAAACATACACCTCACAAAGTCTTAAAGATAAAAGACATTTCAACCATATTTGAATTCTGATTTAACAAATGTAAAAAAATGCAAAAACTGGGAAACACCGATTATACATTAAGAAATTTTCAAATTTTGTGTGGTAACTGTATTGTGGTGTTTTGTTGTTGTTGCTGCTGTTGTTTGAGACAGGGACTCACTCTGTGGCCCAAGCTGGAGTGCAGTGGCACAATCTCATCTCACTGCAACCTCCACTTCCTGGGATCAACTGATCCTCCCACCTCAGCCTCCTGAGTAGCTGGGTGTGAGCCACCATGCCCAGCTAACTTTTTATTTTTATTTTTATTTATTTATTTATTTTTTGAGACAGAGTCTCCCTCTGTCACCCAGGCTGGAGTACAGTGGCTCAATCTCAGCCACAAGATTACTATATACACATACATATTTTGTGGCTATAGTTCCTCACCACAACCTCCTCCACTAATATCCTAGTTATTTCTTATTTTAAAACACCATCTCATTTTGGGAAACTTTAAAGTACAACGGATTTAGGTAACAGTGTGGATTACTGCTCATTTTCTTAGCATGATAATTGTATTGTGGTTAGGTAAGTAAATGTCCTTATGCTGAAGAAATTCATACCAAGTTATTTAGGGGTAAAGTGTTATAATGTGGGTAACTTATTTTCAAACATATTTCAGAATAAAATGTATATACAGAGGAGAGATAAAGCAAATAAGGCAAAAATGTTAACTGCTGAATCTAGGTAAAAATTATACAAGTGTTTATTTTGTTGGAAAATTTTCATATTAAAAGTTAAGAAAAAGGCCTCAACTTTCAGAGATACTTACTGATATGTTTACAAAAAAAAATTATCTTGAATTTGATTCAAAATAATCTCAGCAGGAATGGGTCAAAGTAAAAGTGAGAGAACTCTGAGCTGATAACTGGGGAAGCTGAGAATGGGTAGGTACATGGGGGTTAATATATTACTTTCTCACTTTTGTGTAAGTTTGCAATTTTCCAAAATAAAAAGCTAAAAGAAGAATGGGTATTTCTAGCCTGAAATAGATATTTATCTATCCTAACTCCAAAAATATCAGTGAAGAAACATAAAAGAGGCAGGGCACAGTGGCTCACGCCTGTAATCCCAGCACTTTGGGAGGCCAAGGTGGGTGAATCACCTGAGGTCAGGAGTTTGAGACCAGCCTAGCCAATGTGGTAAAACCCATCTCTACTAAAATACAAAAAAAAATTAGCTGCCCATAGTGGCACACACCTGCAGTCCCAGCTACTCGGGAGGCTGAGGCAGGTGAATCGCTTGAACCCAGGAGGAGGAAGTTGCAGAGAGTCAACATCACGCCACTGCACTACATCCAGCCTGGGCAACAGAACGATACTCCCTCTCAAAAGAAAAAAGAAAAACAGAATACAGCCAGGCACAGTGGCTCATGCCTATAATCTGAGCACTTTGAGAGGCTGAGATGGACAGATCGCCTGAGCTCAGGAGTTCGAGAACAGCCTGGCAACATGGGGAAACCCCGTCTCTACTAAAAACACAAAAATTAGCCATTCATGGTGGCCAGTGCCTGTAATCCCAACTACTCGGGAGGCTGAGGCAGGAGAATCGCTTGAACCCGGGAAGCAGAGGTTGCAGTGAGCCAAGATCACACCACTGCACTCCAGCCTGGGTGACAGAGCCAGACAGACTCCGTCTCAAAAAAAAAAAAAAGAATACTCCTGGGAAGGAGCCCCTCAGCAGAAGAAACATTTTGAGTAATTTCTGAAAGATACGGAATGGTAAGATCAAACAGAAGTCAGAGGCATGAAGTCCATTTCAAGCACAGCCACCAGCTTGGAGATGTTCTAGGTTCTGGCAGGAAACCTGCTGGATTTCTTACCTATTATGTTTCCTTACCAATTCATCTACAATCCTTGAATTGGCCTTTCCATTGTGGGAGACAGTAATAGAGGACACACTTCTCAACAGCTGAGTGAATTCACATTAGCTACCTGTGCTGATCAAACTAGTTCTTCACTTTTAAATATGAATGGAAAATAAAGATTTACTAGATATTTGAGGAAAAGCAACAGCATAAAGCATACTCACCAAGATGACTAGAAATGAATGCTAAGAAACCAAATCAATATAAGAAATAGAAATGGAAAATTAATCCTAATATCTTCAAACAGATTTTTAAAACTATTCATTCCATAAACCAAGAACACACTGCCATGATAAGCTTTCAGGGAGAAAGAAAGAGCAGTAAGAAATTAACAACAGGCCAGACATGGTGGCTCACACCTATAATCCCAGCACTTTGAAAGACTAAGGCGGATCACCTGAGCACAGGAATTTGAGGCTGCAGTCAGCTATGACTACTGACTACTACACCACTGTATTCCAGCCTGGGTAACAGAGTGAGATCCTGTCTTTAAAGAAAAAAAAAAAAGGAAAGAAATTTAAAAACATGGTTAAATTGTAAGATTTTCACAAATGGTGAAAA
The DNA here is from genome assembly GCF_000001405.40 of Homo sapiens. NCBI lineage: Eukaryota > Metazoa > Chordata > Mammalia > Primates > Hominidae > Homo > Homo sapiens. Next base: position 37,849,376 of record NC_000010.11, read on the forward strand.
ATTTTTTAAATATTTCAAAGAAACGGCCGGGCACAGTGGCTCACGCCTTGTAATCCCAGCACTTTGGGAGGCCAAGGCGGGCGGATCACCTGAAGTCAGGAGTTCAAGGCCAGCCTGGCTAACAAGGTGAAACCCCGTTTCTACTAAAAATACAAAAAAAAATTAGACGGGTGTGGTGGAGGGCGCCTGTAGTCCCAGGTACTCAGGAGGCTGAGGCAGGAGAATGGCGTGAACCCGGGAGGTGGAGCTTGCAATGAACGGAGAGCACACCACTGCACTCTAGCCTCGGCAACAGAATGAGACTGTCTCAAAAAAAAAAAATTTTTCAAAGAACCCTTAAAGATGTTTTAGAAATAGAATGAACATGGAAGACAGTACAAAAGAGAAATAAAAATAAATATAAAGAAGTTCAGGGGGCCGGATGCAGTGGTTCACGCCTGTAATCCCAACACTTTGGAAGGCCAAGGCATGTGGATCACAAGGTCAGGAGTTCAAGACCAGCCTGGCCAAGATGGTGAAACCCCATCTCTATTAAAAATACAAAACTTAGTCAGGCACGGTGGCAGGTGCCTGTAATCCCAGCTACTCTGGAGGCTGAGGCAGGAGAATTGCTTGAACCTGGGGGGCAGAGGTTGCAATGAGCTGAGATCACACCACTGCACCCCAGCCTGGGTGACAGAGTAAGAGACTCTGTCTTAAAAAAAAAATGGCTAACAAAGCACCTCAGGCTTGTTTTCCTCTACCCCAAATGCCCAGCTAAGGGAGCCTAAAGCTCCTTGTATATTAAATAGCTGTCACATTACAAGTGAGCAATTTAAACTGTACCAACTCTCTTTGAACAGCGTTTGCAATTCAACAAGATTTAGTAATACAGAACAGTCATAAATAGTTGCTAAATGAATGAATGACTTGATTAAGAAAGATAAAAAATGCTAACTTCAGGGAAAGGAAAGATATTTGCTGAAAAAATAGCAGAGTCAGTCAAAAAATATCTTACCCTTAAAATCAGTATCTTGATGAAATTCCTATCAAACTCCCAACAAGGATTTTTATAAGCACAGACAAGCTTATTCTAAAACTTATATAAAAGGCATAGGTGCTAAGAATAGCTAAAGCAACTATGAAGAAGAATAAAGTAAAAGGAATCACTGTGTTCAATATTAAACCTTACTATATGGTTACAGTCATCAAGATAGCGTGGTATTAGCAGAGGCACAGACACATACACCAATGGAACATAGAAGATAACCCAGAAATAGGCCTACACAAATATACTTAAGTGATTTCTGACAAAGGTACAAAAGGAGTTCAGTAAAATTTTCACAAATTTGTTGAAAAAAAATTTTTAACAAATGGTGCTGCAAGCAATTGTACATCCATAGGCAAAAACTGAGCCTCAATCTAAACCTCATACCTTACACAAAAATTAACTCTAAATAGATGAAGTACTTAAATATAACATATAAAACTATATAATTTTTAGACAAAAAAAAAGAGAAAATCTTTGCCTAGGGCTAGGCAAGAGTTCTTAAGACTTGATAACAAAAGCATCATCCGTAACAAAATATTGACAAACTGGACTTTATCAAAGTGAAAAACTTTTGCTCTGTGAAACACCCTGAAAAGATAAGCTACCAACAAGGAGAAAATATTTGCAAACCACATATCTGACAAAGGATTACTATCTAGAAAATTTAAAAAACTATTAAAACTCAATACATTAAAAAAAATCCAATTCTAAAATAGTAATGTGGGAGACCAGAAATATGCCACCCCAAAATATGAAGAATTGTTGAGCTGAAGGCAAGAAGTAGACACAAGAAAGCTGTCCTGTCTCTATCTGCCTAAAAGCAGGACATGGATTTACGAAGACAAAAGGTATCCTTGCCTCCCCATCTATCAAGGAGAACAAAGGTTAACAACTGAAGACAACTTGAGAACTGATGGTCCTAGAGATGGTACCAGGGGAATCTACATTAATTAGCTTCACAAACTAGCCTGTATCGGCCATTTATTTGCTTTCCCCCAAGTTGCCAGCCTTAGAGATTCCAAGCCCCTTTCCTTTGTCTTAACGTTTCTCTAAAAATTTCCTGTTCTTTGATGAAGATGCCATATAAGCTGGAATTCAAAGCCACCTCTTTGTGAAACACTCATTCTCTGGGTGTCCCCCATGTATATATGAAACATACTTGTTAATAAACTTGCTTTTCTCTTCTTAATCTATCTCTTGTTACAGGGGTTCAAGAAAAAAAAAATTACCATTCTTCCAGTACAGTTCTAAGACACGAAGGACTATTTCAATGAAGAGAATATACAGGCAGAAAATACACATGAAAAGATTTTCATGCAAATAAATAACAAAAAAAAATCACTATATACCCATCAGAATGACCAAAAAAAAAAAAAAAAAAAAAAAAAACCAGTGCTAACACCAAGTGATGGCAAGGATAGAGAGAAACTGGATCATGCGTACAGTGGCTAGCGGAAATATAAAATGGCATGTTCACAGCAGTTTTATTTTTCATAGCCCAAAATTGGAAGTTAACCCAGAGGTCCTTCAACAGGTGGATGATTAAACTGTGATATATCCAGCCGGGCGCGGTGGCTCACGTCTGTATTCCCAGCACTCTGGGAGGCTGAGGTGGGTGGATCATCTGAGGTTGGGAGTTTGAGACCAGCCTGACCAACATGGAGAAACCCTGTCTCTACTAAAAATACAAAATTAGCCGGGCGTGGTGGTGCATGCCTGTAATCCCAGCTACTCGGGAGTCTGAGGCAGGAGAATCACTTGAACTTGGGAGGCAGAGATTGCAGTGAGCCGAGATCTTGCCATTGCACTCCAGCCTGGGTAACAAGAGTGAAACTCCACCTCAAAAAAAAAAAAATGTGATATATCCATACCATGGACCACTACTTAATAACAAAAAGGAATGAACTGTTGACACATATACAACCCGGATGAAACACCAGGGAATTGTACTGAGTGAAAAAAGCTAACCCCAAGAGGTTAATGTTGTATGTTTCCTTTTCTGTAGCATTCTTGAAAGGACAGAAACAGATTAGTAGGTTGCCGATTAATTTAGGGAGGAGTAGGGGTTGGCTGGGGTTGGGGAATGACAGGGCCAGGATGGAGGTAGGTGTGGCTATAAAAAGGGCAACAGGAGAGATCTTCATGGTAATTCAGCTATTCTGTAGTGGATAAACGAATCTAATTTGTCACTGCACTCCAGCCTGGGTGACAGAATAAGACCCTATCTCTCTCTATATATAGATATAGATATATAGATACAATATATATTTATATATGTTATATATGTAAAATATGTATTTATATATGTAATATATGTATTTATATATGTAATTATATATTTCATATAGAAACAGTACACACATTTTGTGTTTTTATTTAATTTAGAGAACTCAGAGATCTAATAGGTGTAACTGCAGTACCAAAAGGAAAGTAGAGAATATTTGATGAAAAGAAAAGGCAGATAATTTTTTTTTTTAGATGGAGTCTCGCTCTGTTGCCAGGCTGGAGTGCAGTTGCGTGATCTCGGCTCACTGCAACCTCTGCCTCCTGGGTTCAAGCGATTCTCCTGCCTCAGCCTCCCGAGTAGCTGGGACTACAGATGTGCGCCACCAAACCCAGCTAACTTTTGTACTTTATACTAGAAACATGGTTTCACCCTCGATCTCTTGACCTCGTGATCTGCCCGCCTTGGCCTCCCAAAGTGCTGGGATTTACAGGCGTGAGCCACCGTGCCAGGCCAAGGCTGAGAATTTTTAAAATGACAAGGATATCATACCTCAGAACCAACCCCTGCCAAAATACTACAGGATAAATATAGAGAAAACCAAACCAAGTTATATTAAGTAACAATTGCTGAAAACCAAAAGAAAAGAGAAAATCTCATAACCAACCAGAGGAAAAAAGATCAATTGCCTTCAAGGGGGAGGATGATTTAAGACAAAAACAACAACAATCCAGAAGTCATCGGAATGGTTTTTTGTTTTCTTTTCGAGACGGAGTCTCGCTCTGTCGCCCAGGCTGGAATGTGGTGGCGCAATCTCCGCTCACTGCAAGCTCTTCCTCCCAGGTTCACTCCATTCTCCTGCCTCAGCCTCCCGAGTAGCTGGGACTACAGGCGCCTGCCACCATGCCCGGCTAATTTTTTTGTACTTTTAGTAGAGACGGGGTTTCTCCATGTTGGTCAGGCTGGTCGCGAACTCCCGACCTCAGGTAATCCACCCACCTCGGCCTCCCAAAGTGCTGGGATTACAGGCAGGAGCCACGGTGCCCGGCCACCGGAATGGTATTTTTAAAGTGCTAAAAAGAAAAGAAAAAAAAAGCTCTCACTCCAGAATTCTGTCTTTAGTGAAAATATCCTTCAAAATGAAGAAACACAGACATCTTTAAACAAAAAAAAATGACGAATCTGTCACCAAAAGATCTGCACAAGAAACAATAAAACTTCTTTGGGGTAAAGGCAAATAACTGTAGATGAAGCATGATATTGCAAAAGGGAAGAAAAAGCACAGTAAAGGGCAATTATTTCAGTAAATACGAAAGCCTACCCACTCTCTAAAGTCGTAATACTAAAGATACCTTGTGGGGTTCAGAACACAAGGAGAAGAAAGCATCAAAACAACAGCACACATCGGGGGGTGGAGTAAATGGAATGATACTGTAGTAATTTAATTAAGTTTCTACATACAAGTAAACTCCAAATGGATTAAAGATTTAAACATAAAATGCATAAAAGTATTAGAATACATGGGCAGATTCTTTATAATCAAGTGGGAAGGACTTTCTAACTATGTCTCCAAATGCTATCAGTCCAAAACCATAAGGAAAAGATTAATAAACTGGACAACAAAAATAACCAAATATTTCTGCATAGGGAAAAACACCATGAACAATTATCAAAAGACAAATGATATACCAAAAAATAATGGCTTGCAACTCATATAATACACAAGGGTAAAAGACACTGGGGGGGAAAAAAGACCAGACAACCCAAAAGAAAAATAGGCAAAAGATACTAACAGTTAAGTTCATAGAAAAATAAATATAAGACACCCTTAGACACACGAAAACGTATTCAACCTCACTCAGTGAAGAAAATCGCAGATGCAAACTATATGAAATACCACTTTTTACCTATCGGTTGCCCCAAATCCAAAAGTTGAACCACATATTCTATGGGAGGAGCTGTGAAGAAATAAGCATTCCCATGCATTGCCAATGGGAAAACAAAATAATACTATCTCTAGGACAGGCATTCCCACTAAGCTGATCAAGTTCTGGGAATTCATCTAATATATAAACATATACACACAAAATTATAAATGTACAAGGTTATTCATTACCACATGGTTTGTCATAGCAAACAGCTGGAAGTAGTTTAATGAACTATGGACTTGAATTACTAGGCAATTGTGACAAAGAGAGAAAATGCTATTCATGTTCTGTCAGAGAAACATCTGTATGCTGTTAAGTGAAAAAGGAATAATGGAAAATAGTGTGTAAGTCAACCATCAGAATCAGCTTAAGCTGGAGGTTTATCAGAACTTCAGAATAAAGGACCCCATCCACAGCTACTAAATCAGAACCTGCATGTTAAAAAGATGCCAGGAATGCACAATCACATATAAGTTTGATAAGCCCTAGAGATAACAGATTCCTTTTTAAGTAAACTGAGGAAGCAAATAAGAATATACATACATATTTTCTTTAAACTGGATAAAGAAACACTGGCAAAGTAAACCAAAAACTAGAAAAAAAATAGACATCTTTGGTAGGTTGACCATACATTCCAGTAAGTCTGGGACTGTCCCAATATATGCCAGTTGTCTCAGCATAATTATTTATAGAACCTCTTTCACTCTCAGTGAAAATGTCTCGGTTTTAATGATTAAATGTCACCCTACCTGGAGAAACTGCATGAACAGAGGAAGGGAGTGTGAATATATATGTACATCTTTTGTTATCACTTATACTTTTAAAAAAGTAAAAGTAATGTATTATTACATTAATGTATTATTAATTCAAAAGCACTTTATTAAGGAAAAAAAATGAAACCAGTCAGGAAAAACAGACCGAGAAGAACCTAAGTAGGCTAAGGATGGAAATGCACGCATAAGCAATGCCTGGAGCAAAAAGAAAAGATGCCTTCATGAGGACTAGGGAGGGAATCAAAGTTAGGAAAGGACAGCTCAGAGGGTGGCATTACAGACACCAACAGAGGAGACTCTCCAAACAAAGACCATGGTTAACAATATATGCAGCAGACCAGGCAAGTAATGCAAAGGCAAAAACATGCACTAGCCTTGACTATGATTTGGTGGCCTTTGCCAGAACTGATTCAGGTGAGTTTAGGTGAGGGAATAAGGTTGCATTCATCAGATTGAAACATAAATGAGAAACACAGAAACAAGTCGGAACTGTCAGTGATTCAACCTAGAAATAAGAACGAGCTGACACAAACAGTTAGGGAAAACTGTTTTGAGGACATGCAGTCCCTCCATTCCTCCACATCGTCAAGGTTTTATTCCTGGATCAAACAGGACCATCAAACCTCAGCGTTTGTTCTCCTGAAAAGCATATGCACTGAGTTCTGCTCTGTAACTGTGTTCTTTGTTTCTACAAAGAAATACTTATAGACAATTTACTGCATTTATTTCAGAATTGTTACTAGAACAATTAGAGATAATATTACAATAACTTGGATAATTCTGCAAAATTAAAAATCCTGCATCTAATTTGCCAACTGCACTATTTTGGATTTGCTACTTCAGTTTTATTTCCCTTAATGTCAATTTTTGCCTATTTCTATTTTTCCATTTTCAAAACATAAACCCTTATAAACTTCAGAAATCCATTTTTAAACAAACTGGGAATAAAGAAACAAGAATCTCACCTGGGATTTGTTCATTTTCCGCTCTTAGTGGAGGAAGGAGAGCTGAAGGATTAGAAAGGAAGAATGTCAGGAGAGCCTTCGCCGGCCTTGCAGTTCGGAGATTCACCTGCCTATACAGGTCCACACACAAGATACTTACGTGTCCATGTGTGGCTCCGATATATGCTGAGCTCAGACATGACACTTTTCACTGAGTGAATGTAAATATTTCTTATTGATTTATTACCAATTTAGGTTCTGTGACACAGAAAAATTAAAAACATGAAAAGATGAGTTTAACAAGTTAACAGTAATCTGAAGGAAAAAACACTATGGGTTTGTCAAAATTCCTTGTAGGGAAAAAAAAAAACTGAGGCCATATTGTTTATCTGTTTACCTGTTAACACCATTAATGCCCTGAGGTTAGATAATGCAAAAGACCTCTAAAAAAAGGGATAGGATGTTAAATGCAAGTTTAAAAATGTTTGTTCTAACTTGCTAACAATTCCTCAAAAGGATCTTTTAATGAGAAACTGTGATATAGAGTAACAAAATGGGCAGCAGTGGCTCGGGAAACTGCAGACTTGACTTCTAATCTCAGTTCTGCCTCTAAGGAATGACAAGATCTGAACTACTCACCTCCTCAAACTCAATTTTGTTTTTCCATCTTTCAAATAAGGTCAAAACAGATAACCCAAGTATGACCTGACTGCACTACCATCCGGCGGGGATATCAGGCCAAGAGAGGAGGAAGCTCAGCAGCTCATCTGGATGTGCCCGGTGTTCGCGGAGGGGTGATAACAGCATTTCTTTCGCTGTGGCCGTGAGCCTTTCACCCGTCCCTGCCCTCAGACTCTCCAGAGGTGACGTTCCTGTTAGCCTGCGCGCCCACCCCTCAGCTCCAGCTCACCTCTCTCTTCTTAAATTTGTCCCAGACCTTGCACCAGCACACAGACTCCGACGGCTTCAGGATACTGTGCCATGATTACACATAATACATAAGCGAACGCGAAACGTGTAAATAATTACTTGGGATAGGAGGGCGGTCAGAGCCAGCAGGGGCCCTGGTGGTCAGCTAGGCCAGCCCCTTCGCTCCTGCACTCCACGGGCAGAGAGGCCCTTGGGGCCGGTGCAGGAGCCGTCTCCCTCGGGCTCTCCCAGGGAACGCACACCCAATAAATACAGCACCTAAACAATGAAAGTGCTCAAAACAACCCCAGGCGGCAAGTATTCCTAATATCCGTAATTTACAGAGAGGAAAACCGAGTCTCCCGTGGATAATTGTGTCTAATTCATTTGTCGCGGACCTGGCGCAGTCGCTCTCCCCCGCAGCCCCGCCTCCTCCCCGCGGGCTCAGGGCACAAAAAGCGCACACGCACACATCAAACGCCATGCGCACGCGCACAACAAACGTCACACGCTACGCACGCGCGTGCTGTCCCCTCCCCGCAGCCAGTTCCCTCCCCTTCGGGCCAGTGCGCATTGCCTACCCCGTGCTACAGGACTTCGCTGAGCGCCAGGCGCAGGGACTGGACGCATACGGACCCCCGGGAGCCCCGGAACTCGCGTTCCCACGCCAGACCTCATCCCCTTCTGACAGAGACGCCCTCGTCCCACCGTCGCCGCAGGCGCCAGGGGTCCCTCCCCACCGCCGAGGTCTAGCCGCCGCCCGCCCGCCTTCAGGGCAGCGCGGGGACCCCCTGGCCCTCGCCCAGTGCTCCGGGGCTCACCCGCCGCTCCTCGCCGCCTCCGGAGGCGAGGGATTGTTTCCCACAAGGGACTGGAGTCCAGGGAAGGACTCGCCTGGAGCGGGAGGCGGGGATGCACATGCGCAGAGGGAGAGGCCGAGCGCCCGAGTTAGGCTGGTGGATGCGATGCGGGGCTTGGAAGCGGCGCTAGACGGTGCCTGTCAGCTCTGGCCGCAACCCTCAGTTGTAAAATGAGGCTGATAGTGCCTACCTAGCAGGGGTTTTATGAGAATTGGAGGCGCTTACGTTGTAAAAGCATTTAAACCGGTGTCTGACACATAAATTGTTCAGTATATTTCTCACAATTATATATCATGCTGGTCATCATAAGGCTCTCCTGCAAAACAGCCTTGTATAGTGGGTTGAGAGATTACTGTCTCAGTTACCCACTCCTGCTTGGAACCAGGATTCTGTCAGTGTCCCCAGAGGTTGTGGATCAAATCAATGTGCCTGTTAGACACAAGCCAAGAGAAGGAAAGGTGTGCTTGAATTCATTCACGATCATGCATGGTAACGTTTAACTGAAAGACTGGAAGAGAAAACTAAAATCTGTGACCAGTATGGTTATTCTCTGGAATAAGGAAAAACAGAAGCTAGCAATTCAAGACCCAAACATAAAATTGTTTATATGTTTAAAAAAAAAAAAGCCGTTTGAGTAACAAATTTGAAGAAGAAAGCACGCACTCATTTCCCAAAACCAACCATACTTTACCCAGAACTACACTACACGTACATTCTTTTACGTGCACATCTGGCATTTTCAGCACACTATGAGCATGTGCGTGTGTTACAACTTTTCATTTAAAAAATCAACTCCTGGGTCATTGTCCACTTTTTTAAACTTTTCATTTGCTCATAATTTCAGATTTACAGAAGAGTTGCAAAATAGTTCCTATATGCCTTTCACCCAGATTCCACTAGTGTTAGTATTTTACATGACCATGGTATATTTATCAAAACTAAGAAAATAACATAGGTACAAGTACTATTAACTGAACTGCAGAGTTTATTCAGACTTAAGCAGTTCTTCCACTAATGCCCTTTTTCTGTTCCAGCAACCAATCAAGGATATTGTCACCGGGGGTCCTTGCTCCCAGAGCTCCCAAGATGGTGGTGGGCTGCTTCCGAGATGGGGGCAAGCCTCATGTTCTCTGACCTGGGGTTCTTGGCCTCATGGATTACAAGGAATGGAATTTTGGGCTATGTGGTGAGTGTTATAGCTCAATTAGAAGCCGTGGGTCACGGAAGAGAACTGTGGAACCCAGTGACTAGTGTTCAGCTCGATTAGGACCAACCTGGGACTTAGCTGTGCAGGAACAATGGCAAGCCTTTAGCCCAACTTGGGAGCAGCAATGGGCACCTCGCTGGATCAGGAGCACAGCGGACACCCTGCCAGATCCGGAGGGATGGAAGTCAGCGGCGGGTCTGCGAAGGCCGCAAACAGCAGCGGTGGACAGCGAGCGAAAGCTCAGCTCAAGCCGTAACAAACACGGACCAGAAGAGAGTGCAGTTGCAAGATTTAATAGAATGAAAACACAGCTCCCATGCAAAGGGAGGGGACCCAAAGTGGGTAGCTGTTGCCGGCTCCAATGCCTGGGTTTCTATCCCGATCATTGTCCCTCCCGCTGTGCTCTTAGGCAATAGATGATTGGCTATTTCTTTACCTACTGTTTTTGCCTAATTAGCATTTTAGTTAGTTCTCTTTACTACCTGATTGGTCGGATGTGAGCTAAGTGCAAGCCCCTTGTTTAAATGTGGATGCAGTCAACTTCTCAGCTAAGCTTAGGGATTCTTAGTCGGCCTAGGAAATCCAGCTAGTCCTGTCTCTCAGTATCACAGTACATTTACTTGTCATGTCTTAGCCTTGGCCAGTTTGTAATAGTTTCTTGCTCCTACCTTGTCTTTCATGACCTTGCTATGAAGATGAAAGCACGCTCTCTTGACTTCAGTCCTCCCACCTTGGCTTCCCAAAGTGCTTGGGATTACAGGCATGAGCAACCACACCCAGCCTATAGTTTAACTTTAAAACAAGAACGATAATGATCCCTTCCTGAAACTAACCCCCTCCTTGTTTGGGGACAAAAACCGTTTTTGTAAAACTAGTGGAAGTCCACAAGTTTAGAATTTTGGTAGGAACCTGAATTCTGTAAGATGCAGGCATAAACTCTAACCAGTTTTTGCTTTTATAATCTGCCTTTTTGTAACTGCTTACTACTCCAGAGTCACATAGCCAGTGGTCACAAGATTTATAACATCTCCAATTGTCACTATAGATAATGTCACTATTGTAAAACCTAAAACTAGTGTTTGAGTTATTTTTCAGACTTTACATTCTGATGGACCAACTGGTGCCACTGGGACCAGTAACCCATAGCAAAAAATGGACTCAGTTGATCCTGTGACCCCCTTCAAGAACCGATTCAACACAAGAAGACAGTTTCAACAGCCCTATGATTTCATCCCTGACCCAGCCAATCACCATTCCCCATTCTCTAGCCTCCTGATGGGCAGGAGGCTAGAGAGGTTCAAAGTTTTTCATCCTTGAAAGACTGTAGCCTCCAAATTCTCAGGAAGGCAGATTTGAGAATTATCTCTTATACTTGCTTGGCCACCCTGCAATTATTAAACTCTTTTTCTGCTGCAATCCTGTCGTTCTCAGTTTATTGGCTTTTTTCTAGGCAGCAGCCAAGAAGAACCCACATGGTAACATTCTCCTGATTAGACTGAGGTTGTGAGTTTTTAGGAAGCACCCCACAAACAGGTTGTGGCTTTCTCATAGTGTGATATCAGATGGCATGATATCAACATGACTTTTTACTGGTTAATTGACCATGATTACATGTATTAAATTAACTGAAATTTGTCCTGAGGCTGCCTCCCTACCTTTAGGGCCGATGTAAGGACTGCAACCTACCTTGGTATGTAAACAAACAAAGCATAGCTTGTTAAACTTTTATAGCTGGCTGAGTCAGCCAGTTACAGAAGCTGAGCTAAAGCCAGTTACAGGCTGCCAACTAATCAGACCATTTCCAAATAAGGCCAAAGTTGAGCTGTAACCAGTCAAGCTGTTTCTGTAGAGCACTTCTGTTTTCTGTCTGTAAATACTCCCTGCCCACTTTATAGAATTCTCTGAACCTCTTCTAGTTCTGAGTATTGTCTGATTCAAGAATCTTTCTTTGCTGAAATGAACTCGGCTAAACTTAATTTTCTAAAATTTGTCTTTTAACACTTGGTTAAGGTGGTGTCTGATAGGTTTCTCCCTATTTTTCCCTTTCCAGTCTATATACAGAAGTGGGTCTACATGTCCAGCCCACACTCAAGGGGAAAGGAAATAAGCTCCATTTTAAATTTGTGGTTATATTTTTAAATTACCACACTGATTAGTAAATTCAGGGAGAGATTCTTTGAGACTATGCAAATACCCTATTTCTACTTTTCTACTGATTTTAGTTATCATTGGTGGATCTTGGCTGCAACCATTACTACTGTGGTGTTCCAAATGGTGATTTGTTGTGTGAACTCTGAAAACTTGAGACAGGTCTCAGTTATTAGAAAGTTTGTTTGCGGCCGGGCGCTATGGCTCACGCCTGTAATCCCAGCACTTTGGGAAGCCAAGGCGGGTGGATCATGAGGTCAGGAGTTCAAGACCAGCCTGACACTCTGTCTTAAAAAAAAAAAAGAAAGTTTGTTTTGCCAAGGTTGAGGATGCAGGCCTGTGACACAGCCTCAGAAGGTCCTGACATGTGCCCAAGATGGTCGGAGCACAGCTTGGTTTTATACATTTCAAGGAAACATGAGACATCAATTAACATATGTAAAATGAACATTGGTTCTGTCCAAAAAGGCGGCAAAAGCGGGACAACTGAAAGCAGGGAGGGTGCTTCCACGTCAAAGGTAGGTAAAAGACAAATGGTTGCATTTTGTTGTCGTTGTTGTTATTGTTGTTGTTGTTGAGACAGAATCTCACTGTCATCACCCAGGCTAGAGTGCAGTGGCGCAACCTCGTCCTACTGCAAACCTCCGCCTCCCGGGTTCAAGCTGTTCTCCTGCCTCAGCCTCGTGAGTAGCTGGGATTACAGGCACCTGCGACCATGCCTGGCTAATTTTTGTACTTTTAGTAGGGACGGAATTTCACCATATTGGCCAGGCTGGTCTCAAACTCCTGACCTCAGGTGATCCACCCGCCTCAGCCTCCCAAAGTACTGGGATTACAGGTGTGAGCCACTGCACCCAACCTTCATTCCCTTTTTTTCTCTACACAGTATCTCCTCACAGAGCAAGAAGTTTCAATTTTAATAAAGTCCAATTTAGTAATTTTTTTTATAAATTGTGATGTTTGTATACAATTTAAAAACTCTTTGCCTAATCAAGGCCACAAAGACTTTCTCCTACATATTTATCTATAAGTTGTAGAATTTTAAGTGTATTTAAGCCTATAATCCATTTTGAGATAATTTTTTACGACATTGAAATATGTCAATATTCTTGTTTGCTTGTTTCTTTGCATGTGTATTTTTCTTTTCTTTCTTTCTTTTTTTTTTTTTTTTTTTCTGAGACAGAGTTTCACTCTTGTCACCCAGGAGTGCAGTGGTGCGATCTCGGCTCACTGCAACCTCCACCTCCCGGGTTTAAGCGATTCTCCTGTCTCAGCCTCCGGAGTAGCTGGGATTACAGGCGCATGCCACCACACCCAGCTAAGTTTTGTATTTTTGGTAGAGACGGGGTTTCACCATTTTGGCCAGGCTTATCTTGAACCCCTGACCTCATGATCCGCCTGCCTCGGCCTCCCAAAGTGCTGGGATTACAGGCATGAGCCACCGCGCCCAGCCTGCATATGTATGTTTAAATGTTCCAGTACCATTTGTTAAAAAGACTATCCTTTCTCTACTGAATTGTCTTTGCACCTGTGTCAAAAATCAAATGACCACATTTGTGCGGGTTTATTCCTGTGCTTTCTATTTATTCCGTTGATCTATGTGCTACAGTTTGGATGTGTTCTCCAAAGCTCATGTGTTGGAAACTTCATCTCCAATGCAACAGTATTGAGAGATGGGACCTATTATAGATAATTAGAGGCAGGGCCCTCATGACTGGATTAAGACCATTAACTTGGTAGTAGGTTCCTTTCAAAAAGATGAGTTCAGCCTCCTTTCCTGTCTCACCATGTGCTTATTCTGCAATGTTATGTTGCAGCAAGAAGGCCCTCACAAGATGCAGCCCCTTGATCTTGGACTTCCCAGTATCCAGAACCATGAGCCACATAAATTTCTGTTCATTATAAATTACCCAGTGATGTAGTTTGGATATTTGTCCCCACCCAAATCTCACATTGAAATATAATCCCCATTGTTGGAGGTGGGTCCTGGTGGGATATGTTGGGGTCATGGGGGGCGGACCTCTCATGGTTTGGTGCTGTTCTTGCAATAATGAGTGAGCTCTCATGACATCCGGCTGTGTAAGAGTGTGTGGTACCTCTCCCTCAACTCTCTCTCTTTTGCTCCTGCTTTCACCATGTGACATGCCTATTCCCACTTCACCTTCTGCCATGATTGTAAGTTTCCTGAGATTTCCTTAGAAGCAGATGCAGGTACTATGCTTCCTGTAAAGCCCTGGAGAACTGTGGGCCAATGAAATCTCTTTTCTTATAAATTATCCAGTCTCAGGTATTTATGTATTGCAATGCAAGAACAGTGCAATACACCAAGTCTGTGGTATTATGTTATAGAAGTATGAAATGTACTAAGACAGAATATTTGGTGCTAGAGAGTGGGGTGTTGCTATAACAAATACCAAAATATGTGGAAGCAGCTTCGGAAGTGGGTAGTGGGTAGACAGAAGAATTGGCAGAGAGGTTAGAAAAGTCTATGTTGCTATGAAACGAACATTAAGGGTAATTCTGGTGAGGGCGCAGAATGTAAGAATAGATACACAGAAAGTCTGAGTCTTCCTAGAGATTACTTAAATGTTCATGACCAGAATGCTGTTAGAAATATGGATGGTAAAGGCCTTTATGATGAGGTATCAGACAGTAATGAAGAATATCTTATTAGAAACTGGAGCAAAGGCTATCCTGTTACAAAGTGGCAAAGAATTTGACTGAATTGTGTTTGTGCCTAAGGCCTTTATGAAAGGCAGAATTTTAGAGTAATAAACTAGGATATCTGGTGGAAGAAATTTCTTTTTTTTCTGGAGTTGGAGTTTTGCTCTTGTTGCCCAGGCTGGAGTACAGTGGCATGATATTGGCTCACTGCAACCTCCGTTTCCCATGTTCAAGTGATTCTCCTCCCTCAGCTTCCCAAGTAGCTGGGATTACAGGCAGCCGCCACCATACCTGGCTAATTTTTTGTATTTTTAGTAGAAACGGGGTTTCGCCATGTTGGCCAGGCTGGCCAGGCTGGTCTCGAACTCCTGAACTTAAAATTTCTAAGCAAAGTCTCAAAGGAGCTTCATGGCTACTTTTTTTTTTTTTTGACATGGAGTCTCGCTCTGCCCCCTAGGCTGGAATGCAGTGGTGTAATATCGGCTCACTGCAACCTCCACCTCCTGGGTTCAAGCGATTCTCCTGCCTCAGCCTACCAAGTAGCTGGGATTACAGGTGTGCACCATCATGTCTGGCTAATTTTTGTATTTTTAGTAGAGACGGGGTTTCACCATGTTGGTCAGGCTGGCCTTGAACTCCTGACTTCAGGTGATCCGCCCACCTCGGCCTCCCAAAGTGCTGGGATTACAGGCATGAGCCACCACACCTAGTCTTTTTTTTTTCTTTTTTTTTTTTTTGAGACAGAGTCTCGCTCTGTCACCCAGGCTGGAGTGCAATGGCGCGATCTTGGCTCACTGCAACCTCCACCTCCCAGGTTCAAGCAATTTTCCTGCCTCAGCCTCCCAAGTAGCTGGGATTACAGGCACACACCATAACACCTGGCTAATTTTTTGTATTTTTAGTAGAGACGGGGTTTCACCATGTTGGCCAGTCTAGTCTAGAACTCCTGACCTCATGATCGGCCCACCTCAGCCTCCCAAAGTGCTGGGATTACAGGTGTGAGCCACTGCACCCAGCCTGCCTTACATATTCTTGTTTGAACTTACAATTTTGATTTTAAAACATGCTGTGGAAAACCACCCGCAACTGTGAGTTAGTACATCCACATCCATACTTTTAATGGTGATCTACTGCTCTATCATAATTTGTCTTTGCATTGCTTTCAATTGTTTGTTGTTATGAACTCATTTGCAAGGTATATGTGATGGTTAATTTTATGTATTAATTTCGTTAGACTACAGTGTTCAGATAGTTGGTCAACATTAGTCTGGATGTTTCTGTGAAGGTGTTTTTGGATAAAATTAACATTTAAATTGGTGAACGTTGAATAGAAAAGATTAACAAAGACTGACCTCCCCTAAGCAAGAGAGCATTCTGCCAGTGGACTGCACGGTGACTCAGACTGCAACTCTTCCCTGCTGGCCTACCCTGCAGATTTTTGAACCAAGGAAGCCTTCATATTTATGTAAGCCTTTTCTCTGACAACTGACTAATGTATAGAATCACTTGACAATTATTTTATTGGGATTATTTTAACTGTAAGATTGCTAAAGAATATTCTCATTTTGAAGTATGACACCAAGAAGCTTCTAGAAAGTTTACACAACTTAATACAATTTGATAGAAGTAAACATTTTTTCCCACATCTACATCAAGCTTGAATATTTCCTAGTATTTAAATTAAGCTTTTCATATAACTTTTAAAATGATTTCCAGTCTTAGATGTCATAATGGTATATTATGTGATATTTTAAATATCTTCATTTCTTTTATTTTTCGCAATATACTTTTGACTGGGAATATGGTTTGGATCTGTGTCCCCACCAAATCTCCTGTTGAATTGTAACCCCGAATGTTGGAAGTGGGGCCTATTGGGAAGTGATTGGATCATGGTGAGGGAAGAGAGAGAGAGACCCTCTCATATTGTTTTATATTGTTTTATACTCAGTACCTGTTTTAAGAAAAAAACAAGGAAGTGAAACCAAAGGCAGGCGGCCCGGCGCCAGGCACCAGACCCAAAACCAGA
Source organism: Homo sapiens (assembly GCF_000001405.40). Taxonomy (NCBI): domain Eukaryota; kingdom Metazoa; phylum Chordata; class Mammalia; order Primates; family Hominidae; genus Homo; species Homo sapiens. The sequence goes on from NC_000010.11 coordinate 37,866,089, forward strand.
CCTGAAACCAGGCCTGGGCCTGCCTGGCCTAAACCAAGTAGTTAAAAATCAACTCATGACTTAGCAACCGATGTTATCCATAGATTCCAGACATTGTGTGGAAGAACACTGTGAAACTCCCTGCTCTGTTCTGTTTCACTCTGACTACCGGTGCATGAAGCCCCTGTCACGTACCCCCTAGATTGCTCAATCACGACCCTTTCATGTGAAATAAGACATCTTGAGGAACAAGATCCATGTGGAAAAGAATCACTCCAAATCGGAGTTTCTGAGCAGAGGCAATAGCTCCCAGAAAGGAGCAGATACTAGATTTGCACACAAGGCTCAGAATAAGTAAGATTTGGATGATGTTGCCACATCCAGAAGACAGGCCACAGAGAAGGTCTGCACCAGATTTCAAAAGAGAGTAGGAAAGTGGGCTGAGAGGAATGAAGGAGGGTTAGGCCATGCAGGAAATATAGCTTCACTGGAGGAGTTTGGGAGATGTGCTGTGGGTAAAGTTGTTTTAGAGCTAGAGCTGAGCATATTCTGTCTTCACCAATCCCAGTATAGCCCCCACTCTTTTTTCACTCCCTCTTCCCAGATCCCAAGATCTTTGCACTCCATGAATCTGGCATCTAAAGATATGCTGATGAATTCCTTTCTTCTGACATTGTACGACAGTAGTACAAGAAAGGTTTTCTGTTTGTCTTGTTTGAGCTTGGGAAAAATTGGCCCTGAGAGTGTAAGTGAATTTCCCTGGCTTTGTGTTAGTGGCAGAGCTGAGAGTAGACGTTGAGTCTCCTCACACCCAGGCCGGTGCTAATCACATTATCACTGTTAAAACAGACATCTTTAAAAGGCAGTCTTTTGAGAAACTACATATACTGTAGAAAAACAGCTTAAGTGACCTTACCTTAAAGTGCCTCCAATCCTTCTTTCATAGCTTTGGTTGAGTTCTTTTAACTTAAGGAGTAAAACGAGGAAAAAAAATCCGTGTTCGATGAAACTTCTGATGAAGGCTTACATAGCTTTACTGCATTTAGTGTGTTGTGATTTGTTTAATCATTTTTGTTATAATTGTTTTATTTCTTTGAGAACACAAAGTGGTACACATGTTTTAAAAAATCAGCCGAAAACAGTTATATCCACTCAGTAAAAAAAAAAAAGGACACATCCAAGCTCCATGTGATCATGTAACTGTCACCAATATACACGTGGGTGCATCTTGATGGGTTTCTTCCTGCCTCTTCTCCAGGTTGAAAGGGATGTTCTCCCACAGAGAGACGTTTTACCAACCCCCCTACCCCCCGCCCAGTGATGTTTGCAGTTTTTTAAGTAGGCAAATCCAAAGCATTTCATATTTCTAGTGACTTGCTTCATTTTTTTTTATCCCAGGTAAACCTTCAGAGATTTCTACATTATTCCAGGATCAGCATAAAATGAAGAAATCCTATGTGAGTTGATGAAGTAATTCTGTACTTTGCTTTACAGTGGATCTTAGCAGGTTGACCCTTATACTCAAATTGGAAAAGTCGAAATAGATACAATGAACTTCAAAGAAACAGGGTTAACACAATGATTCTCAAATGTCAGTGTGCATAAAAGTAACCTGGAAAGTTTATTAAAACAGAACAGGGCCTGAGAATTTTCATTTTTAACAAGATTACAGGCGATGATGCTAGGGTTCAGGTCTATAGGCCAATAGCATTGGAATAGCAGATCACAAGGGCAAAGTTGGCATATATATGTCACATATATATGTGTATGTATATATGTGTATATATACACCTATCTGTGTGTATATTGTGTATATATATGCAATATATATATACACATACACAGGTATTGATATCTGTATATATGTGTATATATCTATATATGTGTATATATTGATATATATACACACACACATCATGTGGAGTTAGTTATGAGATTTGAATTGCAAATATTTCTGACCTTTCTGGTAACTATGGCAAAGAGAGATGATCTGTTAATGGCTTTCATTGCTGATGAGAATGATGCTACCTGGTTCCTTTTGGTACATATGTGAAGACTGATATTAAAGCTGAAAAAATATTTTTTTTTGCTTTTTTTTTTTTCCTTTTTTTTTGAGACAGAGTCTCGCTCTGTCACCCAGGCTGGAGTGCAGTGGCGCGATCACAGCTCACTGCAACCTCTGTCTCCAGGGTTCAAGCGATTCTCCTGCCTCAGCCTGCTGAGTAACTGGGACGACAGGTGAGTGCCACAGTGCCTGGCTGATTTTTTGTATTTTTAGAAGAGACGGGGTTTCACCATGCTGGCCAGGCTGGTCTTGAGCTCCTGACCTCGTGCTCTGCCCACCTCGGCCTCCCAAAGTGCTGGGATTACAGGTGTGAGCCACCGTGCCTGGCCTTTCTTTTGCTTTTTATACAATGATGGACAGCCTTCTGGTGGCAACCATGAAATAAACACCTGTAATTATTCTTTAGTGAAAGCAAAAAGCAAGGTACTCAGCCACACTGAATTAATGAAGTTTTTTAGGGACCATGTTACTAGAGACCATGTAAATGGCTTTCAGTTAGTCTTGTTTTTTTTTTTTGTTTTTTTTTTCTGGATAAAACTTTAAACATATAGAGAATAAATTGATGGTATGTCTTTAAAATAACTTTCCAAAATTCTTAAGTCGCTTAATCTGTAGAATATTCAGTTAAGAGATTATTTTCTGGCAAATGTTTCTGCACTTAATTAAATTTTCAACCCATGCTTCATGCAGAATGGATTATTTCCTACCATTTGTTGGACTTTTGTCTGTAAACATCACCAATGATATATTTGTTTATTGCGGTAGAATATACATAACATAAAATTAACAACTTAAAGTGCACAATTCAGTGGCATTTAGCATAGTCAAAATGTTGTGCAACCATCATCACTATTTAGTTCCAGAGCATTTCATCATTCCAAAAGGAAACGTATATGCTTTACAGTCACTTTCCATTCACCCCTAAATGCACTGCCTCGCAACCACTAATATACTTTCTGTCTCTATGGACTTTCCTATTCTGGATATTTTACATAAATGTAATCATACACTATGGGTTTTGCTTGTTTTTTTTTTTTTTTTTTAATAGAGACAGGGCAGACTGGAGTGCAGTGGCTCAATCATAGCTCACTGTAGCCTTGAACTCCTGGGCTCAAGCAGTCCTCCCACCTTCGCCTCCCAAAGTGGTGGGATTACAGGAATGAGCCACTGTGCCTAGCCAATATGTGTTTTGTATGTCCATCCTTCACCTAGTATAATGTTTTCAAAGTTCATCTGAGTTGTGGCATGTATCTGACCTCATTCCTTTTTATTGCTGAATAATCTCTTACATGGATGCACCTCATTTTGTTTATTCATCAGTTGATGGATGTTTGGGTTGTTTATACCTAATGGCTATTGCGAATAGTACATCTATGAATATATGTATATAAATTTCTGTTTGAACACCTGTTTTCAGTTTTCTGGATATATACCTAGACATAGAATTGCTGGATCATATATTTTGTCTTTTACTGAGGAATCACCAAACTTTTTCACAGCGCTGCATAATTTTACATTTCCACCAACAATGTTTGAGGATTACAGTTTCTCCACATCCTTGACAACACCTGTTATTGTTTATTTTTTAAATTATAGCCATTCTAGTGTTTGTTAAGTGGTATCTCATTGTGGTTTTGATTTGCTTTTTCCTAGTGACTAATGCATTTGAGCACCTTTTCATGTGCTTCTTGGCCATTTGTATATCTCTTTTGCAGAAGTGTCTATTCAAGTCCTTTGTCCATTTTTAAATTGGGTTTATTGTTAAGAGTACTCTCGTGTACTAGACCCTTGTTAGATATATGATTTTCAAATATTTCATTCTATGAGTTTTCTTTTCATTTTCTTGATAGTATCCTTTAATTCATAAAAGGTTTTAATTTTGATGAAGTCTGGTTAATGTATATTTTCTTTTGTTGCACATACTTTTGATGTCATATCTAAGAATCCATTGCCAAACCTAAGGTCATGAAGATTTACTTCTATATTTTCTCCTAAGAGTGTTATGGTTTTAGCGCTTACATTTAGGACTTTGACCTATTTTGAATTAATTTTTGTTTATAGTGTGAGGAAGTGGTCCAACTTCACATTTATTTGCCTGTGGATATCCAGTTGTCCCAAAACTAATTTTGAAAAAACTATTATTTCTCCCATTGTATTGTCTTGGCACCCCTGTTGATAATCAGTTGACCATAGATGTATGGGTTTCTTTTTGGACTCTTAATTCCATTCAGTTGATCTATATGTCTGTCTTTGTGCCAGTTCCATACTGTTTTGTTTACTGTAGCTTTGTAGCAGTCTTGAAGCCAGAAAGTGTAAGTCCCAATTTATTTATCTTTGTCAAAATTGTTTTGGCTCTTCAGGGTCTCTTGCAGTTCCATGAGTTTGACGGTCACGTCCGTTTTTGCAAAAAAGGTTATTCGATTTTGTATTGAATCTGCAGAACACTTTGGGAAGTACTGCCTTCTTAACCATATTAAGTATTCTATTCATGAACAAGGAATATCTGTCCCTTTATTTAGGTCTTTAATTTCTTTCAGCAAAAGTTTTATGGTTTTCAGTGTATAAGTCTCAGACCTACTTGGTTAAATCTATTCCTAAGTATTCTTTTGATGCTATTGTAGTTAGAATTTTTTTTAAATTATAAATTGTTTTTAAAATTTACTTCTTGGATTCTAATTGCTATAGAAAAATGGCTAATTTTTCTGTGTTAATCTTGGTCTTATAACTTATTGAATTTCTTTTTTTTCTTTTTTTCTTTTTTTTTTCTTTGAGATGGACTCTTGCTCTTTTGCCAGGCTGGAGTGCAGTGGCGCAATCTCGGCTCACTGCAACCTCCGCCTCCTGGGTTCAAGTGATTCTCCTGCCTCAGCCTCTGGAGTAGCTGGGACTATAGGCATGCACCACCACACCCAGCTAATTTTTGTATTTTTAGTAGAGACAGGGTTTCACCATGTTGGTAGGGGTGGTCTCGATCTCTTGACCTTGTGATCTGCCCGCCTTGGCCTCCCAACATGCTGGGATTATAGGCATGAGCCACCGCGCCCAGCCTTGAATTTCTTTATTAGCTCTAATGGTTTCCCTGTGGATTCTCAAGGATTTTCTGTTCATAAGAAAATGTCATCTACAAGCAGAGATAGTTTTACCACTTAACAGAGGTGAAAGATTAGGGCCTTCTCAGGTCTTTTCTGAGCATGGGCCTTGTCCTAGATTGCTGTGTCATCATCTGGATTCCCAGGAGTATATAGAAGCTTTTCCAAAGCCCAAAAGCATCTCATTCTTCCTCCCAGGCTTATTTTTATGTATCTGTTGTTCACCCCAACTAATATCCTTTGCCCCAAAGGCCACAGCTGGTTCATTTACCTTTAAATGATTTCAATAGGTGCCTGCCACATTGTCATTTCTCTGTCTGAGAGTTCTTAGCACTGTGTGTTACTCTTTCGGCCACCACCAGACAGAGCAAAACAGTCAACCCCAATTGTTTGAGAACCAGCTCTATTCTGCTCCTTCAAGCACTGGGAACTCATACCAGGAATACGGGATTTCATCTTAAGGACTGTTACTGAGTCAGTGTTATGGGTTGAATTGTGCCTCCTGCAAATTTCACTCATTGTAGGCTCCACCCACAGTACCTCAGAACATTGCCTTATTTGGAGATAGATTATTTACAGAGATAATAAAGTTAAAGTGAAGTCATGAGGGTGGGCCCTCATCTAATATGACTGGTGTATTAATTAGTCCATTCTTGCACTGCTATAAAGAAACACCTGAAACTGGGTAATTTATAAAGAAAAGAGGTTTAATTGGCTCATAGTTCTGCAGGTTGTACGGGTAGCATGACTGGGGAGACCGCAGGAAACTTACAACCATGGAAGAAGGCAAAGAGGAAAGAGGCACATCTTGCATGGCCAGAGCAGGAGGAAGAGAGTGAAGGGGGAGGTGCTACACGCTTTTAAAAACAGCCAGATCTTGTGAGAACTCACTATCATGAGAACAGCAAGCAGGAAATCCGCCTTCATGATCCAGTCATCTCCCACCAGCCCCTTCTTTCAACATTGGAGATTACAGTTTGACATGATATTTAGGCGGGGACCCAAATTCAAACCATATCAATTGTTGTCCTTTTAAAAGGGAAATTTGGACACAGAGAGATGTACAGAAGGAAGACCATGTGAAGACATGGGGAAGGTGGCTGTTTACCAGCCAAGGAGAGAATCCTAGAACAGAACCTTCCTTCAGAGCTTTCAGAAGGAAGCAGCCCTCCTGACACCTCGACTTTGGACTTCTAGCCTCCAGACTGTGAGAAAATACATTTCTGTCATTCAAGCTGCCCGGTCTCTGGTACTTTATTATGACAGCGCTAGCAAACTCATACAGCTTGTGAGGGGGATGGGGCGAAGGTGAGTTAAAACAACATAGATCTTTCCTACCAGGTTTCAGCTGCCATTCTCCTGATTAAGATTTGCTTACTTGCTGTAAACCTTTGTCTATATTCCAGAATTCTAATAAAGCTGCTCTGACTTTTTTTTCCCGTATTTCTGTGGAGGGATGGACCCTGGGCGTTCCCCTCTCTGCCATTTTCCCAGACTGTGGTCTGTCACCAGTATTTTGCAGGTTTTGAGTTAGTTGACCTTTCTGCAGCACCTGACCCTACTGCCTGTTTTCTGCACAGCCTGTGCTGCTGGTTCCTGTGGCGCCACACCACCCTCTTCTCTTACCTTCCTTCTAATGACATCTCATTCAAGGAATCTTTTCAACCTCGTGGTAAATAACATATCCCCCATGTATTGGTTTCCTGTTTCTGAATGTAACAAATTATCACAAATGTAGTAGCATAAACCACACATTTATTATCTTAGCGTTCTGGAAATCAGGAGTCTGCAATTAGTCATATGGCTAAAATCAAGGTGGTGGCGGGACTGGTACCTTCTGGAGGCTGTGAAGGGAGAATCTGTTTTCTTGCTTATTTCAGGTTATCATGGCCCCTTCCATTTTCAAAGCACGTGATGACTTCAGTCAGCCTTTGTCTGTAAAATGCCTTCTCATCTGTAGTCAGATGTCCCTCTGACTCTATAAAGACATGTGATTACATTTATGGCCAACCTGGATAATCCAGGACAATCTCCCCTTTTCAAGTTTCATAATCACATCTGCAAAGTCCTTTTTGCCATTTATAGTCATAGTCACAGGTTCCAGGGATTAGGACGTGGATATCTGTGGGGCCATTGTTCAGCCCACCACATCTGGGTTTTGATCCTTGACTCCCTGTTCCATCCTATTTACATACATGCATTGGATTCTTACTCTCTTTGTATAAGTACGTGGAGATGTATGTTTGTATCATGGAAGAGTATATATTTTTGTTTATTATGTTTTTTAGAATTATATAGCCCATCTCATTTGGTATATATGTTACTACAGCTTGTAAAAAAAAATTAATATTGCACAGAAGATCTATCCAAGTTGATTAGTTTATTCCTTTTTATTCCATATATTCTGAGACCATACTGCATTTATCCATTTTTTCATTGAAAGGCATTTAGGTCATTTCCGTTTTTCCTTATTGTGTGTAATACTTCAGTAAACATCCTTTACTTTGTCTGCATAAAGAGAAAGGATTTCCAGGCTGGGCACAGTGGCCTATGCCTGTAATCCCAGCACTTCGAGAGGCCAAAGTGGGAGGATTGCTTGAGCCCAGGAGTCTTTGACCAGCCTGGGTAACATAGGGCGACCCTGTCTCTACAAAAAAAAAATTTTACTTACCTGGGCATGGTGGTGCATGCTTCCAGTCCCAGCTAATCAGGAGTCTGAGGCAAGAGGACTGCTTGAGCCCAGGAGTTCAAGGCTGCAGTGAGTTATGATCGAGCCACTGCACTCCAGCCTGCGCAACAGAGCGAGAAAGGATTTCCAGAGTTACTTGGTGCTACCAGTTTGTCTACCAAGTTACCGTACCACAGCCGTTTATGAGAGTACCATTTTCTTTTTTTTTTCTTTTTTTGAGATGGAGTCTCGCTCTGTCGCCCAGGCTGGAGTGCAGTGGCACAATCTCCGCTCACTGCAAGCTCTTCCTCCTGGGTTCATGCCATTCTCCTACCTCAGCCTCCCTAGTAGCTGGGACTACAGGCACCCGTCACCACGCCCGGCTAATTTTTTGTATTTTTAGTAAAGACGGGGTTTCACCATGTTTGCCAGGATGGTCTCGATCTCCTGACCTTGTGATCCGCCCACCTCAGCCTCCCAAAGTGCTGGGATTACAGGCATGAGCCACTGCACCTGGCCGAGAGTACCATTTTCTTTATCTTCTTCCTAGCAATTAATATAGTCATATTTTAAAATTATGGCCAATCTGGTGGATAAAGAAAATCTCACTGTTTTGATTTCAATTTCTCTGATTGTAGGGTTGAGCCTTTCAGTTTTCTTTTGTTCATATACCTTACGTACTTTTCTATTGATTTTGTTCTATATTTCTTACTAATTTATAAATTTGAAATCCTTTATAGTAATCTTTGTGTTATTTTTCTTTTTTTATGAGACAGAGTTTCGCTCTTATTGCCCAGGCTGGAGTGCAATAGCACAATCTCTGCTCACTGCAACCTCCGCCTCCCTGGTTCAAGCGATTCTCCTGCCTCAGCCTCCCGAGTAGCTGGGATTGCAGGCATGTGCCACCATGCCCGGCTAATTTTGTATTTTTAGTAGAGATGGGGTTTCTCCATGTTGGTCAGGCTGGTCTCGAACTCCCGACCTCAGGTGATCTGCCTGCCTCTGCCTCCGAAAGTGCTGGGGTTACAGGCGTGAGCCACTGTGCCCGGCTTATTATTATTATTATTATTTTTTGAGGTGGAGTCTCACTCTGTCAGCCAGCCTGGAGTGCAGTGGCACCATCTTGGCTCACAGCAAGCTCTGCCTCCTGGGTTCAAGCAATTCTGCTGCCTCAGCCTCCTGAGTAGCTGGGATTACAGGCGCCTACTACCACGCCCTGCTAATTTTTTTTTTTTCCCCAAGACGGAGTTTCACTCTTGTTGCCCAGGCTTGAGTACAATGGTGCTATCTCGACTCACTGCAACCTCTGCCTCCTGGGTTCAGGCGATTGTCCTGCCTCAGCCTCCCAATTAGCTGGGATTACAGGTGCCCAACCACCATGCCTGGCTAATTTCAATTTTTTTTTTTTTTTTTTTTTTAGTAGAGATGGGGTTTCACCATTTTGGCCAGGCTGGTTTCAAACTCCTGATCTCAAGTGATCCACCCGCCTTGGCCTCCCAAAGTGCTAGGATTACAGCCAATTTTTGTATTTTTAGAAGAGAGGGGGTTTCACCATGTTGGCCAGGCTGGTCTCCAACTCATGACCTCAAGTGATCCACTCGCCTTGGCCTCCCAAAGTGCCGAGGTTATAGTTGTGAGCCACCGTACCTGGCCTTTTTTCTTAATTTGAAAATCTATATTCCAAAGGGCATTAACATGATTATTTGCTTTATCCTGTAAAGCATAATATACCAAAATAACAATACCAATATTATTGTTAACAAAATATTTTTGAAACCAGTTTAAGATTTATTTTGCAGTTCTTTTGTCCTTAAGGCACAGCCCCATTGTGACATACAGTTAGATTCCTTTGTTTTAAATTTAGCAGAAATAATTCTCTGAGTGGTACGGCATCAACTTTAGATATAATTAGATTTATTTGTTTCATTGCTGTTTGTTTTTAGAGTTTTTATTTTGAAAATCATTTTTTATAATTATGAAAAATATTTAAATGTTTCCAAAGACAAATCTGTAAAGCAAAGTATATTCAGAGATCAGTCTGGGATTCATCCCTTTCCCTCCATCTGGTTCCTTGTTCCTTTCCTCACCTTATGAAGAATGATTTATTTTGTTTTATGACTTATCTTTTTATTGTTATTTTTAATATAAGCAGATCTGTATGGGGATACACATATTTTCCTTTTGTGTATAAAAGCTGCCACATTATACTTGATTTTCTCAGACTTCCTTTGGTCATATAATAGCACCTGGAGTTCACTCTGCAGTGGGATATGCAGGTCTTCCTCAGGTCTTGTTTCAGTCGCTTAGCACTCTGTAGTGTGAGTGTACGACATACCTTCAACCAGTTGTTTGCTAATCAACATTTGGGTTGTTTCCAGTCTTTTGCAATATAAATACTGCTTTAGCTTTGTGCCTACATCTTTTCAATTTTTTTTTTTTTTTTTTTTTTGTGGAGATGGAGTCTTGCTCTGTTGCCCAGGCTGGAGTGCAATGGCATGATCTCGGCTCACTATAACCTCCACCTCCTGGGTTCGAGAGATTCTCCCTGTCGCAGCCCCCTGAGTAGCTGGCATTACAGGTGCCCACCACGTCTGGCTAACTTTTTTTTGTATTTTTAGTAGAGATGGGGTTTCACCATGTTAGTTAGGCTGGTCTTGAACTCCTGACCTCAGGTGATCCGCCCGCCTTGGCCTCCCAAAGTGCTAGGATTACAGGTGTGAGCAGCCGCGCCCGGCCCCATCTTTTCAATTTTTGGCTAATGTGTCTTTGTGGTAGATTCTTAGAAGTGGGATTTCTAGGTCCAGTGGTAAATTCATACATATATAATGTAACTGAATACTGCCATATTTCACTTCATAATGGCTGCTTATTTTGTATTCTCACGAGCAGGATATGAGTATGCTTTTATGCCTGTAGCAAACCAAACTAAGTGTATGTGTTATTCTTTTGGGTTTCTGCCAGTCTGATAGGAGTGAATGGTTCAATGCAATTTTAAGTTACATTTTTTTTTAACTTTAAAGGGTAATCATTTGTTTTTTGTTTTGTTTTGTTTTGTTTTTTGAGATGGAGTCTTGTTGTGTCGCCCAGGCTGGAGTGCGGTGGCACGATCTTGGCTCACTGCAACCTCTGCCTCCTGGGTTCAAGTGATTTTCCTGCCTCAGCCTCCCAAGTAGCTGGGATTACAGGCGTCTGCCACTACACCCAGCTAATTTTTGTATATTTATTTATTTATTTATTTTTAAGACAGAGTCTCGCTGTGTCACCCAGGCTGGAGTGCAGTGGCACGATTTCAGCTCACTGCAACCTCTGCCTCCCAGGTTCAATTGATTCTCCTGCCTCAGCCTGGTGAGTAGCTGGGACTACAGGCACCTGTCACCATGTCTGGCTAATTTTTTGTGTGTTTTTAGTAGAGATGGGTTTCACTATGTTGGCCAGGATGGTCTTGAACTCCTGACCTCATGATCTGCCCGCCTTAGCCTCCCAAAGTGCTGGGATTACAGGCATGAGCCACCATGCCCGGCCAATTTTTGTATGTTTAGTAGAGACAGGGTTTTGCCATGTTGACCAGGCTGGTCTCGAACTCTTGACCTCAGGTGATCCGCCTGTCTTGGCCTCCCAAAGCGCTGGTATTACAGGTGTGAGCCACTGCGCCCAGCCTTCCCTTCTGTATTTTTAGGAACGCTTTGCCTTTTCTTTGTCACTTAAGTTACAGATACTTATTCCCAGTTTGTCCTTTTTAGAGGACAATAAACACCAGTTTACCTAGATTCAACAGTTTTAAGTATTCTTCCACACGTTCTCTCTCTGTCTTTATCTATGTGTAATTTTTCCAGGCCAGACACAGTGACTCATGCCTATAATCCCAACACTTTGTGGGGCAAAGGTGGGAGGATTGCTTGAGCCCAGGAGTACAAGACCACCCTGAGTAACATAATGGGACCCCATGTTACAAAAAATTTTTAAAAATTAGCTGGACATGGCGGTGTGCACCTTTAGTCCCAGCTACTCAAGAAGCTGAGGCAGAAGGATCACTTGAACCTGGGAGGTCAAGGCTGCAGTGAGCTATGATCGTACCACTGCACTCTAGTGTGAGTGACAGAATGAGCTACCGTCTCAAAAAACAAAACAAAATTTCCATTTTCCCCAAAAATGTCCTCTGTAGCTTTGCTGGGCCCAAGAGCCAATCAAAGATGGTTTTTTTTATTCCTTCATAATAATGGGCATTTAAAATAAGTCCTGGTCAGGAGTCTTGTTGAACAGTTATTCTTGAATTTAACTGCTCTTTAGAATCATTTGAAGCTCTTTAAATATTCCCATACCCAGGAGATATGCAACCACGCTTAGAAGCACTGTTGTAGAATGCCTGCACATCTGTATTTGACTGATTTGTTTTTCTTCACAATTAGATTCAGATTATACATTTTTCTTTTTTTTTTTTCTTGAGAATGAATCTAGCTCTGTCGCCCAGGCTGGAGTGCAGTGGCACGATCTCGGCTCACTGCAAACTCCACCCCCCAGGTTCAAGTGATTCTTGTGCCTCAGCCTCCCAAGGAATTGGAATTACAGGCACCTGCCACCACACCTGGCTAATTTTTGTATTTTTAGTAGAGACAGGGTTTCACTGTGTTGGCCAGGCTGGCCTCGAATTCCTTACCTCGTGATCCGCCTGCCTCGGCCTCCCAAAATGCTAGGATTACAACCGTGAGCCACCACGCCCAGCCTATACATTTATCTTATGCCAGTTTATTATGTAATTTTTATATGATCTCTTTGTACCACTATTTGTAATGGTACCAAATATCTCCATTTGAAAAGCAGCCTTTCTTTTCCTTTTTTTAAACTAATAATCTTTGGCTGGAATATGGAGACTATGTGAACATCCTCTTCCCAATAATCTTTCCCAATGGTTGACTATTTAGGGTGAGCACTTTTAGCATGTTTATTGGCCATGTTAGTGTTGTCTTTTGTGAAATGACTGTTCAGATCTTTTCCCCCATTTTTCTATTAGGTCATCTTGCTTGTATTGATTTTAGAAGTATTTTATATATTCTGGGTATAGTCCCTTTAAAAGTTCGATATGTTGTCAATATTTTTTTCTCTCTGATTTGCATTTTTTTTGCATTAATGGTGTCTTTTGATTAATTGACATTCTTAATGTGGTCCAGTTTATTTCAGTCTTCTCCTTTATGGTTAGTGCTTTTGTATCTTGCTTTAAAAAAAACTTTGCTTGTGAATATAGTTTCATGTTATGTTTTTGAAGTTCTGTTGTTTTTACTCATCACATTTTAACCTACAATTCATCTGGAATTGATTCTCACATATTGTGTGAGATTGAAGTCAAGTTTTCCCCATATTTAAACCCATTTAATCAGCATAGTTTATTGAGACTGTCCTTTTCCTCACTGCTCAGCTGTGAAACTTTTAAAAATAAATCAGGTATCCATGTTTGAAGGTCTGTTTCTAGACCATACTTTTCTTCTATTGGTGTTTCAATGTATTCTTTCACCAATACCACACTGTCTTAAATTACTCTATAATAAATTCTTATATCCACTAGTGTGTTAGTTTTCTAATGCTTCGTTATAAGTTACCACAGTTTGCCACAAAACAACACAAATTTATTACCTCAGGTTCCATGGATCAGGAGTCTGGGAATGGGTTAGTTAGGTCCTGTGCTCAGGCATAAGGCCACAACCGAGATATTGCCTGAGACACCTAATCTTAATGGAGGCTCAGAGTCCCCCATACACATGTGGCAGAATTCATTTCCCATAAATGAGAACCCATAATAGTTTGCTTCTTCTTAGAGGCCAGTAGGAACTTTTCTCTGATACTTTACCTTCCTTTTTTGAGACAGAGTCTCACTCTGTCACCCAGGCTGGAGTGCAGTGGCGCGATCTCTGCTCACTGCAACCTCCGCCTCCCAGGTTCAAGCGATTCCCATGCCTCAGCCTCCTGAGTAGTTGGGATTACAGGCGCGCGCCACCATACCCAGCTAATTTTTGTATTTTTAGTAGAGATGGGGTTTCGCCATGTTGGCCAGGCTGGTCTTGAACCCCTGACCTCGTGATCTGCCCGCGTTGGCCTCCCAAAGTGCTGGGATTACAGGCATGAGCCACCATGCCCGGCCACTTTACCTTCTTTTTAAGGACTCACCTGATTGGGTAAGGCCCACCAAGACAATCTTTCTTTTGATCAACTCAAAATAAACTGATTAAGGTATCTTAATTATAACTGCAAAATCCATTTGCCATATAATGTAATATAATCTTTACTGGAGCTACAAATTCTCACACTAACAGGAGGAGATTACATAACGATGTAAGTCATTGAGGCTCATCTTAGAATTCTGACAACCACAATTAGTGTGAGTTCACACATTTTTTTGTTCTTCTCTAAGACTGCCTTGGCCATTCTTGGTGGTTTAAAAAAATTTATTTTTAGTTTTAAAAATGTTGCCTCCATTTTTATTTATTTATTTATTTATTTTCAAGTGCAGTCTAGCTCTCTCGCCCAGGCTGGAGTGCAGTGGCACAGCCTTAGCTCACTGCAACCTCCACCTCCCAGGTTCAAGTGATTCTCCTGCCCCGGCCTCCCAGATTTGCTGGGATTAACAAGCGTAAGCCATCACTCCGGGCCTTTTGCCTTCATTTGATGATGATGGGAACATTCTTGGTTCTTTGAATTTTTTTTTTTTCTTTTTGAGATCTGTCACCAGGTTGGAGTGCAGTGGCATGATCTCAGCTCACTGCAGCCTCTGCCTCTGGGGTTCAAGCGATTCTGCCTCAGCCTCCCGAGTAGCTGGGACTACAGGTGCGCGCCACCATGCCCAGCTAATTTTTGTATTTTTGGTAGAGATGGGGTTTCACCGTGTTGGCCAGGCTGGTCTCGAACTCCTGACCTTGTGATCTGCCTGGGTTGGCCTCCCAAAGTGCTGGGATTGCAGGCGTGAGCCACCGCACCGAGCTGGTTCTTTGAATTTCTATATATAAGCTTGAGAATCAACTTGTCAGTTTCCACAAAAATATTTGCTAAGCTTTTGATTGGGATTACCTAGAATTTATAGGCCAATTTAGGGAGAATTGAGAACTTTGTAATATTGAGTTGTCCAATCCATGACTATAATTAGTTCCTTTATTTTTAAAGATATTCTGTTTTTTTAAAGATATTCTTTTGTTTTTCTTGAGAATGCTTTATAATTTTCTGTGTAATTGTCTTAAAAATGATTTGTTAGATTTATTCTGAGGTTTTTTTTTTTTTTTTTCGAGATGTAGTCTCACTCTGTCACCCAGGCTGGAGTGCAGTGGCGCGATCTCGGCTCAATGCAAACTCTGCCTCCCGGGTTCATGCCATTCTCCCACCTCAGCCTCCCGAGTAGCTGGGACTACAGGTGCCTGCTACCACGCCCGGCTAATTTTTGGCATTTTTAGTAGAGACAGAGTTTCACCGTGTTAGCCAAGATGGTTTCGATCTCCTGACCTCATGATCCGCCCACCTCGGCCTCCCAAAGTGCTGGGATTACAGGCGTGAGCCCCTGTGCCTGGCTGGTATTTCTTGTTTTTGATGGCACTATAGGTGGTACTTTGAAACAATTAGTTGCTGGTATATAGAAATCCACTTGATTTTTTTTTTTTTTTTTTTTGAGCTGGAGTTTTGCTCTTATTGCCCAGGCTGGGATGCAATGGCACAATCTTGGCTCACCACAACCTCCGCCTCCCGCGTTCAAGCGATTCTCCTGCCTCAGCCTCTGGAGTAGCTGGGATTACAGGCATGTGCCACCACGTTCAGCTAATTTTGTATTTTTAGTAGAGATGGGGTTTCTCCATGTTGGTCAGGCTGGTCTCGAACTCCTGATCTCAGGTGATCCACCCACTCAGCCTCCCAATGTGCTGGGATTACAGGCGTGAACTACCATGCCCAGCCGAAATCCACTTCATTTTATTTATTTATTTTTTGAGACGGAGTCTCGCTCTGTCATCTGGGCTGGAGTGCAGTGGTGCGATCTCGGCTCACCGCAACCTCCGCCTCCTGGGTTCAAGCGATTCTCCTCCCTCAGCCTCCCAAGTAGCTGGGACCACAGGCTCATGCAACCAAGTCCAGCTAATTTTTTGTATTTTTAGTAGAAATGGGGTTTCACCGTGTTACCCAGGGTGGTCTCCATCTCCTGACCTCATGATCCACCCTCCTGGGCCTCCCAAAGTGCTGGGATTACAGGCGTGAGCCACTGTGCCCGGCCTCCACTTGATTTTTACACATTGATCTTGTATCCAAAAACTTACTGAATTCACTTCTTACTTACAATAATTTGTAGCTTCCCTTGCATGTTCTTCATGCAGAATTATGACATCTGCAGATACTGATAGCTTTATTTAATTTCTTCTAATTCTTATAACTTTTTATATCTTTTCTTGCCTTATTCCACTCACTTTTACGCTCTGACCTATTTTTTCCCCTATTTTCCAGTTCTCGGTGTATGCCATGAACATTTACCAGCTGTTTGTGTTGCTAACCTGGGAATGGTGCTTCTTTCTCTCTCTGCTGGTTTGTGTCTACTTATTGGCTTCCCACTACCCGCAGCAGTCAGTCATCTCTGAGCTAGATGAAACAGTCCACTGGATTAAAGAAGAAAATATTCAAATGCCTACCTACATATATTATAATCTAAGAAAAAGAGTGAAATTTAATATATAGGTTGGCAATATAAGTTTATAATTTATAAATTAACAAAAAGGTTACCCAGGATAGGGCCAGGAGCAGTGGCTCATGCCTGTAATCCCAGCACTTTGGGAGGCCAAGGCGGGCAGATCACCTGAGGTTGGGAGTTCGAGACCAGCCTGACCAACATGGAGAAACCCCATCTCTACTAAAAATACAAACTTAGCTGGGTGTGGTGGTGCATGCCTGTAATCCCAGCTACTCGGGAGGCTGAGGCAGGAGAATTGCTTGAACCCAGGAGGCAGAGGTTGCAGTGAGCCGAGATTGCGCCATTGCACTCCAGCCTGGGTAACAAAAACGAAACTCCATCTTAAAAAAAAAAAAAAAAAAGATTACCCAGGATTGAAAAATGTCCAAATATTTTGGATACCCCTAATTCTATAGGAACAAGTCCAAAATTACTCAATGATGTTCCCTGAATACCTCTATAGCTCTTTATCTTATCAGCGTCCCAAACAATACTATTCTATGTGCTTATTGTTACTCCTTTAACTACATATGATAGCTGTATCCATTCTTATGCTATTGCCTGAGTTCATGAATAACACTCTAGTTGTTTAAGAATTCAAATCTTCACCTCCGCAGTGAAACCCAACCAAATAGCAGGAATAGAACTTTTCTCCCCCTTTGTAAGCTTAGATAACTTTTTACATCTTTTCACTATAGTACCTGCAACATCTTATTGTAGTTATGTGATTATAGGTTTGCCTGTGCTTATCAGACTATATTTTCCTTGAGAACAGTAACATTGTTTTAGTTGTCTTCATATTCCCCCAAAGTAGAATTCTTTGTGACACATAGGCACATGGTGGGACACCAATTACTTATCATGGCGGTGGGGTATATCTATTATGATTTCTTTTTTCCAACCAAGTACAGTGCAAAAGTAGACATCCTATAACACGTTTTTGGATTAACTGTGAATGGTGAACATTATAATAATTCTCTTACAGCGTTTATGTCTTTAAATTTTGATTGCTCAAATTTGAATGGAATGTACTGTTTCAGGGATCCTTGTCATTTGAAGATGTGACTGTGGGCTTCACCCAGGAGGAGTGGCAGCATCTGGACCCTGCTCAGATGACCCTGTACAGGGATGTGATGCTAGAGAACTACAGCCACCTCGTCTCAGTGGGTAGGTAGGAACTGTTTTTCATGTAGACTCCTAGTGTGTACATATTTTTTTGGTTGCTGAAACTTGTGGAAGTTTTGTTAAGGTTAATTAAACTAAACTTGATATTCAGAGTATTAAGCAGAAGAACTGTTTGGGGTGCTGTAAAGAATGTTGTTGTTTTCTTACTGTTTCCACACACGGTTGAAATTGGCTTTTGAAGTTTCATTTTCTCCCTCTTTCAGAGGCCCTAAAGTCCATTATCCTCACCTAGTTTCCATGTCATTTCCCGTTCACAGGATATTGCATCCCTAAACCAGAAGTGATCTTCAAATTGGAACAAGGAGAGCAGCCATAGACATTAGAGGAAGAGCCCCCAGGCCAGAGATACCCAGGTGAATTGGCATGTATTAAGCAGAAGGATGCCAGTGACATGGTATGAATTATTTTAATTCTCAAGAATTTGCATGGCCAGGCACAGTGGCTCAATGCCTGTAATCCCAGCACTTTGGGAGGCCAAGATGGGCAGATCACCTGAGGTCAGAGTTTGAGACCAGCCTGGCCAACATGGTGAAACCCCATGTCTACAAAAATACAAAAATTAGCCGGGCATGATGGCAGGTGCCTGTAATCCCAGCTACTTGGGAGGCGGAGGCAGGAGAATCACTTGAACCAGGAAGGTGAAGGTTGCAGTGACCTGAGATTGCACCACTGTATTCCAGCCTGGGCGACAGAGCGAGACTCTGTCTCAAAAAAAAAAAAAAAAAAAAAAGAGTTTGCTCGTATGTTCATTCCTACTGTGTGTCACTCAAGTTTTAGGTGCTGGAAATAGAGTAGTGAACTGAATTTTATCCATGACCTCATGGAGCTTACCTTCTGATTGGGAGAAAAAGATAAGGATCAAAAATGGCAGCACTACCACACATGCACAGAAATGCCAAGTGGTCATGTAAAATAGTAAGGAAATTAAAGAAGGTTAAGAATGATGGAGTGTTAAACTTTAGAAAGGTAGGCTTTTGGATGCTGTGAACTTGAATGATATGAGGGTTGGAGTTGGGGGTAGTCTTGATAGCAGGGAAAGCATCAAGTGCAGGGCACTGAGGCAGGAGTGCACGTGTGGTCTTTGAGGACACACAAATATCAGTGTGGATTGAAAAGAATGAATGAGGCAAGAGTGGTATGAGTTGATGTTGGAGAGGTAATGGGAGCCCAAATTATGTAGGGCCATATGGCCATGATAAGGACTATGATTTTATTTTGAGTAAAATGAGAAGCTATTGACCCAATAAGGAACATTTTCTGATTTGTCTTTTAAATGAATATCTCTGGCTGGTAAGCAAAGAAAATACTATTGGGGACAGAGGGATGAAAGCAGGAGCATGAGTCAGGAGAGTATTTCCGTCTGCAAAAAGGCAATAGTAGCTTACACTTTGGAGTGGTGGTGATTATTAAAAGTGATTGGCTTTTGGCTGGGCACAGTGGCTCACGCCTTTAATCCCAGCACTTTTGGAGGCTGAGGTGGGCAGATCACCTGAGGTCAGGAGTTCAAGACCAGCCTGGCTAACATGGTGAAACCCCATCTCTACTAAAAATACAAAAATTAGCCAGGCGTGGTGGCATGCGCCTGTAATCCCAGCCACCCAGGAGGCTGTGGCAGGAGAATTGCTGGAACCCGAGGGGCAGAGGCTGAGGTGAGCCAAGATTGCATCACTGCACTCCAGCCTAGGTGACAGAACAAGACTCTGTCTCAAAAAAAAATTAAAAAGTGGTTGGCTTTTCAATATGTTTTGAATGTGGGACCTGTAACATTTGCTATTGAGTGGGATATGGAACATGAAAGAAAGAAAGGAGTCAAGAGTGACTCTAAAGATTTCACCCAGAGCAGTTGGATAAGTGGGTACCAGTTGGGGGATATTGAGGAGAAACAGTTTTGGAGGGATTGTTACGTGTTTAGTTTGCACACATAAAGTTTCAGGTGATTATAAAATATCCAGGTTTACATGGCGAATAAGCATTTGGGCATATAAGCAGGTAGTTTGGGGCAAGTCCAAGAGGAAGATATTTATTTGGAAATTATCAGCTTATGGCAGTAGTTAACAGTTTTTAAGTTTAGTATTTAAAGCTGATGGATTAGATAACCTCTCTTTTGGGGTAGGACTGGAGGCTGTCCCCTGGGTCATTAGCTTTCAGAAGTCATGAAAGTGAGGAGACTGAGCAAAGAAGAAAGAAAAAGCAGTTTGGGGATGAGTGGAAAACAAAGAATGTAGTATCCTGCAGCAAAGTGAAGACACAGTGTTTCATGGAGAAAGTGAGCTTCTCTGAAGCAGGATGTGTAAAGTCAGCATTTTCTCTGTCTCTGTCTACAGATCATCCAGAAGCAATAAGGAAAAAGAGCAACACAACTTTATCTTATGACAATAGAGGATATCTGAAACCCCAAATCAATACAAGTGGAAATGCTGCCAGAATCACTGAAAAATTAAGGAGGTCTATATGTACCAGCAGATGAAAAGAAACAAAAACATTTCTGGTGCTTGAAGGAACTGGTAATATACTTGACAGAGATAAAGTACATACTCTGAGGTGCAAAGCTTAAATCTCTCTTGGAATAACATCAGTGCTGTGCACAGGACAGCTGGAGCTCCTTTGAATGCAGTTTGGTTCTGTGAAGCTGATGTAGGGTTACGTATGGAAACAGACACACAAGTCATATTTTTCTGTGACAATGCAAGAGATGAGACTTTCCATTTCAGAAAAAAAATGTTACAGACACCTGTATGTGGGGAAATAAACTTACATGCTATCTTAGCTTGTATTCCTACAAACAATTTGAAATAAAAATTTACTCAATAACTATTGGTCAGGATGGGCAGACCTACTGCAGAAGTGAGGAAATGGGGAATAAGGCTGGTTAGGACAAAGAGAAAGTACAAGAGGGTGATAACAGAGCAAGCCATTACTAAGGCTACTCTGGCAAGAAAGGAGCGACAATCTGGGTTGATGCATAAACTGAGTTTGGTGTATGTGCAAAACACTTGTTCATAAGAAGCTCTCTTGTTAGGTTAAGACATGGCTCTGTTCCCTTTACCTAGTAAAACTGATGGAGTGTAAAAGCTCATGTCCTTTGAAGCTGAGTAATCCAAAAGGAACCAGCATAAAATGCCCCACAAAACTACTGCAAGAAAAAAGAGGTGAAAAAGATTAGAAAAAAAAAGTAGGTGATGAAATGTCACCTGATCAAAGTGGACATAAAGTAGATAAATAATTGGGCCAAATAATAAACCATGAATTTCAAAAAGGACTAATTGAATTGATTACCTGCATGATATGAGAGTTCAAGAAGGATGTTAAGGCAACAGTATAATGTTTTAATTCATTTAATAAAATGCATTCTGGGATGTCAGGCTGAGAAAAGAATTGGAAGAGAAAATAAGAACCACAGTAAAGAAAACAAATTGGGGCCAGGGACGGTGGCTCACACCTGTAATCCCCGCACTTTGGGAGGCCAAGGCCAGTGGATCACTTGAGGTCAGGAGTTTGAGACAGGCCTGGCCAACATAGTGAAACCCCATCTCTACTAAAAATACAAAAAATTAGCTGGGAATGGCGGCACACCTGTAATCCCAGTTACTTAGGAAGCTGAGGCAGGAGAATAACTTGAACCCAGCAGGCAGAGGCTGCAGTGAGTCAAGATCACACCACTGCACTCTAGCCTGGGCAACAGAATGAAACTCCATCTCAAAAAAAATAAAAGCAAATTGGAGGATTCCCAAAGAATAGGCATTGCTGAAATGTAGATTAGAAATAAATGTGGAAAGCCTTTCAAGCAAGAAGAAACTGAAGTAAATAAAAGGTGAATATTGCATAAAGAAGATAGTATAAAAGATATTTCACATATATGCTATTACATACAGTTGATTCCCCAAAGTAGAAAATGAAATAAATAGAACCAATATTGAAAATATTCCAATAACACTTTTTGGGGAAAAGAAGATACAATTGAATCTACATAAAAAGACAAACCATCCCTCAGGAAGGCAGACCAACAATGATCAACATCGTGATATATTCCTAATAATATTACTAGACTTCAAAGATAAAGAATCATTTTGACAGCCAGTCAATATAAGAAAAAAGTCCAGCTGATCTCAGCCTTTTCCATAACAAAGTTTGCTAAAAAAAACTGATAAAAGTCTGCAGAGCAATTGCTACAAAATCATTAGGGTGGGTCAAATTAAGAACTTTATACCAGGTTAAAGAGCGATTCTTTAACAAAAAAGAGGAAACCTTTTTTTGAATAGGCAAGAATTCTGGGCCCTTTCTCCCTAAGACCTTTTATTAGAGGATGAATATCAGATAACCAAGAAGTGACACAAAAAGCATGGTAAAAATATTGGTGGTAGCCTCTGAATTTAATTGAGGAACTAATTCTAAAGCAAATGTGAGAATGTGTTATTGAAAACCTGGGCGTTATAGACTGTATTTAATTTGATTAAGTGGAGGCTAAAAACAAGTGGGAAGAATGACGGTATTCTAATAAAGCGAATTATGTTAAAATGCAGTGTATACATTCCTAAGAATCACTGATCTTTGCAAATGAGTACAATAAAAATCATAGGACTAATGGGAAAATGAGGTCAAGGTCTAACACTCAAAAACTTTCTGTGTCAGTGATACACAACAGTGAAGTCTTCAGTTGCAATTTTGGATTGAATTTCTCCTTTTGATTATTTTGGTTTTTGCTTTATGAATTTTGGAGCATTATTAAGTTGTACATATTAGGATCCTTATGTCCACTTCATGAATTAACCACTTAATAATTATGTAATGTCTCTCTTTATACCTAGTAATACTCTTTGTTCTAAACACTACTTTGATATTAATTTAGCTCTTCCAGTTGTCTTTTATTTACCTTTTTCCATACTTTTAATCTGTTTATATTTAAAGTGAATTTCTTTTTTTTTTTTTCTTGAGATGGAGTCTTGCTCTGTCACCGAGGCTGGAGTGCAATGGCACAATCTTGGCTCACTGCAACCTCTGCCTCCTGGGTTCAAGCGATTCTCCGCCTTAGCCTCCCGAGTAGCTGGGATTACAGGCACGTGCCACCACACCTGGCTAATATTTTGTATTTTTGGTAGAGACGAGATTTCACCATGTTGGCCAGGCTGGTCTCCAACTCCTGACCTTGTGATCTGCCTACTTCGGCCTCCCAGAGTGCTGGGATTACAGGCATGAGCCACTGCACCCAGCCATGAATTTCTTAAAATAGCATGTGGTTGGATGTTGCTTTTATAATTCATGTGAAACTTCTACTTTTTTTTTTTTTTTTTTTTTGGGACAGTGTCTCACTCTGTTGCCTGGGCTGGAATGCAGTGGCACAATCTCAGCTCACTGCAGCTTCCGCCTCCCGGGTTCAAGCTATTTCCAGCTAAACTTTGTACTTTTAGTAGAGACAGGATTTCACCGTGTTGACCAGGCTGGTCTCGAGCTCCTGACCTCAAGTGATCTGCCTGCCTCGGTCTTCCAAAGTGCTAGGATTACAGGCGTGAGCCACTGCACCCAGTCTTACTTCTACTTCTTAACTGTGATATTTCAACCACATATATTTAATACAATTTTTTAATGTTTGGATTCATATTATTTTGCTGAGTGTTTCCTCCTTGCTCATTTGTTCTTTTTCCTTTTTTTCCTCGTTTTCTCTCATTTGGATTGATAATTTTTATTTTGTTTTATCTCCGCTGAATTCTTGTTAGTATTACAGGTTGAGCATCCCTAATCTGAAAATCTGATATCTGAAATGCTAAAAAACCCAGAACTTTTTGAGGGCCAACAGGACACCACAAGTGGAAAGTTCCACACCTTATGTGATGGGGCACAAAGTGTAGGGGCACAACACATAGTTTATTCAGTGTCCCTAAGGGAAAAAGACTCTCTCAACCCCCTTTAGCCGTGATATATCTTTGTATACATGCATAGTATATTAGTCCTCGCATTGCTATATGCATTCTCGCATTGCTATAAAGAACTACCTGAGACTGGGTAATTTATAAAGGGAAGAGTTTTAATTGGCTCACAGTTCTGCAGGCTGTATAGGAAACATAACTCGGAGGCCTCAGGAAACTTACACTCATAGTGGAAGGTGAAGGGCAAACAAGCACGTCTTATGTGGCCAGAGCAGGAAGAAGAGAGAGAGGTGGGAGGTGCCACACACATTTAAACAACTACATTTCTTGAGACCTGTGTCACGAGAACAGCACCAAAGGGGGGAAATCAGCCCCCATGATGCAATCACCTCCCACCAGGCCCACCTCCAGCATTGGGGATTGCAATCCGACATGAGATTTGGGCAGGGACACGAATCCAAACCATATCACCTAGATTCCCTCACACAAGTACTCCCTCAAAGGACAATATACAAATATTCCAAAATCTGAAAAAATAAAAAATCCAGAAACACCCGGAATCCAAAACACTTCTGGTCTCAAGCATTTCAGGTAAGGGATACTCAGCCTGTACTTCTTTCTTAATTTTTCTTTTAAGTGGTTGCCCCATGATATACAATAAGCATTATCAGTTTATCAGTCTCCTTTCAAGTGGTATTATACTATTTCACATATAACCTTAGAATCTTACAACAATGTAAGATTTAAGATTTGATACAGCTCCATTCCGTCCTCCCATTTTTTCTTTTTTGTTTTTTTGATACGGTTTTGATCTGTTGCCCAGGCTAGAGTGCAGTCACACAATCACGGCTCAACTTCCCGGCCTCAGGTGATCCTACCACCTCAGCCTCCTGAGTAGTTTGAACTACAGGACATACCACTATGTCTGTCTAGTTGTTTTGTATTTTTAGTAGTGACGAGCTCTCACCATGTTGCCCAGGCTGGTTTTGAGTTCCTGGGCTAAAGTCTTCCTCCCTTTGTATGTGATATTGTAGACATATGTTTTTACTTAGAGACCCCACAATGTATCAGTAGTATTTTTGCTCTATAAAGCCAGTCGTCTTTTATAATGATTTAAAAGTCTTTTATATTTGCCCCCCATTTTGAAAACATTTTAGGCATTCTTAATATCTTTGTGTATCTTCCTCCTTTTGTGTAAATAACTTCCTTTAGTATTTCATAAAGCAAAGCTCTGTTGGCAGTGAATTTTCTGAGCTTTTGTTTGTCTAAAAAAAACTATCTTTGTTTGTAAGATTTTTTTTTCTCTGGGTATAGAATTCTAGGTTGACATTTTTTTTTCTCCATACTTTAAATATTTCATTCTGTTGTCTTCTGACTTAGATATTATTTCCTGCTGTAATTTAAAAATCTTTGTTTTTCTGCATTTAATATCCTGTTTTCTCTGGCTACCTTAAAGATTTTCTTTTTATCCTTGGTTTTTAGCTGTTTGGCTATGATATTTATAGATTTTGCCTTTTGTGTGTGTGTGGTATTTTTCTTTCTTGCTGTTCTCTCACTTTTCACAACTGTGGTTTGATGTTTTTCATCTTTTTTCCCTGGGTCTCCAGTTGCTTGTATATGTCTGTTATCCCATAGTTCTTAGATATTTTGCATTAGGAGAATTTTCCGCGTGCTTCTCTGTGTCGGCTGTTAGCTATCCCTCCAAGCCTGTGTCTCCCTGCTCTTGCCCCTCTGCCAGCAATAGGCTGCTGCTCCCTGTTACTCTATGCCATGCTTGTGGTGGGGGCAAGGGTGTTCTCTGTTGTTCTAACACAGCCTTAGTCATAGGCAGGCCCTGTGTGCCTGGGCCTCAGCATGGAGGCTTTCACCATGTACAGTCAGCCCTCTGTATCTGCAGGTGTGGCAGGGCTAACTGTGCGACTTGATCATCTGTGGATTTTGGTATCTGAGGGAAGTTCTGGAAACAATCCCCTGCAGAGCCTGAGGTATAACTGTACCTGCTTCTTCTTCAGTGTTATGAGACCTCTATTTTTCTGTCAGTAAAGGATCCTGGGCCCAATGTAGTTCTGCACTCCTGCTGTAGGGATAGAGGGCTTTTTTGCACCCTTATTCTCCTATACTCCCACACTAGGGGATCCAGACTCTAGGCCGTCACCTTAGGTTGGTAGCTTGCTTTAAGGAAAGGAAAATAATTCCTCTCAAGGATAAGCATCCCCAATATTCTCACTTACAGTTAAACAAAACATGAGCTTAAAACCAAAACCTGATGAAATAAGTCATTTGTGAGAGTAAACAGAAATAATGGAAAATATATTTTCAAACACCCATTAATTAAGACCATGGATTTATTAGTAATTATAAAACAACCATGTAAGACACATTCAGAGTAGTAGAAGAGGAAATAAAAGGAGTAAGGAAGAAGGAATGTCTGTCAGTACAGATTACTGAACACTACATTTAACATTTAAAAAGAATTAAAATTGGATTGATCCTGCAATAAATTATAAAAACCATACCTTTTGCATATTTTTTTAGTAAAATTCTAATAGCAAATACAGGAAGAGAGAAAATGAACCCTAAAAGAATGCTTGAGATGGGAGTATTGGTAAATAAGTGATAGGAATTTAGGAAACATAGGTAAATCTAAATTATGTTTGTATAAAATAATAATGATACTTACTTTGTAGCGCTAAAAAAGACACAATTATATAATAAACAATAGTTGCATATAAATGAGGTGGGGATAATCAAATTGTGTTTCAAAATCCTTCTGTAATTCAGAAAAGAGGTTTACGATATTAACTCACTTTGGTATGTGGCATATAATGGATATTGTATCATTAGTTAACTAACTCTGGATCTTGATGAGTGAGAAAGCTTGGTAAAATTTAATGGGTAGCCAACCATTGAGAAACTGGTATAGTATAACTTCCAAAGATGTAAAGAAGAAAAAATGGGAAAATATCAAAAAAACAAAGTACAAAAAGAAGAAAGGTGCAGTGGATATCGTAGGAAAACTCTGACAAATACAAGATACAAACTAACATTTAGGAGACAACTTGATATGTTTTCAGTAATCACCATAAATTACCTGTTGAAAAACAATAAAATTGAATCTTCAAAAAATAATAATAAGCTCTTGCTATATCCATGATACAAAGTTTTGGTCTGATGACCTTCCCCTTTCTATTTCCAGTGCCTTTGGCCACTCACGCAGTGTTTTACCTGCGGTCAGGAGTCTGGGAGGATGTTCTGATACCCTGCAAATTGGCAAGAACTGAAACTAAAATCATTACTGACAAATCATAAATCTTCCTCACTTATCTTATTTGTTACATTCTATAAGCCTGCTGCTCTCACAAATGACCCTCATAATGTTATTTTACTTTTGTCTTTCCGTCATCCTTTCTTAATGATGTTAAGTAACTGTCTGTTATTGGGATGGGTGTGGTGGCTCACGCCTGTAGTCCCAGCACTTTGGGAGGCCGAGGTGGGTGGATCACTTGAGGTCAGGAGTTCGATACCAGCCTGGCCAACATGGTGAAACCCCATCTCTACCAAAAATATAAAAAATTAGCCGGGTGTGGTAGCACATGCCTGTAATCCCAGCTAATCAGGAGGCTGATGCAGGAGAATCACTTGAACTTGGGAGATGGAGGTTGCAGTGAGCTGCGATCATGCCACTGCACTCCAGCCTGGGTGACAGAGCAAAACTCCATCTCAAAAAAAGGCCAGGCACAGTGGCTCACACCTGTAATCCCAGCACTTTCGGAGGCTGAGGGGGGTGGATCATCTGAGGTCAGGAGTTCAAGACCCACCTGGCCAACATGGTGAAACCATGTCTCTACTAAAATACAAAAATTAGCTGGGCAAGGTGGCGGGTGCCTGTGATCCCAGCTGCTCGGGAGGCTGAGGCAGGATAATTGCTTGAACCCAGGAAGCAGAGGTTGCAGTGAGCTAAGATCACGCCACTGCACTCCAGCATGGGTGACAGAGCCAGACTCCATCTCAAAACAAAACAAAACATATCTATTACTATTTTACTTTTGTAAACTGTCTTCTAAATATTTTTATATTTTATATTTTCACTTTTCACTCATACCACCTGAAACACTAACCATTACAACCCCTGCCTTGTGGGTTCAAGTGGTAGAAGAACACCATTTAAAACTTGATATGTTTCATACAAATAAAACCATTCCTCTGACATTTTTCTTCTCTTTTTTTCTTTTTCTTTTTTTTTCCTTTTGAGACAGAGTTTTGCTCTTGTTGCCCAGGCTGGAGTGCAATGGCGTGATCTCAGCTCACCGCAGCCTCCACTTCCTGGGTTCAAGCGATTCTCCTGTCCAGCCTCCCTAGTAGCTGGGATTACAGGCATGTGCCACCATACCCAGCTAATTTTGCATTTTTAGTAGAGACGGGGTTTCTTCATGTTGGTCAGGCTGGTCTTGAACTCCCAACCTCAGGTGATCCTCCCTCCTGGGCTTCCCGAAGTGCTGAGATTACAGGTGTGAGCCACCACGCCTGGCCTCCTCTGATATTTTTCTAGAACACTGTTAACTACTAGTTTTCCTTGCCCCCTCATTCTCTGCATGTCCCATTTCTAGATTAGCCATTTTTATATTTATATTATTTATTTTATATATTTTTAGTATCATTTTTATATCTAATGTTTTATGTCATTATTTGTGTCTATTCTATATTCACTGTGCTTTATGGTTATTTGTAACCTCTGTGTTGTTTCAAAGTACGTATTTGTAAATTGCCCATTGTGTGTTCTAAATTTCCACCCTACTTTCCACATTATAAGGTTTCATGTTTATTTTCTTCTAGCCAAAGGGCTGGAGGAGATTAACACTTTTTGGATTACTTTATTCCAGGAAACTAAGTCAACTACATATAAAAGCGCGTATGTATGTAAGTGTAATTTCATCACAAATATCACAAGACTCATAAGTTGTGGTTATTTTTTCTTATTTCTAGAAGTCTGCAAAGTGGATGATCAACTAGAGCACTGTCAGGAAATCCAGGACAGACATATCTGGCAAGCTCCATATATCAACAATAGAACACTGACTATAGAGAGAGGTAACATAGTAGGAAAAGTGTTTGATTTCAGCATACACCAACTTCCTTCCATAAAAATACCTTGTAAATGTGACTTATGTGGTATGAGTTTGCAATACATTTCAGATTTATTTAATAGTAAGAAAAACTATTTAAGAAAGATGCCTCATGACCTCAGTGCATATGGAAAACTATTCCTCAATAGTAACCATGAAAAAACTCATATGGAAGAGAAACCTTATGAGTTTATTCAAAATGGAAAATGTCTCAGTCATAAGGAGGACTTCATTTCATATCTGAGAATTCAAAATTTAGAGCAATCTTTTGAATATAAGGAATGTGAAAAGGATTTCTATGGAAAGGCAGTTTTCATTACATATAAGCAAGCTTACACAGGAGCGAGTCCTTGTGTACACAATGAATGTAATAAAGTGTTCTGTAATAATTCAACTCTCATGGTCCATAAAATGTCAGAAAAAAGAGAAAACTTTTATGAGTTTAATGAATATGAAAAAACCTTTGAGAAGTCCCCTTTCTTGAAACATAAAGTTCATTTGGAGGTGAAACACTATAAACATATTGAAAGTGTAGGAATTTTAACAGATCAAGCTTTCCTAACACAAGAGAGAAAATATTTGAAAGTAACAAATCAGGGGAAGCTTTGTGCGAGAAGTCAGTACTTAATGTAACTCAGAGAACACACAGAGGAGAGGAAGTCTGTGGATGTGAGCCATGTGTAAAACCATTCTATGAAAAGTCAAAGCTAACCAAACATCAAAGAATCCATACAGGGGAGAAACCCTATGAATGTAATAAATGTGAAAAATGCTTTTCTAGGAAATCTCTCCTCACTCTACATCAGAGAGTCCACACAGGAGAGAAACCCTATGTAAGGAATGTGGGAAATGCTTTTCTAGGAATTCACACCTCATAATACATCAGAGAACTCACACAGGAGAGCAACCCTGTGAATGCAAGGAATGTAGAAAAAGCTTCTATCATAAGTCATATCTTACAGTACATCAGAGAATTCACACAGGGGAGAAACCCTATGAATGTAATCAATGTGGAAAAACCTTCATAAGCAACTCTGTTCTCACAATACATCGTAAAACATATACAGGTGAGAAACCCTATGAATGTAATGAATGTGGGAAATCTTTCTCTAGGAGTTCATATCTTACAATACATCAGAGAACTCACCCAGGCGAGAAACCCTATGAATGTAAGGTATGTAGCAAAACCTTTTGCCACAAGTCTGATGCCACTAAACATCAGAAGACTCACCTAGGGGGAAAACCCTATGAATGTACTCAATGTGGGAAAACTTTTAGTCGTAACTCAGGCCTAAAAGTACATCAGAGAACACATGCAAAGGAGAAACCCTATGAATATACTGAGTGTGGGAAATCCTTCTCTGAGAAATCAGTCCTCACAGTACATCAGAGAATACACACAGGGGAAAAACCTTATAAATGTAATGCACGTGGAAAAACCTTCTACAATAAATCAGACCTAACCAAACATCAGAGAACACACACAGGTGAGAAGCCCTGTGAATGTAAGGAATGTGGGAAATTCTTCTCTAGGAATTCATACCTTACAATACACCAGAGAATGCATACAGGAGACAAACCCTATGTGTGTAAAAAATGTGGGAAAACCTTCTACCATAAGGCAGACTATACAGTACATAAGAGAACACACAGAGGGGAGAAATCTTATTACTGTAATAAATGTGGGAAAACCTTTATTTGCAACTCAGTCCTCAAATCACATCAGAGAACACACACAGGGGAGAAGCCCTATGGATGTAATGAGTGTGGGAAGTCCTTCTCTGAGAAATCAGTCCTTACTGTACATCAGAGAATACACACAGGGGAAAAACCTTATAAATGTAATGAATGAGGGAAGTCCTTCTATCATAAGTCAGATCTCACTAAACATTAGAGAACACATACAGTAGAGAAACCCTATGAATGTAATCAGTGTGGGAAAAGCTTCAGTTGCAGCTCAGGCCTCAAAGTACATCAGAGAAGTACAAGGGAGAAACCCTATGAATGTAACCAGTGTGGGAAACCCTCTGAGAAATCAAGTCTCATAGCACATCCAAGGATACACATGGGAAAAAGCTTATAAATGTAGAAATGAGAGAAATCTTTCTCAAGCAATTCATACCTGAAAATACGTAGGAGAAATCAAATAGGACATGACCCCTGTGAATGTAAAGAATTTGGCAAACCTTTTACCATAAGTCATCTTCCAAAGTAAATAAGAGAATAGACGGGGAGGAGCCAAGATGGCCAAATAGGAACAGCTCCGGTCTACAGCTCCCAGGGTGAGCGACGCAGAAGACGGGTGATTTCTGCATTTCCATCTGAGGTACCGGGTTCATCTCACTAGGGAGTGCCAGACAGTGGGCGCAGGTCAGTGGGTGCGTGCACTGTGCGCGAGCCGAAGCAGGGCGAGGCATTGCCTCACTTGGGAAGCGCAAGGGGTCAGGGAGTTCCCTTTCTGAGTCAAAGAAAGGGGTGATGGACGGCACCTGGAAAATCGGGTCACTCCCACCCGAATACTGCGCTTTTCCGACGGGCTTAAAAAACGGCGCACCACGAGATTATATCCCGCACATGGCTCGGAGGGTCCTGGGCCCACGGAGTCTCGCTGATTGCTAGCACAGCAGTCTGAGATCAAACTGCAAGACGGCAGTGAGGCTGGGGGAGGGGTGCCCGCCATTGCCCAGGCTTGATTAGGTAAACAAAGCAGCCGGGAAGCTCAAACTGGGTGGAGCCCACCACAGCTCAAGGAGGCCTGCCTGCCTCTGTAGGCTCCACCTCTGGGGGCAGGGCACACACAAACAAAAAGACAGCAGTAACCTCTGCAGACTTAAATGTCCCTGTCTGACAGCTTTGAAGAGAGCAGTGGTTCTCCCAGCATGCAACTGGAGATCTGAGAACAGGCAGACTGCCTCCTCAAGTGGGTCCCTGACCCCTGACCCCCGGGCAGCCTAACTGGGAGGCAACCCCCACCAGGGGCACACTGACACCTCACACGGCAGGGTATTCCAACAGACCTGCAGCTGAGGGTCCTCTCTGTTAGAAGGAAAACTAACAAACAGAAAGGACATCCACACCAAAAACCCATCTGTACATCACCATCATCAAAGACCAAAAGTAGATAAAACCACAAAGATGGGGAAAAAACAGAACAGAAAAACTGGAAACTCTAAAAAGCAGAGCGCCTCTCCTTCTCCAAAGGAACGCAGTTCCTCACCAGCAACGGAACAAAGCTGGATGGAGAATGACTTTGACGAGCTGAGAGAAGAAGGCTTCGGACTATCAAATTACTCTGAGCTATGGGAGGACATTCAAACCAAAGGCAAAGAAGTTGAAAACTTTGAAAAAAATTTAGAAGAATGTATAACTAGAATAACCAATACAGAGAAGTGCTTAAAGGTGCTGATGGAGCTGAAAACCAAGGCTCGAGAACTACGGGAAGAATGCAGAAGCCTCAGGAGCCGATGCGATCAACTGGAAGAAAGGGTATCAGCAATGGAAGATGAAATGAATGAAATGAAACGAGAAGGGAAGTTTAGAGAAAAAAGAATAAAAAGAAATGAGCAAAGTCTCCAAGAAATATGGGACTATGTGAAAAGACCAAATCTACGTCTGACTGGTGTACCTGAAAGTGACGGGGAGAATGGAGCCAAGTTGGAAAACACGCTGCAGGATATTATCCAGGAGAACTTCCCCAATCTAGCAAGGCAGGCCAACATTCAGATTCAGGAAATACAGAGAACTCCACAAAGATACTACTCGAGAAGAGCAACTCCAAGACACATAATTGTCAGATTCACCAAAGTTGAAATGAAGGAAAAAATGTTAAGGGCAGCCAGAGAGAAAGGTCAGGTTACCCTCAAAGGGAAGCCCATCAGACTAACAGCAGATCTCTTGGCAGAAACCCTACAAGCCAGAAGAGAGTGGGGGCCAATATTCAACATTCTTAAAGAAAAGAATTTTCAACCCAGAATTTCATATCCAGCCAAACTAAGCTTCATAAGTGAAGGAGAAATAAAATCCTTTACAGACAAGCAAATGCTGAGAGATTTTGTCACTACCAGGCCTGCCTTACAAGAGCTCCTGAAGGAAGCACTAAACATGGAAAGGAACAACCGGTACTAGCCACTGCAAAATCATGCCAAAATGTAAAGACCATCGAGATGAGGAAGAAACTGCATCAACTAACGAGCAAAATCACCAGCTAACATCATAATGACAGGATCAAATTCACACATAACAATATTAACTTTAAATGTAAATGGACTAAATGCTCCAATTAAAAGACACAGACTGGCAAATTGGATAAAAAGTCAAGAACCATCAGTGTGCTGTATTCAGGAAACCCATCTCACGTGCAGAGACACACATAGGCTCAAAATAAAAGGATGGAGGAAGATCTACCAAGCCAATGGAAAACAAAAAAAAGGCAGGGGTTGCAATCCTAGTCTCTGATAAAACAGAACTTAAACCAACAAAGATCAAAAGAGACTAAGAAGGCCATTACTTAATGGTAAAGGGATCAATTCAACAAGAAGAGCTAACTATCCTAAATATATATGCATCCAATACAGGAGCACCAAGATTCATAAAGCAAGTCCTGAGTCACCTACAAAGAGACTTAGACTCCCACACATTAATAATGGAGACTTTAACACCCCACTGTCAACATTAGACAGATCAACGAGACAGAAAGTCAACAAGGATACCCAGGAATTGAACTCAGCTCTGCACCAAGCGGACCTAATAGACATCTACAGAACTCTCCACCCCAAATCAACAGAATATACATTTTTTTCAGCACCACACCGCACCTATTCCAAAATTGACCACATACTGGGAAGTAAAGCTCTCCTCAGCAAATGTAAAAAACAGAAATTATAACAATCTCTCAGACCACAGTGCAATCAAACTAGAACTCAGGATTAAGAATCTCACTCAAAACCACTCAACTACATGGAAACTGAACAACCTGCTCCTGAATGACTACTGGGTACATAACGAAATGAAGGCAGAAATAAAGATGTTCTTTGAAACCAACGAGAACAAAGACACAACATAACAGAATCTCTGGGATGCATTCAAAGCAGTGTGTAGAGGGAAATTTATAGCACTAAATGCCCACAAGAGAAAGCAGGAAAGATCCAAAATTGACACCCTAACATCACAATTAAAAGAACTAGAAAAGCAAGAGCAAACACATTCAAAGGCTAGCAGAAGGCAAGAAATAACTAAAATCAGAGCAGAACTGAAGGAAATAGAGACACAAAAATCCTTCAAAAAATTAATGAATCCAGGAGCTGGTTTTTTGAAAGGATAAACAAAATTGTTAGACTGCTAGCAAGACTAATAAAGAAAAGAGAGAAGAATCAAATAGACGCAATAAAAAATGATAAGGGGGATATCACCACCGATCCCACAGAAATACAAACTACCATTAGAGAATACTACAAACACCTCTACGCAAATAAACTAGAAAATCTAGAAGAAATGGAAAAATTCCTGGACACATACACTCTCCCAAGACTAAACCAGGAAGAAGTTGAATCTCTGAATAGACCAATAACAGGATCTGAAATTGTGGCAATAATCAATAGCTTACCAACCAAAAAGAGTCCAGGACCAGATGGATTCACAGCCGAATTCTACCAGAGGTACAAGGAGGAACTGGTACCATTCCTTCTGAAGCTATTCCAATCAATAGAAAAAGAGGGAATCCTCCCTAACTCATTTTATGAGGCCAGCATCATTCTGATACCAAAGCCAGGAAGAGACACAACAAAAAAAGAGAATTTTGGACCAATATCCTTGATGAACATTGATGCAAAAATCCTCAATAAAATACTGGCAAAACGAATCCAGCAACACATCAAAAAGCTTATCCACCATGATCAAGTGGGCTTCATCCCTGGGATGCAAGGCTGGTTCAATATACGCAAATCAATAAATGTAATCCAGCATATAAACAGAGCCAAAGACAAAAACCACATGATTATCTCAATAGATGCAGAAAAAGCCTTTGACAAAATTCAACAACCCTTCATGCTAAAAACTCTCAATAAATTAGGTATTGATGGGACGTATTTCAAAATAATAAGAGCTATCTATGACAGACCCACAGCCAATATCATACTGAATGGGCAAAAACTGGAAGCATTCCCTTTGAAAACTGGCACAAGACAGGGATGCCCTCTCTCACCACTCCTATTCAACATAGTGTTGGAAGTTCTGGCCAGGGCAATTAGGCAGGAGAAGGAAATAAAGGGTATTCAATTAGGAAAAGAGGAAGTCAAATTGTCCCTGTTTGCAGATGACATGATTGTATATCTAGAAAACCCCACTGTCTCAGCCGAAAATCTCCTTAAGCTGATAAGCAACTTCAGCAAAGTCTCAGGATAAAAAAAATCAATGTACAAAAATCACAAGCATTCTTATACACCAACAACAGACAAACAGAGAGCCAAATCATGGGTGAACTCCCATTCACAATTGCTTCAAAGAGAATAAAATACCTAGGAATCCAAATTACAAGGGATGTGAAGGACGTCTTCAAGGAGAACTACAAACCACTGCTCAAGGAAATAAAAGAGGATACAAACAAATGGAAGAACATTCCATGCTTATGGGTAGGAAGAATCAATATCGTGAAAATGGCCATACTGCCCAAGGTAACCTACAGATTCAATGCCATCCCCATCAAGCTACCAATCACTTTCTTCACAGAATTGGAAAAAAAATACTTTAAAGTTCATATGGAACCAAAACAGAGCCCGCATCGCCAAGTCAATCCTAAGCCAAAAGAACAAAGCTGGAGGCATCACACTACCTGACTTCAAACTATACTACAAGGCTACAGTAACCAAAACAGCATGGTACTTGTACCAAAACAGAGATATAGATCAATGGAACAGAACAGAGCCCTCAGAAATAACGCCACGTATCTACAACTATCTGATCTTTGACAAACCTGAGAAAAGCAAGCAATGGGGAAAGGATTCCCTATTTAATAAATGGTGCTGGGAAAACTGGCTAGCCATATGTAGAAAGCTGAAACTGGATCCCTTCCTTACACCTTATACAAAAATCAATTCAAGATGGATTAAAGACTTAAACGTTAGACCTAAAACCATAAAAACCCTAGAAGAAAACCTAGGCTTTACCATTCAGGACATAGGCATGGGCAAGGACTTGATGTCTAAAACACCAAAAGCAATGGCAACAAAAGCCAAAATTGACAAATGGGATCTAATTAAACTAAAGAGCTTCTGCATAGCAAAAGAAACTACCATCAGAGTGAACAGGCAACCTACAAAATGGGAGAAAATTTTTGCAACCTACTCATCTGACAAAGGGCTAATATCCAGAATCTACAATGAACTCAAACAAATTTACAAGAAAAAAACAAACAACCCCATCAAAAAGTGGGCGAAGGACATGAACAGACACTTCTCAAAAGAAGACATTTATGCAGCCAAAAAACACATGAAAAAATGCTCATCATCACTGGCCATCAGAGAAATGCAAATCAAAACCACAATGAGATACCATCTCACACCAGTTAAAATGGCAATCATTAAAAAGTCAGGAAACAACAGGTGCTGGAGAGGATGTGGAGAAATAGGAACACTTTTACACTGTTGGTGGGACTGTAAACTAGTTCAGCCATTGTGGAAGTCAGTGTGACGATTCCTCAGGGATCTAGAACTAGAAATACCATTTGACCCAGCCATCCCATTACTGGGTATATACCCAAAGGGCTATAAATCATGCTGCTATAAAGACACATGCACACGTATGTTTATTGTGGCATTATTCACAATAGCAAAGACTTGGAACCAACCCAAATGTCCAACAATGATAGACTGGATCAAGAAAATGTGGCACATATACACCATGGAATACTATGCAGCCATAAAAAATGATGAGTTCATGTCCTTTGTAGGGACATGGATGAAATTGGAAATCATCATTCTCAGTAAACTGTCGCAAGAACAAAAAACCAAACACCGCATATTCTCACTCGTAGGTGGGAATTGAACAATGAGATCACATGGACACAGGAAGGGGAATATCACACTCTGGGGACTGTTGTGGGGTGGGGGGAGGGGGGAGGGATAGCATCGAGAGATATACCTAATGCTAGATGACAAGTTAGTGGGTGCAGCGCACCAGCATGGCACATGTATACTTATGTAACTAACCTGCACAATGTGCACATGTACCCTAAAACTTAATAAAAAAAAAAGAGAGAATAGACATAGGGGAAATTCCTAATAATGTAATGAATGTTTGAAAATCTGCTGTAAAAGACAACTACAAAGTAACTGAATACATGTAGAAGAAATGCTACTAATACATGTAGGGAATATGGGGAAATATTTTGCTATAATTTGGAGTTTATTAAAGAACTTACATAGGAAATAATCTAATGACTCACATGGATATATGAAAATGTTCTTCCAGAGAATGACCATTAATAAAAATAAGATAAACCACATTTAGAAAAAACCGTCAACATTCTGTGGGTTTTTTTTTTCTTGTGACAACTTTATGCACAAGTTTTACTCATTGTGTATTAAAGAAATAATAGGGAAGACACTCAAAGAATGCAGCAAATGTTGTTGAGCCTATATCAAGAAATGCCATTTTACTGAGCAAGATAATTCATATTGAGTTAAAGTTATAACAGATATTTTGAATGTGAAGACATTAACAAAAATTCAGACCTTATTATATCTGAAGATTGTGTTAAAGGAAATGTGTCAATTTAGGAAATAATGAATAGAAATTTTCTTCTAGATACAATATTATACTGAAAGTCATGTTTTAAAAAAATCAGTCATGTTTTGTTCTGACCCCAAATTTTTAAATGTAAATATAACTGTAAATAGAATTCTATACAAATAATAACTGTAGAGTATGAAGATTTTTATAAAGTACAAATAAATTCAATAACCTTTTCAGTCTCTGAGTCCACTTTTGGGGAAAGAGTGTTACCCCATGGCCCTTCCTATCATGAGCCTCTCCTGTCCTTGATTAGTCTGCCCTCCAACTATACTGTTGCCTCTGCGTTTTCTGCCTAGTGGACCTACCCTTAGGGGAGCTCAGGATGGACGACCCTCTTACCAGAACGTACACTGGGACCAGCCAGAGGCAGTGGGATATACGTTGTCCTTGAGGCTGCATCTGCCCCTCTTCCTAGGTGCAGAGACTGGAAACCACATTAAGTGTGTGTACAAAGCTAGAGGACCACCTAGAAACCTCTAGCCCATGTGACCTTAGTCTCCAATTCAGAGCCACAGGAAGCTCAGTATAGCTTACTTTTTTTGAATCCAAGCCTATTGACTCAATTTTAGTGAACCCTTTTAGGTGGGCTGGTGTAGTTTTAGTCAAATATTTCATAACATAACCATCAGTGTACTTATTGCAGCTTGGAAGTAAAGTATTACACAAGTAGTTTAAGCATCTGCATATCATTCCCAAATTCCTTTAACTTCCTATAACCTTTACCACCTTTAAGCCTTATTTTCAACTTGGCTTTTATTGATACCACATCTCATTACTTTTATTCTTTCTTTCCATATAACACATATACTATTGTGTATGTACAATAACATTTTGTTGTTTTGCAAGTATTTGCAAAAGTTGAAGTTATTCAGCTTTTGTCTTCAAATGCATGGTTTTGACCTTTTTACCTGCTGATATGTTTAGCTTTACTTATTTTAATAAGGTATAATAAATGACTTTGTGTAACTATAAAATATTGTCCATTTTCCTGTTTATGAAATTTCAAAATTTTGTTTCACTATTAAAACAATGTATGATAATTTTTATAAATCAACTTAGGTATAATTTAAACATGGTAAAAGATACCCTGTTTAGCCAATTTTATGAGTGATATGGTTTGGGGCTCTGTGTCCCCACCCAAATTGCATCTTGAATTGTAATCCCCATGTGTTGAAGGAAGGACCTGACAAGAGGTGATTGGATCATGGGAGTGGTTTCTCCCGTGCTGTTCTCATGATAGTGAGGGAGTTCTCACGAGATCTGATATTTTCAAAAACGTCAGTTTCCCCTGCACTCACTTGCTGTCTCCTGCCGCCCTGTTAATAAGTTGCCTGCTTCCCCTTCACTTTTCACCATGATTGTAAGTCTCCTGAGGCCTCCCCAGCCATTCTGAACTGTGAGTAATTAAACTTCTTTTGTTTTTAAATTAACCAGTCTCAGGTAGTATCGTTATAGCTGTGAGAACGGACTAATACAATGAGTTTTTACAACAGTATACCCTCATGTAGTAACTACCACACTTAAGATGCAGAGCAGAATCTACAAATAACTTAAATTTACAAGAAAAAAACAACCCCATCAAAAAGTGGGCAAAGGATATGAACAGACACTTCTCAAAAAGAAGACATTTATGCAGCCAACAGACACATGAAAAAATGCTCATCATCACTGGTCATCAGAGAAATGCAAATCAAAACCACAATGAGATACTATCTCACACCAGTTAGAATGACAATCATTAAAAAGTCAGGAAACAACAGTTGCTGGAGAGGATGTGGAGAAATAGGAATGCTTTTACACTGTTGGTGGGAGTATAAACTAGCTCAATTACTGTAGAAGACAATGTGGCAATTCCTTAAGGATATAGAACTAGAAATACCATTTGACCCAGCCATCCCATTACTGGGTATATACCCAAAGGATTATAAATCATGCTACTGTAAAGACACATGCACATGTATGTTTATTGTGGCACTATTCACAATAGCAAAGACTTGGAACCAACCCAGATGTTCATCAATGATAGACTAGATTAAGAAAATGTGGCACATATACATCATGGAATACTATGCAGCCATAAAAAAGGATGAGTTCATGTCCTTTGCAGGGACATGGATGAAGCTGGAAACCATTATTCTCAGCAAACTATGACAAGGACAGAAAACCAAACACCGTATGTTCTCACTCATAGGTGGGAGTTGAACAATGAGAACACTTGGACACAGAGCGGGGAACATCAAACACCAGGGCCTGTCAGGGGTTGGGGGCTGGGGGAGGGATAGCATTAGGAGAAATACCTAATGTAAATGACGAGTTGATGGGTGCAGCAAACCAACATGGCACATGTATACCTATGTAACAAACCTGCATGTTGTGCACATGTACCCTAGAACTTAAAGTATAATTTTAAAAAAAGTATAATAAAAAAAGATACAGAGCATACCCATTACCCAGAAAGATTTCCCATTCCTCTTCCCAGTCACTCACTTCCCCTTTTCCCCTCCTGGCCCTGGCAACCAATTAATCCACTTTTTTTTTTTTTTTGAGATGGAGTCTCGCTCTGTCGCCAGGCAGACCTCATGATCCACCTGCCTCGGCCTCCCAAAGTGCTGGGATTACAGGTGTGAGCCACTGTGCCTGGCCCTAATTATCCACTTTCTATCACCAGGCTAGATTTATCTTTTGTAGCATTTCACATAAATGGAGTTATACAGGATTTACTCATTTGTGTCTGTCTGCTTTGATTCAGCATGATTTTGAGATTCACCTATGTTTTAACATGTGTTAGTAACACCTTCATGTTATTGATAACTAGTATTCTATTGTATGTGTATATTTTGACTTATATATTCTGTTGTTTCTGGTTTTTGATTGCAAGGAATATACTTGCTGCTATCATTTGGATGTGTGTCCTGTCTGAACTTCATGTTGAAATTTGATCCCATGTTAGAGGTGGCACCTAATAGGTGGTGTTTGGATCCTAGAGGCAGATCCTTCATGAATAGATGATGCCCTCTCTCAAGGGTGAGAGAGTCCTCGCTCCAATAGTTTCCATGAGAGCTGGTTGTTAAAAATAGCCTGGCACCTCCCTTAACTCTCTTGGTTCCTCTCTTACCATTTGATCTCCATGCACAGTGATCACTGGGTCTCTTCTGCCAAACGAAAGCAGTCTGAGGCCCTCACAAGATGTCCAATCTTAAGCTTTCTCAGACATCAGAATCATGAGCCAAATAAACCTCTTTTCTTTAAAAATAAAATTTATTTATAAATTATATCATATATTCCTTTATAGCAACACAAAATGTACTAAAACAGCTGCCAGGGGACATTCTTGTGTATTTTTCTGTAGACATGTGTTTTTATTTATCTTGGGTGAATACTTGATGTAAAATTTCTAGGTTTGTAGGATAAGTACATGCAAAGCTTTCATTTGGCTTTATATATACTTACTTTGCAAACCTAGGGTTGTACCATTTTACATTTTTGTCATTAATGTTTGAGAGTTTTAATTCTACATTTTTGCCAATACTTGCCATTGTCACTGTTTTTAATGTAGTTACTCTAATCAGTGTATAGTGGCATTTCACTGTGTTTTTCACTTGCATTCACCTGATGAATAATGATGTTATGCGTTTTTCACTTATTAGCCATTTGTATGTCATATTTTATGAAATGTCTGCTTACATTGTTTCCCCACTTTTTAGTTGGGTTTTTTGTCTTGCTATTAATTGAATTTCAGGAATTCTCTATTCATTGTGAATATTATTCCCCAGTCTGTGGAATTTTTTTTTTTTTTTTTTTTTTTGTGAGACAGAGTTTTGCTCTTTTTGCCCAGACTGGAGTACAATGGAACAATCTTGGCTTACTGCAACCTCCACCTCCTGGAGTTCAAGCGATTCTCCTGCCTCAGCGTGCCAAGTAGCCGGGACAACAAGCATGTGCTCTTCTTTAATGGTCTTGTCTAAGAAATCTTTAATGTTAGCAAAGTTTTTTTCCCCATGTTTTCTCAGTGTCTTAACTCTGTTTTTAGATCTATTTTGAGTAAATTTATTCAAAATGTCTGATCTATTTTGAGTAAATGTGATCTATTTTGAGTTAATTTTTGTGTATGGTATAAATTAAGGATTGAGATGTATTTTCTCCCACTTGACTATTCAGTTGTTTCGTCACCATTTGTTGAAAAGTTTAACTTTTTCTATTGAATTACCTCAGTACCTTTGTTGAAATCCAGTTAATTATTTGTGTGTGTTTGCCTGTATATGGGAGGGGGATGCTATGTACCTGTGGACTCTTAATTTTACACCAGGGGTCCCCAACTCCCAGGTAGCGGACCAGTGCCAGTCCATGGCTTGTTAGGAACCCTGCTTCACAGCAGGAGGTGAGCAGCGGGTGAGCAAGCAAGCATTACTGCCTGAGTTCTGCCTCCTGTCAGATCAGCGGCAGCATTAGATTTTCACAGGAGGGCAAACCCTATTGTAAACTGAGCATACAAGGGATTTGGTTGTGCGTGCTGTATAAGAGTCTAACTAGGGCCTGATGACCTGAGGTAGAACAGTTTCATCCCGAAACCATCCCCTCCCCCACCCACCCTGGTCTGGAAAAATTGTCTTCCACAAAAGCAGTCCCTGGTGCCAAATGTTGGAGACCACTGTATTACATCGACCTTTGTATCTTCTTTACAGAGCATTGTCTTAGCTTTAAAGTACATCTTTAAATGAAGTCCTATAAGTTCTTCAAGTTTGTTTTCTGCTTTAAAATCATTTTGACTTTTTTTTTTTTTTGAGATGGAGTCTTGCTGTGTCGCCCAGGCTGGAGTGCAATTGCGCAATCTCGAGTCACTGCAACCTCAGCCTCCTGGATTCAAGCGATTCTCCTGCCTCAGCCTCCTGAGTAGCTGGGATTACAGACGCCTGCCACCACACCCAGCTAGTTTTTGTATTTTTAGTAGAGATGGGTTTTCACCATGTTGGTCAGGCTGGTCTCGAACTCCTAACCTCAGGTGATCCACCCTCCTCAGCCTCCCAATGTGCTGAGATTACAGGCATGAGCCAATGCGCCCAGCATCATTTAGACTTTTCTAAGTCCTTTGCATTTCCACTTAAATTTTAGAATGAGCTTGTCAGTTTCTTAAAAAAAAAAGCGCTGCTTTGATTAGGATTTCATTTACTCTAAATTACTTTGGGGAAAATTGACATCTTGATATTGACTCATCCATGAATATGATATCTCTCTCCATTTAAGTGTGCCTTTAATTTAATTGGGTCTTTAATTGTTTCTCAACAATGCTTTTAATTGCCAGTGTATGGATGTTGCACATGTTAAATTTTTCCCTAGGTATATCTTGGTTTTGGGTGCTATTGTAAATATTATTATTTAATTTCAATTACCAGTTGTCCCTTGTTTGTATTTAGAAATACACTTGATATTTGTACACTGACCCTATTTCCATTGATCTTGATAAACTTAATTTTGATATCTTTTGTGAATCCCTGAGATTTTCTGTATATAGTCATGCATCACTTAATCATAGGGGATATCTTCTGTGGAATGTATCATTAGGTGATTTTGTCATTGTTTGAACATCACAGAGCGTGTTTACACAGACTTAGATGGTATAGCCTACTACACACCCAGGCTATCTGATATAACCTATTGCTCCTAGGCTACAAACCATACAGCAAGTTACTGTACTGAATACTGAAGGCAGTTGTAACCCAGTGGTATATGTGTAACTAAACATAGAAAAGGTACAATAAAAATACATTGTAAAAGATTTTTAAAATGGTGCACCTGTATAGGGGACTTGCCTTGAATGGAGCTTGTGGGAGTGGAAGTTGTTCTGTGTGTCAGTAAGTGATGAGTGAATATGAAGGCCTAGGAAATTACTGTACACTACTGTGGGCTTTATAAACACTGGACACTTAGGCTACAGTAAGTTTATAGAAAATACTTTTATTTTTCCAATAATAAATTAACCTTAGCTTTCTGGGACTTTTTTACTTTATAAACTTTTAAATGTATTTATTTATTTATTTTTGAGACAGAGTCTTGCCCTTGTTGCCCAGGCCGGAGGGCAATGGCACAATTTCAGCTCACTGCAACCTCCGCCTCCTGTGTTCAAGCGATTCTCCTGCCTCAGCCTCCCAAGTAGCTGGGATTACAGGCACCTACCACCACACCCAGCTAATTTTTGTAGTTTTAGTAGAGATGGGGTTTCGCCATGTTGGCCAGGCTGGTCTCAAACTCCTGACCTCATGACCCACCTTCCTCGGCCTCCAAAAGTGCTGGGATTACAGGTGTGAGCCACCGTGCCTGACCAAACTTTTAATTTTTTTTAACTTACTGCCTGTTTTGTAATAACACACTTAGATTAAAACACAAGCACATTGTGCAGCCAGCAGTACACATTTCCCCCCTTAATATTCTTGTTTTCTAAGCTCTTTTCTATTTTCAATTTTTTTATTTTTATTTTTTGGAACAGGGTCTCATCTGTTGCCCAGGCTGGAGTGCGGTGGTGCAATCACGGCCCAATGCAGTCTCAGCTGGGCTCAAGTGATCCTTCCACCTCAGCTTCCCAGGAAGCTGGGACTACAGCTGCGAGCCACCATGCCTGGCTGATTTTATTTTTCTTTTTTGGTAGAGATACGGTTTCGCCATATTGCCCAGGCTGGTCTCAAACTCCTGGGCTCAAGCAATCCGCCTGCCTTGGCCTCCCAAAGTGCTGGGATTACAGTTGTGAGCCACTGTGCCCGACCTATAATTTATTTTTTTAAACATTTAAAACTCTTTTGTTAAAAACCAAGACTTAAACACACACATTATCCAGGGTGTACACAAAGGGTCATCAATATCATTGTCTTCCATCTCCATATCTTGTTCCTCTGGAAGGTCTTCAGGGGCAGTAATTTGGGTGGAGCTGTTATCTTCTATGATGACAATGCCTTCTTCTGGAATACCTCCTGAAGGACCTGCTCAAGGCTGTTTTACAGCTATTTTTTTTTTCTTTTATAAGTGGAGTTGACCCTTGATCAATGTGAGGTTTAAGAATATAGACCCCTGCATAATCTAAAATTCATGTATAATTTTTTACTCTCCCAAAACTTCTAACAGCCTGCTGTTCACCAGAAGCTTTGCCAGTATTAATTGATTAACACATATTTTGAAGGTTATATGTATGATATGCTGTATTCTTACAATAAAGCTACAGAAAAGAAAATGTTACCGAGATAATTATAAGGAAGAGAAAATATGTTTACTATTCATTAAGTGGAAGTGGATCATCATAAAAGTCTTCATCCTTATCTTCACATGGAGTAGTCTGAGGAGGAGGAGAAAGAAGAGAGGTTGCTCTTGCTGTCTTAGGGGCGGCAGAGGTGGAAGAAAATTCACATTTACATGAACTGCCGTTTAAACCTGTGTTATTCAAGGGCCAGCTGTATATTTAAGTTATGCAACATGATGTTATGAGATACATATAGGTAGTAAAATGTTTACAATAGTAAATTAACATATCCATCATGTGTAGTTA
Organism: Homo sapiens; assembly: GCF_000001405.40. Taxonomy (NCBI): domain Eukaryota; kingdom Metazoa; phylum Chordata; class Mammalia; order Primates; family Hominidae; genus Homo; species Homo sapiens. Next base: position 37,911,057 of record NC_000010.11, read on the forward strand.
CCCATTTTTTTTGTGGCAAGAGCAGCTACAGTCTTTCCAAATACAGCACTGTATAATTAACTATGGTCCTCACATTATACATTAGATTTCTAGCCTTGTTCATCGTACATGTCTGCTACTTTGTATGCTTTGACCTGCCTCTCCTGATTTGTTTGCCCCTGCCGCTACACCTGTTAACCACTGTTTTATTCTCTGTCTCAATATTTGACTTTTTAAAAAAGCTATGCATGTGAGATCATGCAATATTTTAATTTCTGTATCTGGCCTATTTCACTTAGCATAATGTCCTCCAGTTTCATTCATGTTGTGGCAAATGGCAGAGCCGCCTTCTTAAGGCTAAATGATATTCTATTGTATAAATATTTCACAATTTCATTATCTGTTTGCTCACTGACGGACACTTAGGTTGTTTCTATATCTTGGCTACTTAGAGTAATGCTGCAATGAACATCAGAGTGCAGAGATCTTTATGAGGTGGTGATTTCATCTTCTTTTGGTGTAGGCAGAAGCGGGATTGCTGGGTCATATGGAAGTTCCTTTTTTTTTTTTTTTGAGACAGAGTTTCGCTCTTGTTGCCCAGGCTGAAGTGCAATGGCGTGATATCAGCTCACCACAACCTCTGCCTCCTGGGTTCAAGTGATTCTCCTGCCTCAGCCTCCCAAGTAGCTATAGGCATGCGCCACCACACCTGGCTAATTTTGTATTTTTAGTAGAGATGGGCTTTCCCCATGTTGGTCAGGCTGGTCTTGAACTCCCGACTTCAGGTGAAATGCCCATCTTGGCCTCCCAAAGTGCTGGGATTACAGGCGTGAGTCACTGCGCCCTGCCAGAAGTTCTATTTTTAATGTCTGTAGGACTCCATACTGCTTTCCATAATGACTGCACCAATCTATATTCCCACCAGCAGTGTACAAGGGCTGCCTTTTCTTCATACCCTTGCTGATACTTAGTATCTTTTGTCTTTTTTTGTTGTTAATAGACATCCTATGGGTATGAGATGATATCTCATATGGTTTTGATTTGCATTTCCCTGATGATTACTAATATTGAGCACCTTTTCATATACGTGTTGGCTATTTTTATGTCTTTGGAGAAATGTCTATTAGGTCCTTTGTCCAGTTTTTTAACCAGGTTATTTGTTTCTGCTATTGACTGTATGAGTTTTTAAATAAATTGTTTATATTAAACTGTTATCAGCTATATGGTTTACAAATATTTTTTCCCAACCCATATGTTACCTTTTCATTTTGTTGATTGTTTCCTTGGCTATGCAGAAGCATTTTAGTTTTAGTTCCATTTATTTTAGCTTTTGTAGCCTGACCTTTGGGTGTGATATCCAAAAAATCATTGCAAAGGCCACTGTTAAGGAACTTTTCCTCTGTGTTTTCTTCAAGTAGTCTTATGGTTTCAGGTCTTATTTTTAGTTCTATTATGTATTTTTGAGTTGATTTTTGTGTGATATAAGAAAAAGGTCCCATTTCATTCTTTTGCATTTGAAAAACCAGCTTTCCTAGAACCATTTATTGAAGAGATTGCCTTTTCCTCATTGTGTCCTTGTAGTGCCCTTGCTGAAAATTAGTTCACCATATATGTTTGGTTTTTTTCTGGGCTGTCTATGCTGTTTCACTGGTCTAGCTGTGAAGCGTAGCTCTGAGCAGCTCCCTCAGGTGGGCTCAGCACCTGTATGGCCTGTAGGAGTCCCCAGTGGCAAAGACTGCAGGTGTCCATGTGGTAATGGGGGTTGCTGGCATCCTCCTGCATGACTTTTCCCTACAGGGAGAAGTCCTTCCTGGTTCCAAGTTGATCCCAGTTGGGGTATGGGGTGGCAGAGGTGAGGTATTTCCTTTCCTTCTCTGTGCAGCCCGCCTGAGTTTCTCTGTGTCTCTGTGCTTTGCAAGATTCTTTGACTCCTGTGCTTTATTCTGATCTCCTTTAGTTGTTTTCATTGAAAGAAGTTGTTTTAGTTGTTTTTGTGGGAGGCACTAGCTCTAGGAACTTCTGCTTAGCCACCTTGGTGATGTCACTCCTGTATTATTGATTTTGAAGCATCATTATTATTATTATTATTAGATGGAGTCTCACTCTGTCACCCAGGCTGGACTGCAGTGGTGCAATCTTGGCTCACTGAAACCTCCCCCTCCCGGGTTCAAGTGATTCTCCTGCCTCAGTCTCCCGAGTAGCTGGGATTACAGGTGTGCGCCACCACCCCTGGCTAATTTTTATATTTTTAGTAGAGATGGGGTTTCGCCATGTTGGCCAGGCTGGTCTCGAACTCTTGGCCTCAAGTGATCCACCCGCCCCCAGCCTCCCAAAGTGCTGGGATTACAGGCATGAGCTGCGGCACCTGGCCTGAAGCATTATTTCTAATGGCTGCTTTAAAGTCTGCCAGATGATTCCAGTATCTGATCCATCTCAGTGTTAGTGTCATTTGATTCTTCTCTTTTTCAAGTTGTTGTTGTTGGTTTTTGTTAGGATGTGTGATTTTTAAAGGTATCCTGTACATTTTTCCTACTTAGGTTTGGAAACTGTGAGTCCTATTTCAATCTTTTATTTTTGCAGGCAGATACCTTCTTTAGGTTTCAGCTTGCAGTTCTTGGCTTACCTTTATGGGCTGTGGTTCCAGTGACAGTTTTCAGAGTCTTTCTGGTGTTATTTTAGTCTACTCCTTTTATCTAGTACAGATGGGCCTGCCTCTGGTTCTTGTTGGTGCTGCCTGAAGGAGCCAAAGGAGTTTCTCCAGGCCATTCCACGAGGTATCTGTTGGTGGGGATGGAGAATTCTTAGGCCTGTGGATACAAAGAGGCTTCCTGGATGAGACCTTTTCTTGGCTGGGCCTCACCTACTTCAGTCTCTTGGTTGGGGAGGGGAGCACTTCTCCGCCTGTTTATTGTTGGAGGATTCTCCAGGTCAGTCGCCTTTGCCAGGGGTTTCAGGCTTGCCTGAGACTGTAAGAGGGGACTCCCTTTAGTTCAGGGAGAGGAATGAGCTTACTAGGGCTGCTTTGTTGCTAGTTTGGAGGTCAGGAAATGTTGGGTCTGGGATGCCTTATTCTGTGTAGATAAAGTGCCATGCTGTTGCATTGTTCCTCCAGTTCTGGGCTCATATGCCAGTTTACCTTTTTCTTACCACTTTTCAGAATTTCCTTTTCTTGTCCCTTGTTATTTCCAGAGGAAAGGAGGAACAGGGAGAAACGTTTGTATGCCATATTATTTAGACTAATTGTTTTTTATTTATTTCATTATTCTTTTCTTTATCTGTCTTTTTAAATGTATTTTTGTATTCCATTTTTTTCACAATTTGGATCAACTTTAAAAACATTATTATATAGGTGTTTCTTTGAAATTTACATCAGTTTCTTTAATTTATCACAATCTACCTTCAAATAATAATAGATCTTTAACTTAGAGTGTACTTAGTTTCCCCTCTCCTGTTTTGCACTATTGTTGTCATACTTTCCATTTCTTTTTTTTGAGAGAGACAGAGTCTTGCTCTGTCACCCTGGCTGGAGTGCAGTGGCATGATCTTGGCTCACTGCAACCTCCGCCTCCCAGGTTCAAGCAATTCTCCTGCCTCAGCCTCCAGAGTAGCTGGGATTACAGGTGTGCACAACCATGCCCAGCTCATTTTTGTATTTTTAGTAGAAATGGGGTTTCTCCATGTTGGCCAGGCTGGTCTTGAACTCCTGACCTCAGGTGATCCACCTGCCTTGGCCTCCCAAAGTGTTGGGATTACAGGTGTGAGCCATCACGCCCGGCCCCATTGCTGTGTTTCCAATAAATCCTGCATTATACTATTTTGCTTGCTTTAAACAGTTACCTTTTAAAGAATTTTTTTTTTTTTGAGATGGAGGCTGTAGTGCAGTGGCGCGATCTAGGCTCACTGCAATCTCTGACTCCCAGGTTCAACCAATTCGTCTGTCTCAGCCTCCCGAGTAGCAGGGATTACAGGCACCATGCCCAGCTAATTTTTGTGTTTTGAGTAGAGACCGGGTTTCACCATGTTGGCCAGGATGGTCTCGATCTCCTGACCTTGTGATCTGCCCGCCTCTGCCTCCCAAAGTGCTGGGATTACAGGCGTGAGCCACCGTGCCCAGCCCTTTTAGAGTAATTTTTGAATGAGAAATATTTTATATTTGTCTCATTATTTACCATTTTTGGTAAATTCTTCATTCGTTTGTAGATATTCAGATTTTCATCTGGTATTCTTTTTCTTTTGCTTAACAGAATTCCATTTAACATTTCTGGTAATGCAATTTTCCTGGTGATAAATGTTCCCAGCTTTTGTTTTTTGGGAGCATGAAAAGGTATTTCTTGCCTTTTTATGGGAGATTTTTTAGATGGCTATAGGATTATATTGGTAGGGGTGTTTTTCTTCTAATACTCCAAAGGTTTCATTCCTTTGTTTTTTGGCTTGGATACTTTGTGATGCAAGTCTAAGATAATTTTTAAATCTTTGTTCCTCAGGATATGTTGTATGCTTTTTCTCTGTCTCCTTTTAACATTTTGTTGTTGTTGTTTATAGGATTTTTAGAAATTGCTTTTTTTTTGAGATGGAGTCTCACTGTGTTGCCCAGGCTGGAGTGCAGTAGTGCAATCTAGGCTTACTGCTTACTGCAACCTCTACCTACCAGGTTCAAGTGATTTTCCTGCCTCAGCCTCCCAGGTAGCTGGGATTACAGGCATGTGCCACCACACCCAGCTAGCTTTTGTATTTTTAGTAGAGACAGTGTTTCACCATGTTGGCCAGGCTGGTCTTAAACTCCTTGCTTCAAGTGATCCACTCACCGCAGCCTCCCAAATTGCTGGAATTACAGGCGTGAGCTACCGCGCCTGGCCACATTCAGTGATTTTTAAGAAAATCTCTGGAATTCCCATTTGCTTCATATGTTATATGTTTCTTTTCTGTAATCATTTTCTTTTTAGTTGGTAAACATGTAGCATATTTATAATTGGTGATTTAAGGTTTTTTCTTTAACTCAATCACTTTTTCTCATTGTTTGCTGTTTTGCTGCTTTTTATGGGTCACTTTTTATACTTTTCACCATTTGTTGAATAATTTTAAATTTACAAGAATTTAAAACTTTTAATTTAGATTTGCAAAAATTGTGAAGATAGTACAAAGAGTTTTCATATATTATTTCACACTGTTTCCCCGGTTGTTGATGTCATACCTTAGTATGTTACAATTAGCACACCAATATTGGCACATTTTTGTTAACTGAAGTCCATAGTTTGAGATTTCTTTCAGACTCTACATAGGGCTGGGCATGGTGGCTCATGCCTGTAGTCCCAGTACTTTGGGAGGCCAAGGCAGGTGGATTGCTTGAGCCCAGGAGTTCAAGACCAGCTTGGGCAACATGGCGAAACCCCGTGTCTACAAAAAAATTTGCCACATGTTGTGGCATGTACCTGTAGTCCCAGCTACTTGAGAGGATGATGTGGGAGGATCACGCTCTGCTGGGGAGGTCCAGGCTGCAGTGAATCACGATTGTGCCACTGTATTCCAGCCAGGGTGACAGAGTGAGACCCCCATCTCAAAAACAAAACAAAACTTTCCTTATATGTCCTATTTCTGTTTCAGTGTCCCATCTCTATTAGCAGTTAGTCCCAATTATTTCCTCACCCTTATTCTTGACAACTGCTACGTCTACTTTGTATTTCTATGGAGTTGCCTAATGTGGAAATTTTATATAAATGGAATCATATACTATGTGGCTATTTGTTTCTGGCTTCTTTCACTTAGCATGATGTTTCTAAGAAACATTCTTTAGCATTTGAGAGAAATGCTAGTTAGTTCCTTTTATGGCTGAATTACATTTTATTTTATGGATATGTCAGTTTGTTTATTTTTCAGTTCATGGACACTTGAGCTCTTTCTGCTTTTTGGCTATTATGAATAATGTTGCTATGAACATTTATGTTGCAAGTTGTTGTGCGAACATTTATTTTTAACCAGGAGTGGAATTGCTGCCTCATAATGTTGCTGTCTTACCAATACACCACAATGTAGCAGTCTCTCATTATGAGGTATCACCCAGGGGCCAAGAAAATTAAGGAGCATGGACCCAAAGGGAGAGGTTGGAGAGAAAGTTTAATAAGTGAAAGAAGAAAGCTCTCTGCAGCAAAGAGGGGGGCCCGAGTGGGTTGCCCACTGTGAGGCTGGGGGCTGGGGTTTTTATGGACTGGGAAGGGAAAGGACATGCTAAGTAGTCTTGAAGAGAGCGCTACTCAGCTTGGCCTGGGACCAATCAGGAGCGGAAGGGAAAGCTTGGCCTGGGACAAATCAGAGGCTGAAGTGATGGTTCACAGTGGCTCGGCTCACAATCCAAAGCATGTCCAGAAAAGGAAAGGAAAGTGCCCACCGGAACCCACTGTGTACATGCCCAAAAACGAAGAGACTATTTCCTGGAAGCCCACTGGTTATACAAAGGACAAAGGCATTTCTATGTTTTAGGTCTCGTTCTCTTACCAAGATAGCTGTGGGCATGTCTTTAGGCACAAACAACAAAGGCGTTTCTGTGTTGGGAACAAGTTCCTTCATCTGAGTGGGCTGGAGATTTGTGCAAGTTTCCTTACCTGTGCCGGCAGCCTGATTTCTCAGGCTGTTTCTCCTTTAAAAAGTTTTACTGGCCGGGCACGGTGGTTCACGCCTGTAATACCAGTACTTTGGGAGGCTGAGTTGGACGGATCACTTGAGGTCAAGAGTTCAAGATCAGCCTGGCCAACATGGTGAAACCCTGTCTCTACTAAAAATACCAAAATTAGCGGGGCGTGGTGGTGGGCACCTGTAATCCCAGCTGCTCAGGAGGCTGAGGCAGGAGCATCGCTTTAACCTGGGAGGCAGAGGTTGTAGTAGTGAGCCAAGATTGTGCCACTGCACTCCAGCCTGGGCAATAGAGCGAGACTCAATCTAAAAACAAAACAAAACAAAATGAGTTTTACCAAGGACCCACCCTAACCACGTAACTTTTACCTCTCAATAAGGTAATTCTATGTTTAACTTTTTGAGAAACTACCAAACTATTTTCCACATCAGCTACAAGGACAGATGCTCAGTAAAAGACTGAGACCCAATGATATCAGTATAGAACGTTTCCCCTCACCTCACACCTTAACACACACCAATCGGCTGCCTGTATAATAATGGAGTTATGGGTAAAAGAACTGCAAGCCTCAGGCCTTAAGAAGGAATAGGGAAACACAGGGATGACAGGGAAGATAAAAATAAGAACACTAGAGGAAATGTTAGCTTCTGACACCACAGCTACAGCAAACAGTAAATGCAGCCCAACTCCTAGCCAGATAAAATGAAACTTTGATGTTTCAGGAATAATTTTAAAAACAAAGATTAAAAAAATTTGTTTAAATGAAACTTTACACTAAAGGCCCATATCCATCTATCCCTTTTACCCAATATATCATTTCTGGCTTTCAATAACAACAACAACAAAATCAAAGGCATGCTAAGAGACAAAAAAAAAAAAAAAAAAAAAAGCAAAACCCTCTAACTAGAAAGCATCAGATCTCAATTTAGATATGGAAGAGGTTGTGGAATTATTGGAGCAAGAATTTAAAGTTTATGTGATTAGTATACTTAGAACTCTGATGGAGAAAGTGGACAACATGCAGGAATAGATGGGTAATATAAACAAAGGCTTAGAAACTAAAAGAACAAAAAGGAAATGGTAGAAATAAAAAACACTCTAACAGAAATGAAGACAGTAGATAAAACATAGCTGAGGAAATAATCAGTGAACATGGAGATGTCACTAGGAACTTTCAAAGCTGATGATCAAAGAGAAAGAATGAAAATTTGAAAAACGTAAGAGCTATGGGACAATTACAAAACGTGTAACACATGTAAATTGGAAATAACAGAGGAAGAAAAAAGGAACTGAAGGAATAATAATGAGTGAGAATTTTCCAACATTAGTGACAAACATAAACCACACATCCAGAAAGCTCAGAGAACACCAAGTAGGACACACCAAAAAACCCACACCTAGGCCTATCATATTCAAACTACAGAAAATTCTAAGATAAAGAGAAAGCACTGAAAGAAGCCAGTGGGGGTGGGGGTGGTAACAACTTACCCATAGAAAAGTAAGGATAATAATTACATTGTAATTTGCTTCAAAAACTATTCAAGCAGAAGAGAGTGGAGTGAAATATTTAAAAGGGCGAAAGAAAACCAGTCTAGAATTCTGTATCCAGTGAAATTATCTTTTACTGGTGAAGGTGAAATAAAGACTCTCAAATAAACAAAATTGAAGGAGATTGTCATTAGTAGACCTATCTTGTAAAAGAAGCTCTTCCAGGAGAAGGAACATGGTATGGGGTTGAAACTCAGATATACATAAAGGAAGAGAGTTAGAGAAGGAATAAATAATAGTCTAATAATATGTTTTATTTTTCTTATTCTGATCTAACAGCAGTTCAAGTGCATTTTGTGATTATAGCTAATGGATAAATGAAATTAATGACTGCAGCGTTATAGGGGATGAAAGAGAACAGGTTGGGATACTCTGTGTATTAGTTCATTATCACACTGCTAATAAAGACATACCCAAGACTGAGTAATTTATAAAGGAAAGAGGTTTAATTGGCTCACAGTTCAGCATGGCTGGGGAGGCCTCAGGAAACTTACAATTATGGTGGAAGGGGAAGCAAACAACATCCTTCTTCACATGGTGGCAGCAACGAGACATGCCAAGCAAAACGGGAAAAAGACCCTTATAAAACCATCAGATCTCATGAGAAGTCACTATCATGAGAATAGCATAAGGGTAACTGCCCCCATAATTAAATTACCTCCCACTGGGTCCCTCCCATGACACGTGGGGATTATGGGAACTACAATTCAAGATGACATTTGGGTGGGAACACAGCCAAACCATATCACTCTGTTACGAAGTACCTACATGCACTGCCTGTGAAGCATTATATAGTGTTGCTTGAAAGTGGTCTTGAATTAGTTTACACTGTATGTTGCAAACTCTAGGACAACATTTGAATTTATTTCAAAAAATTTTTGAATGTATATGAAGAGATAGAAAAGCCATAGATTTGGAAAAAATATTGGCAAAATACATGTTTGATTAAGGATGGTTATCCAGAATATACACAGAACTCAAAACTCAACAGTAAAAACCAAGCAAAATTGTTAAAAACTGGGCAAAAGAGCTGATCAGACACATCACCACAGAAGATATATAGAAGGCAAATGAGCATATGAAAAGATGCTCAACATCATGTGTCCCTAGGGAATTGCAAACAAAAACAATAACATACCACTACAAACATAATGGCCAATGTCCAAAACCCTAATAAAACCAAATGCTTTTGAGGATGTAGAACAACAAGAACTCTCACTCATTGCTAATGAGAATGCAAAATAATACAGCCACTGTCAGGCTGGGCATGGTGGCTCACACCTGTAATCTCAGCATTTTGGGAGGTCTGAAGTCAGGAGTTTGAGACCAGCCTGGCCAAGGTGGTGAAACCCCATCTCTACTAAAAATACAAAAATTAGCTGAGCTTAGTGGTGGGCTCCTGTAATCCCAGCTACTCGAGAGGCTTAGGCAGGAAAATCACTTGAACCTGGGAGGCAGAGTTTGCAATGAGCTGAGGTCATGCCACTGCACTCCTTCCTGGGCGACAGAGGGAGACTCTGTCTCAAAAAAAAAAAGAAAAGAAAAAAGAAACATGGTAGATATTCAACACAACATTCAAGCATCCAACCTGAGGGCCAAATCAATAATGCAATCCTATTCACAAGAGCCACAAAAAGAATACCTAGGGGCTGGGTGCAGTGGCTCACGCCAGTAATCCCAGCACTTTTTGGGAGGCCAAGTGGGTGGATCACGAGGTCAGGAGTTTGAGACCAGCCTGGCCAACATCGTGAAACCCCTTCTCTAATAAAAATACAAAAATTAGCCAGGTGTGGTGGTGCGCGCCTGTAGTCCCAGCTACTTGGGAGGCTGGGGCAGGAGAATCACTTGAACCTGGGAGGTAGAGGTTGCAGTGAGCCAAGACCACACCATTGCACTCCAGCCTGGGTGACAGTGTGAGACTCTGTCTAAAACAAACAAACAAACAAACAAACAAAAAAACCACCTAGAAATAGAGCTAACCAAGGAGGTCAAAGATCTCTAAAATGAGAATTACAACACACTGCTCAAAGAAACAAACAAATGGAAAAAACATTCTGTGCTCATGGATATTCATATCAAACTGCCAATGACATTCTTCAAAGAACTTAAAAAACTGTTTTAAAATTCATATGGA